>NC_000001.11:174699738-175002768 GCF_000001405.40 Homo sapiens
AGAAGTTTAATGGAATATTATAGAAAATGTACATGGATTTAGTTTCAGACCAATATCTACATTGGTCTATCATAATATGTTTATTTAGCCATTTTACTATTTTAAAAATATCTCACATTTTAAATGTTCAAGTTAAATATACTTTGAAGTGAGAATCTAATGAGTTTAATCATTAAGAGATTGCCAAGTATTGTTTGTAGAGGAATGGAGATATTTACAGAGTAAAAATTGAAATACCTAAGAGCTTTCTGCATACTAATTAGCACCACTTCCTTATTTGAGTCCACGTAGAACACTTGGAAAAGCCAGAAAGATATTCATAAGAGAATAAAACATACTAAAATACTGTAGGGATACATTTAAAAATTTTTAAATATAATTCCTAATCTCAATGTTGTTGTTGTGCTTTACAATGCGTATTTATAAATGTGTGTGAGAAACATGCATCCTTTTATATATACCAAATATTACACAGTAAAAAAGATTGTGACCACAGGCAAAGTGATTGACCAGAGCTGACAAAAGGAATTTTTAACTAGCTTTGGAGTTCTACCTGAAGTTGATAATCTTAAATTTATAATGGGTTTTTGTGGCATGTTTATGTGACTTTGTTTAAAAGGGGTTTTGGGAATCCAAGAGAAATGTGAAGGAGATACATGGATGGATTGATTCCATATTGGGGAAGGGTAAAATGGTTGAGGAAGGAGGTTCGTGGAATGTGAGAGCAGAAGATGCTAGTAGGAGCTCATTGATATGAACTGCCAGGGGATCCGTAGGTGTCTAAAGAGGGAAGTGAAGCCAGTAGGAGACTGAGAGATTAGAAGAACAGGGCAGTAGAGGATGAATTTGCAGTGAGGTTAAAGGAACAATTTATTGGGAGAAGGGAATGTAGGAGGGTAGAAGACTTTAAAATTGAAAAGAAATAAAAGGAGGCAGGGATGTAAAACGAGCCATAAGTACAATGACAAATGGGCATTAAGGAGGAAAAAGACTATGTAGAAGAATCTGGTAAATATGGATATTAACAGCAATAAGCTCCTTTTTAACGATTTAATTCTACCAAGTAAATATTTGGGATTACTCGCTTTTTGCCTTTTATTTACCAAAAAATTCATATATTTTCAAAGGTCAGTATTCCTAAGGGCTTTGAGAATCAAGTAAATATACCTAATAAATAACAGATGTGTGGTACTATGAAGAACCTCAACCACATTTTTCTGTTAGCAGTTTTTTTTCAGTTAACTGAATGAGCATTTGGACGTTCCATTTGAAGTACCTAATGGGCACATTTGGCTATTTTTCAAAGAGAGCATGTAGTTCAAGAAATGGCTTATTTTGTTTTTTATTCTTCTTTTTGTGGTCTATTTAGGAAAACAAAATGAAGGTGGCCTTTGTCTTTCAGTTATGGTAATAGCTATGCTAATACTTTGTACCTTGCTGTTCATGCTTTTGAAAACCATTTGCTTGTTTAAATTGGGAGAAAAAAATAAAGTTACCATAAAGGCATTTTTAGAAGATATCCAATTTTATATATTATACCTTTGCATAATTTCTTTGCTTTGCCATTTTTAATATGCTGAAGACAGATTTCTAAATAGTTTGTCGTGGCTTAGAATTTTCTAAGTGTTCAAAAAATATACTGAAACATCATAGACCCCAGATTAGATGATTTCCAAAGAGAAGATACATTTCTTTTCTAGCTAGTTAAGAATTGAACCCTGGGCTGGGTACAGTGGCTCACACCTGTAATCCCAGCACTTTGGGAGGCCAAGTCGGGCAGATCACTTGAGGTCAGGAGTTCGAGACCAGCCAGGCTAATATGGTGAAACACTGTCTCTAGTAAAAAATACAAAAAATAATCGGGCCTGGTGGAGGGTGCCTATAATCTCAGCTACTTGGAAGGCTGAGGCAGGAAAATGGCTTGAACCTGGGAGGCGGAGGTTGCAGTGAGCCAGGATCATGCCACTGTACTCCAGCCTGGATGACAGAGCAAGACTCTTATCTCAAAAAAAAAAAAAAAAAATTTAACCCTGAATGGGGATGCTATGACTTGACCCTGGAGTCAAGATACTCATTACACTACAGATGCTCTGGTAGAATGAGAATTTTGCAAGAATCAAGAACAGTCAAGTGAGCAAGAGATGGTCTTTCTTAGTTGTTTATAATAAGTCTGTTTTTATTTTCCTCAATTATCTGTCATATCCCTAATTCTCATCTGCTGTCATCACTTCTGTGCAGTTATACAAGACAACCAATACTAGAATAGAGTTACAGCGATCATAGAAAGCTGTTTGTAAGTTGCAGTTGTGGCAGGAACTTCATTGTTCTGCTGCAAGCTTCTCATTGCTCCTAAATTTTCCACTTTGACTTTTAGGAACAGCTACCGGACCTGCATAGCCATTTTTCTGATCTGAACCTGGAAGCTCATATGTATGCATCCCAGTGGTTTCTCACTCTTTTTACTGCCAAGTTCCCACTCTGCATGGTGTTCCACATCATTGACTTACTGCTTTGTGAGGTAGAGTGACTCCCATCTTTCACTAAGCCAAAATAGAAAGTAGTTTCTACTAAAAATGGTTACAGTTTTCTTCCTTTTGTTTTTGCCTGTGACATTAAGCCATAAATACTCACTGACCAAAAAGCTGTATTTGAATTTTCAGTAAAAACTATTTTAATTGTAATTTTATTATTTCTGAGGAATGAAAATGTTAAGGCATATATAATTCCTACAAAGTAAAATGGGTGATTAAATTTGCATAATTAAATTCATAATAAGCCTATATCTGTATAATAATGTTTTACCAGTATAAAATGCCTTTAAGGTTAAATAAATGAATTTAGAATTGGGTGTTTTTTAATATTAATGCAGTTATACTGCAAGAGTGAATATAAATGAGATTTTTATAATAACTAATTTCTCAGTTCATCAGATATCTTTCTGTTTATCATGTTTGGGACTGCTGCGAAATGATGAGACAAATGATAAACTAAAGCTATTATGTCATATAATTATATTTTTATATAGTAGAATATTTCAAAAATTAGTTTGTAAAATTTCTTAGGTGTTTATATTTGTGTATTTTATTGTTTTTAGTTCCTTAGATGGCTATATTTATTTACTCTTTTAAAGAAATAAACAGTATTATGCATATATATGGCTTATATTGGTCATCAAAATGTTTGACTATCTTAGCAGTAATAGGGAATTTGCTAGATAAGAAGTGTATATTTTCAATGGCAGTATAAATGTATATAAAATATAGCTATCTTAAAAAGCAGGACTAATCAAAAGTATAAGCTTATCTATGTGATTATAAGCTTAATATATAATCTAGACAGTTTTGTATTACTATGCTTCTTAAGGTAAACATCCTTTAAAAAAAATTTTTTTTGTATAAATTTAAGGGGTACAAGTGATGTTTTGCTACGTGGATATATTGTGTAGTGGTTAAGTCTGGGCTTTTAGTGTAACCATCACTTGAATAATGCACATTGTACCTGTTGAATAATTTCTTATCCCCTACCCCCCTCTCACTGTCCCATGTGAGTCTCCAATGTCTATTATTACAAATTCTGTGTCCATGTATACACATTATTTGGCAGTATTTGACTTTCTGAGTTGTTTTACTTAACATAATGGCCTCCAGTTCCATCCATGTTGCTGCTAATGACATGATTTTACTCTTTTTTTTGGCTGAATAATGCTACATTGTATGTACATACCACATTTTCTTTATCCAGTCATCCACTGATGGACACTTAACGCTGATTTTGCATCTTTGCTATTATAAATAGTGCTGCGATAAGCATATAAGTGCACGAATCTTTTTTTATACACTGATTTCTTTTCCTTTGGATAGGTACCCAATAGTGGGATTGCTGGATTGAATGGTAGTTCTATTTTTAATTCTTTGAGAAATTTCCATACTGTTTTCCATAGAGGTTATACTAATTTACATTCTCACCAGCAGTGTGGACTCTTTTCTCTACATCCTCACTAACATCTGTTATTTTTTGACTTTTTAATAATAGCCATTCTGACTGTCATAAGATAATATCATGTTATGATTTTAATTTGCATTTCTTTGATAATTAGTAATGTTGAACATTTTTTCATATGCTCATTGGCCATTTGTATATCTTCTTTTGAAAAATGTCTGTTTATGTCCTTTGCCCGCTTTTTAATGGGGCTAGTTGGTTTTTCTGTTGTCATTGAGTTGTTTAAAGATTTCTCTTTCTTTTCGTTTCCTTTTCTATTCTCTTTTCTTTCTCTTTTTGAGATGTAGTCTCACTCTGTCACCTAGGCTGGAGTGCAGTGGCATGATCTCAGCTCACTGCAACCTCCACCTGCCGGGTTCAAGCAATTCTCCTGCCTCGGCCTCCCAGGTAGCTGGAACTACAGACACACAACACCATGCCCAGCTAATTTTTTGTATTTTTAGTAGAGATGGGGTTTCACCATGCTGGCCAGGCTGGTCTCAAACTCGGTCTCCCAAAGTGCTGGGATTAGAGGCATGAGCCACTGCTTCCAGCCAGATTCCTCTTTCTTAAAAGGAAAGTCTAATGATTTTAATCACACTAGGAATTAGAAGTTTAAATGTAAAAATAAGATTTAAAAGATGCAATGTGTAAACTATATAAAGCATAAAAATGTTATTTCTCAGCCTACTAAAACAGTAACAATTATATATGCAGGCAAGGCTGGTCTTTTGCTCTTCAGTGGCTTTAGTTAGTACTTGCCTAATACCTGAAGGTCACAGGGCATTTGTAAGCATGTAAGAGTTTTAATCATTTGTACTGTACTTTGATAAAGAAGGGTTCAGTGACTTGCCAGGCTTGCAGAATAGGTTTCCAAATCCTGAATATAACAGCTAGAGAATCTGATTTATAATATGTTAATTCTCCGACTTGTTTTACTTACAAATTAGTTTGTAAAATGCCTTTCTAAATGTATCTTAAAGGAAGAATTCAGAATTAGGAGCTAAAACTTTATTCAAAGTCACCATGTTGTAATCACAATATTCACAAAGCATATGTGGTTATTTGTACCAAAAACTCTACCTGATTATCCAAATTGGTGTAGTGAACAGTTCCAACTCCGCTATTTTATAGGGCAATACTCTTTGAAAGTATAAACCAAATTCACATCTTCAAGTTCTAGAATATTAAAATAAGTGAATGCTAAAAGTTTTGATAAATATTCATAGACTTTTATATACTGAGCTGAGTTTAGTATTTCATGGTATTTCATAAAAATAGGAAAGTGGGGGTATGACATTTTAACAGTTTTTGAGTTATATATAGTATGAGCTTGCAAATATTTGTTATTGCTTCACAATTTTTGCAGAAAGAGATTAATTTCATACTAGATTGGTTCTATAGTGTTCATTGTAGAAAAGGGAATAAAATTAATGTGCTTAATCATAACCAACTAAATGTGATTTCTCAATCACTTTTCCTAGAGTGGTATCTCTGCCCTTCAGTTCACTGGGATGGTGACTTTCTAAAGTGTCTGCCCGAATGTTGGCACCCGTGGCATCGGAACATTGTCCATGGGTTTTCTGGAACCTAGATTCAAATTTTATCTTGAAGATACATGAATTTCTAATGTCAGTTAAGAAAACTAGCAACATTTGTGCTACAGAAAAGATAAATAAATTTATTAGCCTTCCCGTCACTTGTCAACTGTGACTTACAATCAGTGTTTGAAAGGTCATAATGTTCATTAATATTAATAAGAACATCATAGATATTACCTTTCCTCCCCTTAAACCTGTACTCTATAGCTGTTTAAGGAAGTTGGAAAACTTTTCAAAACATAGATTGTAATCATAGCATCATGATGTTCGGGGAAGTAAATGGTAACATCCTTTACCATTAAAATTGCTTTTCAGAATAATCTATTGGAAACAATATTGTAGTGTGCCTCAGGATATTTATTCTTTCCACTAACTCATCTTTGTCAAGAATTATTTTACAAAGGAAATTTTTGAATAAACTTTTACTTCCTGCATGTCTGTGTTTTCTTTTTGCCCCTTTCCTTCTTGTAGTTAATAAAATATTTATATCAAAAGCTATTATTTCATATGTGATGACATATTCTAAGAATTGGTAAACACAGTCTTAAATAGATTATCCATAGGTATTTGTTTTTGTCATATTCTCTGTTTTTAAGAAAACAATTTAAATTTTGAGGTTACGACTCAATGTTTACTTAAAAATGGAAGGATAGGAAGCTCTCAGGTAGAAAAGTATTGACTTTTCAAAGTTTTACATTCTGATTTTTAACATGTGCAACATGTTTACTCAAAGATCCCATTGCAAAGTGAAAAAGAAAGACACTGAGTTTGAAACTTTATGCTTAGAAGACGTATCATGACATGCTTTCCTAAGCTATATTATTTTAAAGATTTCTTCATTCATTCTGAGGTTAAGCCAATAAAGTTAATTTAGCAGAAAAGAGAAGAATTTTATAGACCTTGACAATGCAGCCTGACTGAACAACTGCTAATTATTAATAGTTTTATTTAAAGTATTTGCTTAAATCTGAATATATGATAACATGGGTTAGTTAATTCCAGAATGATGGATAGCAATGGGATTTGAAACTGGAGTTTAAAAATACATTTTCTTATGTTAAGATGAGTGAAAATCTGTTTTGATTGTCTTTTAGTCAGTAACTGAAATGAAAATCATTTTTAAAAAAACAAACCTATATCTTATTATCTGCCTTTATCTGTTTAGCAAGTCTAAATGTATTAACATTTATAGTGTAAATATTATGCTATTAACCTATCGATAATAAAACATTGCAGTCTTTAAAATAACTTTTTATTGAAGTATAATAACAGATAAAAGAAAATTTGCAAATATTAATGTAGAACTTAATGATTTTTCAAAAAATGGACATAACGAAGTAACCAGCACCCAGATTTAAAAAAGAACAAAAAGGAACATTATCTGCATTTCAGAAACCCTCTTCCCCTTCACTGCCCTTTTCCAGTAACTACACTCTGAAAAGTAATCACTTTCCTGACTTTTAATGCCATAGTTTAGCTTTGCTTGTTTTGGAACTTTATGTATGTGGAATCATACAATACGAACTCTTTTCTGTCTAACTTTTTTTAGTCATCATTATGTTTGTGAGATTCATCCGTATCATTGCATTTAGGCATAGTTTAGTTTTCCATTCTCCCATTCTATTGTTGACGGTTATTTGAGTTGTTTCTAGTTTCCAGAAGGCCATTATGAATAGTGCTCCGTGTGAATCTTTTGAACTTTCTTGAACTTGTCTTTTAGTTAACGTACCTATGCACTTCTGTGAGTACACATCAAGGAGTAGAATTGTTGTGTTAGGATGCACATACATTCAGCTTTAATGGATACTGCCAAACAGCCTTCCAAGGTAGCATGAGCATTAACTTTGAGTTGTTTTTATTCAATAAAGATCTTTCTTGTGATCAAGGGCAAGGTTTTGTTCTGTTTTGTTTTGTTTTGTTTTGTTTTGTTTTGTTTTTAGGTCGCAGATAATGGGTCAGATAAGAGTCCATGAATACGCAACAAAATGAAACTCATTTGGTGATTGGAATGATTGACCTGATCTCTGAAGTTGCATACAGGCAGATTGAAAGCTAAGAACTGGACCTAAAAGCAGAGTCCCTTTAGTGCTTTTATGAGAGAAGTTACTATGATGGGGAAAATCCAGCAAAGTATTTTCAGTCTTACAAAGAGCAATGTAGAGACGGTATGACATTTGAGTTAGGATATTGGACTTTTTAGTCAACCTTTCCTAGACAGCCTTGTTCAAGTTACTTGACCTATGTAAATCTCATTTTCTTTGTTTGTGTAATGAGACTAACAATACCTGTCTCTCAGGTTTAGTGTAAGAATTAGATGAGATTATGATATCAAGTACTTAAGTACTCTGCCTACTATACAGTATTCAATTAATAATAACATTGCCCTGCAGTCTGCTCCATCCATCTGTATAGCCCATTTAGTTGCTTCTTAATTTCTTCAATTATCTAGGTTTCTAATCACCTTCCCCTCCATCACCCAGTGGTTGAGATGCTTCTTTGGTAAAAGCAAAATTTTAAGTGAGTGACCTTAATGGAAGCTTAATTCTATTTCCTTTTTCAGTAGTGATTCAAATACTGCTCTAAAAGTGTTTTTTGCTTCTCCTCCACATTCTTTCAGAAGACATAAGGAAAATACTGGTATTTCTTTTAGTCTTCACAGAATAACTGACAGCCGGTGTTTGAAGTTGACTCTTCCCAGATAGTTCAATTTTTAGAGTACCAAATATGTTCAGCTTTATATAGTAACTTGGTATTTTCATGAAATTTAAGGAAATCGTTGACCCTTCAAATTAGAATGTATCTTCTGCTTCTCTTCTCTTCTCAGGATGTTGAAAAAATGACAGTACTACATTATTTGATTAAATATCACCAGGTATAATTCTCTCAAAGCAGTTTTCAGAAGTTGTTATCTGAAGAGTAGATTCATTATTTATTACACAATATTCTCCCTCCTTATCCCCATTCTCCCCCACAAAAAACTCATCAGAATGAGCTTAATACAAGCAAGATTAAGACTCTGACATAGGGGAGCTGGCAAGATGGCCAAATAGGAAGAGCTCTGGTCTGCAGCTCCCAATGAGACCAATGCAGAGGGTGGGTGATTTCTGCATTTTCAACTGAGGTACCCGGTTCATCTCACTGGGACTGGTTAGACAGTGGGTGCAGCCCATGAAGGATTAACAGAAGCAGGGTGGGGCATCACCTCACCTGGGAAGCACAAGGGGTCAAGGAACTCCCTCCCCTAGCTGAGGGAAGCTGTAAAGTACTCTGCCATGAGGGACAGTGCTATCCAGCCCAGATACTACACTTTTCCCATGGTCTTCGCAACCTACAGACCAGGAGATTCCCTCGGGTGCCTGCACCACCAGGGCCCTGAGTTTCAAGCATAAAACTGGGCAGTCGTTTGGGCAGACACCAAGCTAGCTGCAGGAGTTTTTGTTTGTTTGTTTTGTTTTGTTTTGTTTTGTTTTTACCCCAGTGGTGCCTGGAATGCCAGTGAGACAGAACTGTTCACTCCCCTGGAAAGGGGGCTGAAGCCAGGGAGTTGAGTGGTCTGTCTCAGCAGAACCTACCCCCATGGCATCCAACAAGCTAAGATTCACTGGCTTGAAATTCTCACTGCCAGCACAGCATTCTGAAGTCAAGCTGGGATGCTTGAGCTTGGTGTGGGGAGAGGTGCTGCCATTACTGAGGCTTGAGTACGCAGTTTTCCCCTCACAGTGTAAACAAAGCCTCCAGGAAATTCGAACTAGTTGTGGAACCCACCGCAGTGCAGCAAAGCTGCTGTAGCCATAGCACCTCTCTAGATTCATGCTCTCTGGGCAGGGCATCTCTGAAAGAAAGGCAGCAGCCCCAGTCAGAGGCTTATAGATAAAACTCCCATCTCCCTGGGACAGAGCACCTGGGGGAAGGGGTGGCTGTGGGCGCAGCTTCAGCAGACTTAAACATTCCAGCCTGCCAGCTCTGAAGAGAACAGTGGATCTCCCAGTACAGTGCTCGAGCTCTGCTAAGGGACAGACAGCCTCCTCAAGTGGATCCCTGATACCTATGCCACCTGACTGGGAGACACCTCTGAAGAGGGGTTGACAGATAACTCATACAGAAGAGCTCTGGCTGGCATCTGGCAGGTGCCCCTCTCTGATGAAGCTTCCAGAGGAAGGAACAGACAGCGATCTTTGCTGTTTTGAAGCCTCTGCTGGTGATATACCCAGGCAAACAGGTTCTGCAGTGGACCTCCAGCAAACTCCAGCAGACCTGCAAAAAGGGCCCTGACTATTAGAAGGAAAACTAGCAAACAGAAAGCAATAGTATCAACATCAACAAAAAGGACACCCATGCAAAAATCCCATCTGAAGGTCACCAACATCAAAGACCAAAGATAGATAAATCCATGAAGATGAGGAAAAGCCAGCGCAAAAAGGCTGAAAATTCCAAAAACCAGAATGCCTCTTCTCCAAAGGATCACAGCTCCTTGCCAGCAAGAGAATAGAACTGGATGGAGAATGAGTTTGTCGAATTGACATAAGTAGGCTTCAGAAGATTGGTAATAACAAACTCCTCTGAGCTAAAGACACAGTGCAAGGGAGCCAAAAACCTTGATAAAAGGTTACAGAAACTGCTAACTAGAATAACTAGTTTAGAGAAGAACATAAATGACCTGATGGAGCTGAAAAACACAGCACGAGAACTTCGTGAAGCATACACAAGTATCAATAGCCAAATTGATCAAGTGGAAGAAAGGATATCAGCGATTGAAGATCAACTTAATGAAATAAAACAGGAAGACAAGATTAGAGAACAAAGAATGAAAAGGAAGAAACAAAGCCTCCAAGAAATATGGGACTGGGAAAAGACCAAACCTACGTTTGACTGGTGTACCTGAAAGTGATGGGGAGAATGGAACCAAGTTGGAAAACACACTTCAGGATATTATCCAGGAGAACTTCTCCAACCTAGCAAGACAGGCCAATATTCAAATTCAGGAAATACAGAGAACACCACAGAGATACTATTCCTTTGTGGAACCCCACAAAGAACAACCACAAGACAGATAATCATCAGATTCACCAATGTTGAAATGAAGGAAAAAATGTTAAGGGAAGCCAGAGAGAAAGGTCGGGTTACTCACAAAGGGAAGCCCATCAGACTAACAGTGGATCTCTCTGCAGAAACCCTGCAAGCTAGAAGAGAGTGGGGGCCAATTTTTAACATTCTTAAAGAAAATAATTTTCAACCAGAATTTCATATCCAGCCAAACTAAGCTTCATAAGTGAAGGAGAAATAAAATCCTTTACAGACAAGCAAATGCTGAGGGATTTTGTCACCACCAGGCCTGCCTTACAAGAGCTCTTGAAGGAAGCACTAAATATGGAAAGACCAGTACCAGCCACTGCAAAAACAAAACAAATTGTAAAGACCATCAACACTATGAAGATACTGCATCAACTAATGGACAAAATAACCAGCTAGCATCATATGACAGTATCAAATTCACACATAACAAAATTAACCTTAAATGTAAATAGGCTAAATACCCCAATTAAAAGACAGACTGGCAAATTGGATAAAGAGTCAAGACCCATTGGTGTGCTGTGGAGCAGGGGGCGGTGCTCATCGGGGAGGCTCAGGCTGCGCAGGAGCCCACGGTGGCGGGGAGGCTCAGGCATGGCGGGCTGCAGGTCCCAAGCCCTGCCCCACAGGGAGGCAGCTAAAGCCCGGCGAGAAGTCGAGCACAGCAGCTGCTGGCCCAAACACAGCTTAGCAGTGCTAAGCCCCTCACTGTCTGGGGCCGGCAGGGCCAGCTGGCCGCTGTGAGTGCGGGGCCTGCCGAGCCCACGCCCACCCGGAACTCACGCTGGCCCGCAAGTGCCATGTACAGCCCCGGTTCCCACCTGCGCCTCTCCCTCCACACCTCCCTGCAAGCTGAGGGAGCCAGCTCCAGCCTTGGCCAGCCCAGGAAGGGGCTCCCACAGTGCAGCGGTGGGCTGAAGGGCTCCTCAAGTGCCGCCAAAGTGGGAGCCCAGGCAGAGGAGGCACTGAGAGTGAGTGAGGGCTGCCGGCACGCTGTCACCTCTCAGAGGGAGAGGCGTGGGTGGGAACCGAGGCTGCGCACAGTGCTTGCGGGCCAGAACGAGTTCCAGGTGGGCGCGGGCTTGGCGGACCCCGCACTCGGAGCGGCTGGCCTGCGCTGCTGGCCCTGGGCAGTGAGGTGCTTCGCACCCGGGCCAGCAGCTGTGGAGGGTGCACCAGTCCCCCAGCACTGCTGGCCCACCCGCACCACGCTCGAATTCTCGCCAGGCCTTAGCTGCCTCCCCATAGGGCAGGGTTCGGGACCTGCAGCCTGCCGTGCCCGAGTGCCCCCTGGCACTCCTGCCCTCCACGGGCTCCCGCACGCCCGAGCCTCCCTGACTGGCACTGCCCCCTACTCCGGGGGCCTGGTCACACCAACCGCCCAAGGGCTGAGGAGTGTGGGCACATGGCATGGGACTGGTGGGTACCTCCACCCATGGCCCTGGCACAGGATCCACTAGGCGAAGCCAGCTGAGCTTCTGAGTCGGGTGGGAACTTGGAGAACTTTTATGTTTAGCTAGAGGATTGTAAATGCACCAGTCAGCACTGTGTCTAGCTCAAGGTTTGTAAACACACCAATCAGTGCTCTGTGTCTAGATAATCTAGTGGGGACTTGGAGAACTTTTGTGTCTAGCTAAAGGATTGTATATGCACCAGTCAGCACTTTGTGTCTAGCTCAAGGTTTGTAAACACGCCAGTCAGCACCCTGTCAAAACGGACCAATCGGCTCTCTGTAAAATGGACCAATCAGCTGTCTGTAAAACGGACCAATCAGCTCTCTGTAAAACAGACCAATCAGCAGGATGTGGGTGGGGCCAGATAAGAGAATAAAAGCAGGCTGCCCGAGCAGTCACCTTCCGGACTGTGGAAGCTTTGTTCTTTTGCTCTTTGCAGTAAATTTTGTTGCTGCTCAGTCTTTGGGTCCGCACTGCCTTTATGAGCTGTAAGACTCACTGCGAAGGTCTGCAGCTTCACTCCTGAAGCTAGTGAGACCACGAACCCACTGGGAGGGACGAACAACTCCAGACGCGCCACCTTTAAGAACTGTAACACTCACCGCGAAGGTCTGCAGCTTCACTTCTGAAGCCAGCGAGACCACGAACCCACCATAAGGAAGAAACTCCAGACACATCTGAACATCTGAAGGAGCAAACTGTGGACACACCATCTTTAAGAACTGTAACACTCACTGTGAGAGTCTGCGGCTTCATTCTTGAAGTCAGCGAGACCAAGAACCCACCAATTCCGGACACAGTGGTTTTCCCCTGCAGTCAGGCTGCCCAGCAGTAGCTACTTTCTCTAAGAAGTTTTCCCTGATCACCCGTTCTTAAATGGATATATCCTTTTCCTTTCTCTCTTAGCACCCCGTGGTTGGTGTTTATTTATTGACTTACTTACTTACTCCTCCAACCTCCCCAGCCAAACTTTGCGTCATTCCATCAGTCAGTGGCCTGCTGGTGTCTGCCAGTGCTTGCTGGTGTGCTCTTCTGCTGGTGTGTGTTCCTCCCAACGTCCAGCCGCTTGTGTCTGTGCCCCCAGGGTCTTGGGGATTTTATAGACACAAGATGGGGGCATGGCGGACCAGGGTGGTCTTGGGAAATGCAATATTTGGGGACGAAAACAGAAATGCCTCTCCTGATTTAGGTCCAATGGCACAGGCCCAGAGGTGGAGCCCTCACCAGGAGCCCCACCCTTCTGCTCCCAGCACTTCCTTGCCCCCATACTATATCATTAAGACATACATTGAAGTGCTATGTATCTCACTTCTAGAAGTAAAACAATGTCAATGAGATTAGAAGCTTTATATATACCTCTTCCTGACTACATCTTCTTTGGTCTTCCTCAGGAGAACCATTATGAAGAATTTAGTGTTAATCATTCCCATGCATGTCTGTTTTTTTTACTACATATGTATGTATCTCTGGACAATTTATAATTGAGAATATTTGAAAAATATTATTGCAGTCTGATATGGTTTTGATATTTGTCCCTTCCAGATCTCATGTTGAAGTGTAATCTCCATTGCTGGAGGTGAGGCCTTGTGGGAGGTATTGGATGATGGGGGCAGATCTTTCATGAATGGTTTAGCACCATCCCCTTGGCAATGAGTGAGTTCTTATTCTGAGTTCATGGGAGATATGGTTGTTTAGAAGACTGTGGCACCTTTCCCTCAAACCCTGCTCTCGTTTACTCTCTCACTGTATGATGTGCTGGCTCGCCCTTGTCCTTCCACTGTGATAGTAAGCTTCCTGAGGCCCTCACCAGCAGCAGATGCTGGCACTATGCTTTGTGTACAGCCTGAAGAACTGTAAGCCAAAATAAAACCTCTTTTGTTTATAAATTACCCAGCTTCAGGTGTTCCTTTATAGCAAAGCATGAACCAGACTAACACACACTCACTAGTTTATCAAGTCTACCTCCAAAATAGGTCTTGAACCTTTATTCTTTCTCCAAGTCAGCATTATCTCCTATTCAGTAACTTCCTATCTGTTCTTCCCACTTGTCTTCCTGTCATTTTTTTCCCATTATTCTCCATAGCATCCAGAGAGGATTTTGTAAAACACATAACCGATTACACTCCTCTACTGAAAACCCTTCTGTGGTTTCCCACTAAATAAAACTCACATTGTTTCATTTGGCCTGCAGTTATTCCCTTCCTTCCTCCCCAGTGGTATCCAAAGGTCAGCCTTTTTCCTGCTCTTTGTAGTGGAACACTGGTCTTCTTTTAGTTTCTGGAACATTGAAAACATTTGTATATTTTTTAGGACAGCAGGGATGTTAATTTAAAAAAAAAAAGAAAAACATTTTTTCCTCTTTGTGCTTGGAATGAACTACTCACTCTACCTTGCTAGCTACTTCCTCTAAGAAATTTTCCCTGATCACCCATTCTTAAATGGATACATCCTTTTCCTTTCTCTCTTAGCACCCTGTGGTTGGTGTTTTATTTATTGACTTACTTTGTATTGCTTTTAAAATGCCTATTTCCCCCACCAGATTATAAATTTCTGAAAGGAAGAGCTATGTCTTTTTTGTGTGCAGCTGAATACCTAGTATCTAACTTTACATATGGTAGACATACTCAAAGTATCTGTTGAAGGAAAATAGGAATGAAGAAGTAACGGACATAATTATTTTTATCATCTTCATTTAAATTCTACAGGCTGAAAAATAACTTTGCTCTTGAGTTTTAAGAGGAAAAAATAAGTTGTTTTAGTTTAGATATTTTAAGAAACAGAAACCTAGACATAGTAGCTCCAGTACAGTGGGGGTTTATTGTAAAGATAGAGGAAATCCAGGAGAAGTTGAGCAAGTAGACTTCAGGAAGGACAGGCACCAAAGTTAACCTAGACACTCGTCTGTATTATTCTCTATCAATCTCTATGAATCAGATTTTCTCCCCTCTTTCCTGACCTACCTCTTTGTAGCTTTGTTTTTTTTACAGGGCCTAAAAGATCTCTAAGTATTTCTAGTGTGTGTGTAATTTAAGACTAAAATTCTTAATGTTGACTGCATTGAAAGTAGACATTTGATAAATGTAATATTAAGTAAAATTCTGATGCATCTCAAGACAAGCTATATATTAGCTTGGCATAGGAATTTAATTAGAGTGGAGCATAGCATAGTTTTAATATAGGGCGTAATCTTTAAAATTATAATTTGGTCCTCAGGGTTGAAGTGGTAGCTGGATCCAAATCATTTTCATAGTATACATTTGCAGGTGAGGTTATAAGTAAAAGCAGTGTGCAATTTTGACCCATATAAATAATTTTAATGATTATTGGCAAAAGTATATGAAATATTTGAATGCTTCCCATTGTCTAGAAACTGTATTGGGAAAGCATCTTCTAAGTAATAAGTGTTGAAAGACCTCCATTGTAATTATTAGTAACAACATTCTTTCAATTTATAAATTATCTATATTGTACAAAAGAGAAGGAACTCATGCAGTATCAGTGGAAGTGGATTAAAAATGAGACCTTTCATTGAAGAGTAGTTATTTCCCTTTACCACCTTGTTTCATAAATATCCAATTTTAGCTGATAAACTTTCAGACTTACTGTTTAAGTCTCAAATATTTGAGGACAGAATACTGGCAGGCTTTACTGGAGAGTATTTCTGGGCCACACACTGTACTAAAAGATTTACATACCTTGTCACACTATTCTTACCTTCTCCAAACAGACTGCAGCCCTTCACACCCCTCATACAGTTGCCCAATTTAGAAATAGGTTTTTCAACTTTTTTCAATTCACATGGGCAGACGCTGTGATTATCCTTGTCCTTCATGTCCCTTAGTAAATAACAGATGGTCTTTGTCTCTTTTAAGAAATCCTCATTACCTACTCTCATTTTAAGACAGAAATAGTAATCAATTCCCAATATCATTTTGGGTCTTTCAGTCCAAGACTTGACTCTGTTGATCTCATATCCCAGGTCCTCCTATGGTCTGGCAAGACTTCTCCATGTTAAATTCCTTCACCTGATGCTCCTGGTATTCTTTTCCAGCTGCACTTTTCAGGCACAGTTTTCCATTGGTATCCACAGGGTTTAAAGTTCCCCTCATCCCCCACAGATACCAAAATCTGAGGATGCTCAAGTTCCCTGTATAAAATGGCATAATATTTGCATATAACCTAACACATCCTTCCATATGCTTTACATCATCTCTAGATAACTTATAATACATAATACATTGTAAATGGTATGTGAATAGTTGTTATTTGTTTTTAAGTTTACGTTATTTTTATTGTTATTATTTTTATTTTAAAGATTTTTCCATCTGCAGTTTTCCATCTGTTGTTTGAATCCACATATGCAGAATCCACCGATAGGGAGGGCAACTGAACTTAATTATCTGCATCCATTGTTTGGCATTTAGTAGTAGTAGTATTTTTAGAGACAGGGTCTTGTTGTGTTGCCGAGAGTAGAGTGCAGTGGCTATTCACAGACATTATCATCATAGTGGCGCACTACAGCCTTGAAATCCTGGGCTCAGGTGAGCCTCCTACCTCAGTCTCCCAAGTAGCTGGGACTGCAGGTATGCGCCACTGTACCCAGCTGTTTGGCATTTTTAACCAAAGAGTAGTTTAACCTTTTTCTTATTTATCCAGGGCTTCTTAACCATATCTAAACATACAATATTTAGCTACCAGTACTAGAACTGTTGTTTGCATTTGTTAAAAAAGAGGCATAATAGGACCTTCTGGTCTCCTACTTTTTGGGTTGTCTCACCGGGACTTTCAGAGGCTCTTATTTTTTATTTTTTTCTTTCGATACCTTTGGTATGAAAGCTGTTATTTTTTAGAAGTCCACTTGACATTTTGCTTCTTGTCCTCATCCTAGTAGTATAGCCCATTTTGCTCTTCTTAGGAATATGCCAGAAAATTTTTCATAATTGAATAAAACAATTTCCTGCTGGTCCTCTGGCTCATTGACCTATTGGATTTCAGCTTGGACCACATCATGTCTGGTAATTATTTCTTAAGGCACTTAAAGCACCTGGTAGTTTGTTTACTTACTTACTTCGTGTAGTTGTTCTCCTAACATCCCAATGAAGTAGGTACACCCTACTTTGTAGACTCTAAAGATTCTTGGTTATGCTCATTGGCAGGCAAGAATCCATTTTATCCATAAGAATCCTTAATACAGAGAAGAATTAGTGCATTCTTAGTGTTTATCATCTCTGTTACCTTGCAAATATACATAAAAGATCCCTCGTTAATATTAACATATGAATTTTAGGCCAGGTGCAGTGGCTCAGGCCTGTAATTCCAGCATTTTGGGAGGCTGAGGTGGGATGATCATTTGAAATCAGGAGGCTGAGACCAGCCTGATCAACGTGGCGAGACCCTGTGTCTATCAAAAGTTAAAAAATTTAGGTAGGCATGCTGGGCACAACTGTACTCCCAGTTACTCAGGAGGCTGAGGCAGAGGATCGCTTGAGCCCAGGAGTTTGAGGCTACAGTGAGCTATGATAGCGCCACTGTACTCCAGCCTGGGCAACAGAACGAGATTCCTGTCTCAAAAACAAACAAATGTATGACTGTAAAAGAATGAAAGATAAATATCCAATAGTACTGATTAAACCTCTCGTTTAAGTGCCCTTTTTTGTTCCCGTTAAATAGAATCAAAGCACATTTTATCTAATAATGTATAAGCTTTCAGCCTGAAAAACAGCTTAAAATAAGTGACTAAGGTTGAAGCTAATATGAGTCAACCTTAAAACATGCAAAATTTTTACAAAAAACAGGTCACCTTTAGATGCCAGGTATTACTTTGCCTATTCACCAATCTAGATGTATTATCTAATTCTTGTCTTAGACCTTACATTTTTTTCCAAAATCAGTATAGTTGCTTTCTGTTTGTCTGGTGGTGAACCGCATGATAACTTTACAAGTACTGCTGGTTCTATGAGAGTCTTTTTCTTACTATCAGAAGAGCATGGTAACAGTCCAATACTAAAAGAAAAAGGAAGTACGTTAGTTGATTATACCAGTGAATCTTGAAGAACATATCAAGTAATTCTTTTCTCCAAACTTCAAACTGTTATAGTTCACACGGAACTAATCTTGGGTAGGGAGGCAGATGGGGTGGGCTTCCTCTGTCTGCTGCTTCCTGTCCCAGTTGCTCCTCAACAGTAACACCTGAGTCTTCTTAGCCACCTTTCTCAGTACCTCAGGAAACCTCTGTGAAGCTTTCTTTCTCCTTACTTATTCCTCCAGACTCTGTTGTCTTCTTCTTTCATTCTTCTGTTGTCTTCTTATTTTATTCTTTTGCCCTGTGGTCTTCCTTCCTTTTAGGTTTTTGGTTTGAGTTTTGGTTATTCAATCTCACCTAATTTCACCTGGGAAAATTTTTGAGATCCAATCAGGTTGAAGAAGAAAGGGAAAGAAAACCACTTAGCACTAGTCCCTCAGGATCTACCGTATATAAGCCAAACAGACATTCTCCTCTGCCAGAATGCTCATCTGTTGGCATAACTTTGTTCCTAAGAATCTCTACCTCACTTCTCTGCTTAGAGTTGTATTATAAAAGACCCCCTTCTATTATCCTGGGTCAATAAGTGCACAAGCTCAAAAGGAAAAGAAGGGATGTGCTGTGCCCCAAGAAAGGATGATAGAGGAAGAAAAATCCTGTCCTGGCTCGTCTGATGTCTCAGTTGGATATTACCCAATTCTTAATGTTTAATAAGCCCATTTATTTTTGAGGCCCTTGGCATCATTTGTCATCGTGTACTATTTTAATGGCAATAAAACGTTCCTCCAGCTGTATCAGGCTGAGTGTAAGGATGGTGGAGACCCAAAGCAGTTTACATGAAACCCTCCATGGGAAGGAGAGGAGAGAAATTCAGGATGAAACTACAGCCACAGCCAGAATGGTGGACTGAAGTACCAGTGTTCCCTCAGATGGGGGAACTCCTTTATAGTGTGGTAGGTTTTCTTTTCTTTTCCTTTTTTTTTTTTTTTTTTTGAGACAGAGTTTCGCTCTTGTTGCCCAGGCTGGAGTGCAATGGTGCCATCTCGGCTCACCACAACCTCTGCTTCCCAGCTTCAAGCTATTCTCCTTCCTCAGCCTCCCGAGTAGCTGGGATTACAGGCATGTGCTACTATGCCTGGATATTTCTGTATTTTTAGTAGAGATGGGGTTTCTCCATGTTGGTCAGGCTGGTCTCAAACTTCTAACCTCAGGTTATCCTCCCGCCTCAGCTTCCCAAAGTGCTGGGATTACAGGCGTGAGCCACCGCACCCGGCCTATAGTATGGTAGGTTTTCTGAGGCCTTCTTTATACCAGTATTAAAAATGAATTTTTAAAATTGTGCCAGAATTAAGATTTTTTATCTATTTTTCTCCAAGAATTATTAGCCACTTTAAAAGATATCTTTAATAATTAAAGATAAAATTGGATTTTATTTGAAAAGTACTGATAAACCTGAATTACATGTTACGTAATATATTAACTGTCTTCCTATCTTCAACCTTCAAATCTATAATAGACTCGATATCAAATAGTACTTTGAACCCAGTAGAGTTTCACAACCTTTCAAGTGTAGAACCAATCAGTCAACAAGCATCTATTAAATCTCTCTAAGTTCAAGAAAAGATCCTTTAATTTAATCTAGCATTTGGATAAAACCCTTGAAAAAATTGGTTGTTGGTTACACTTTTTCTACTTTTCCTTAATGGGGCTACTTAAAGATTTATTTAGGTCAGATATGGCCAACTCAAATGCACAAAAATGAGTGAAATGTGCTAGGTATAAGACAAGATGGAGTATTGAGGACTGGGATGAACTGCAGAGTACATATTCACGTAAAGGAACTCAAATTCAATTTTTATAAAAAGCTGAGGCCAAATAGAGTGTATCATCAGTCCAAATTCAGCCAAAGGCTGCAGTTTGTGACCTCTGATTTAGATAGCAAGATGAAATATTATTTGGTTGGGATTTTTGGAGGTGGTAGGAGTGACTCCAAATCATAATAAATTAATATATATGTACTTTAGAAGCCCATATTGCAAGACTTGTATTTATGATGGCTATAATATATATTGATAAAAGAGTAAGTATAATTATGCCTAGAAGCATAAGACAGTATTTCTCAAAGTGTAGTTCATAGCAACTTTCACTAGAATAATTTGGGAGGGGTGGGAGAGGGACTATTTCAAAACTTACTACAAAGCTATAGTAATCAAAACTGCATGGTAATGGCATAGGTGTAAATCTATAGATTAACAGAATGGAAATACACTCACGTATTTGTGGGCATTTGATTTTCAACAAGGATGCCAAGACAATTTAGTAAGGAATGAATGGCCTTTTCAACAAATGTTGCTGAGGTAACTGGAGATAGCTAGCTAGCTAGATGTAGATAGATAGATAGATAGATAGATAGATAGATAGATAGATAGACAGACAGATAGTTGGTTTTTTTTTTTTTGAGACAGGGTCTGGCTCTGTTGCCCAGGCTGGAGTGCAGTGGCACGATCTCAGCTCACTGCAACCTCTGCCTACCTCTGCCTCCAGAGCTCAAGCACTCCTCCCACCTCAGCTTCCTGAGTGGCTGGGACTACAGGTGCATGCCACTATGGGCCTGGCTAATTTTTTAATTTTTTGTAGAGACAGGGTTTTGCCATGTTGCCCAGGCTGGTCTCAAACTCCTGAGCTCAAGTAATCCGCCCACCTCAGCCTCCCAGAGTACTAGGATTACAGGCTTGAGCCACCGGTCCCGGCTGGTAACTGGATATTGACTTATAAAAGAATGAAGTTGCACCCCTACTTCACACCCCTCTCTCCATATAAAAGAATGAAGTTGTACCCCTACCTCTATGGCAAATCCATAGAGATAGAAAGTAGATTAGTTTCCTAGAGTTGAAGAGAGGAGGGATTGACGAGTGAGTGCTTACAGGAAAAAGTTTTCTTTTGGAGATGATGCAATGTTCAGGAATTAGGTAGTGATGATGGTTGTACAGCCTTGCAAATATACTAAAAACCAACTGAACTGTACATTTTTGAAGAACAAATTTTATGGTGTTTGAATTACATCTCAATGTAACAAAATAACTTGAAGCAGGAGAGATTGCTCATTAAAGATAAAAATTCTAGAGGTCATCTTAGACTCAAGCTTCTTTGAGAATATGGCTCTAGAAATCTACAAGTTTAACAAATATACTCAGGTTTATTTCCTAATGACTAGGAAATACTGATTTAACAGTTGTGTATACTTGTACATTGAAATGTGTTTAGGCTAAAGGACATGTGCTTTTTGATCATTTTAATCATCAGCAGCAAAGAGTTATGTGGTATTACTTTCTGTCCCATATGAGAGTTATCAGATGATAAAGGTGTGATGCTTTCTCTGGAGGAACAAGAAGACGGCCATACATAGAAGCATGAAATGGTGTACTTTTTCATTTCTTTGAATTTGTTACTTTGGCAAATTCTGGGAAGAAAGATAATAATTCAACGTAATGAATTCAGAGAAGCACAAAACTTAAGGGAAATATCCAGCAATATTTCTGTGGTTGCTTTGTTTTTAGTGTTTATTTTGGGGATGAAAACCTTGGTGTGTTGATTTTTCTCAAGGCTTTCTTGGTCATGTGTTACTGTGGGCCTTTCAACAAAGCCAAGTTGACAGAGAACAGATGCATATTTTAATAACTAAACTTCCTCAGCAATAGTATCTGGATCAGATTGGTTTCACAGCAGTGTTGCAGCAGGATAAATTATAATTAAAAATAGGCAGGTATTTTATTTCATGAAGATTTAGGGGAAGAACAAGATGGAACTTTTTAGAGTTAGCAGTTACCAAATAGGGGAATGAAGGTAGATCTGCAATTTCCCAGTACAAAGTATTTGGGGGCTTATTCAGAGTTTTACTTGCACTGAGTTGATAAATGGTATATGATCATCAGTAGTATCCTATAAATATTAAACTGTAAGTCTCTTTTGAAAATCTAAAATTACTCCTTTTTCTAAATTATCAAAGGTTTTAAAACATCAAATTCACAAATACCTTTTTTATTTAAAGAGAAAGTAGGATTTGATACTCAATTTTTTTGTTGTTGTTGAGACGGAGTCTTGCTCTGTGTCCAGGCTGGAGTGCAATGGCGCCATCTCAGCCCACTGCACCCTCTGAATCCCTGGTTCAAGCGATTCTTCTGCCACAGCCTCCCTAGTAGTTGGGATTACAGGCATGCGCCACCATGCCCAGCTAATTTTTGTATTTTTAGTAGAGATGGGGTTTCACCATGTTGGCCAGGATGGTCCCCATCTCCTGACCTTATGATCCACCCGCCCCACCCACAAAGTGCTGTGATTATAGGTGTGAGCCACCGCGCCTGGCCGATACTCAATTTTTTTATGGTTGATGCCAGTCACACTTACTTTGGCTAATCCTGTTTCTTTAACGATAAAAATAGATGATGAAGCTTAAAAGATTCTACACTTACACGAATGGTATATTATATTGTTTTGTTATATGTAAGATGTACGAAAAGTACTTTGTTTAATTAGGGTCTCGGAACATGAATATGACTAGCTTTTCCCATTTTTCCTTTTTTATCGCAAGCTTCTTTTTTTTTTTGAGACGGAGTTTCACTCTTGTTGCCCAGGCTGGAGTGCAGTGGTGCAATCTCGGCTCACTGCAACCTCTGTCTCCTGGGTTCAAGCGATTCCCCTGCCTCAGCCTCCCAAGTGGCTGGGATTACAGGCGCCCACCACCACGTCTGGCTAATTTTTTATATTTTTAGTAGAGATGGGGTTTCATCATGTTGTCCAGGCTGGTCGTGAGCTCCTGACCTCAGGTGATCTACCTGCCTCAGCCTCCCAAAGTACTGGGATTACAGGTGTGAGCCACTGCACCTGGCCTTTATCTCAAGCTTCTACCAGTAGTGATAAATGGCTAGCAAGAATCTTCTATGCCTTAGCCTGAAGGAGATGGGTTCCATTACCAATCTTCTTTCTTCCAAAATATAGAACTTCAGGTATTTGCCCGAGGCTGCACCCTCAGCCAATATTTTGGCTCTATTTTGGCCTCAGCCAATATGTTGTGCTCTATATTAGGCAAGTCACAGTACATGATGGAGACACAGAACTGATGAACATTTTCAAAAGGAGGCATGCTGGAGTGATTCAATACAAATAAGATAGACAGACTCTTGCATTATGTTGACCCATAGGAATTTGCTGGGTTTTTTTGTTTGTTTTTGAGAAGGAGTTTTCGCTCTTGTTGCCCAGGCTGGAGTGCAATGGTGCAATCTCAGCCCACTGCAATCTCCACCTCCTGGGTTCCAGTGATTCTCCTGCCTCAGCCTCCCAAGTAGCTGGGATTACAGGTGTCCACCACCACGCCTGGCTCATTTTTGTATTTTTAGTAGAAACAGGGTTTCACCATGTTGGCCAGGCTGGTCTCGAACTCCTGACTTCAGGTGATCCACCCACCTCAGCCTCCCAAAGTGCTGGGATTACAGGCATGAGCCACTGTGCCCGTCCAAAATTTTTGTAAGTCAAAATTTTTTGAATATTGGCAGTTTCCTGTGGTGCATCCTAATATTATACTGAGAGTAGTGATATGTTGGAGATAAGGTCGTAAGAACAGGTAATACCTAATCTAAACTGGGAGAATAACTACTGTTCAATCCCACTATTGGGCCATAGTAGTCACTGTTTATATAATAAATGAGTGAAGTCTTCTGTGATGTCTTTTCGACACATGTATTCAGTGTGTATTATGTATCTAGTAGTCTCCCAATCTCAAAGCTTCTTTGAAGTTGCATATCATATATTTAAAATACATGTAAAATTTGCAGTTTGCTGCACAATAGAGCCATAGTTGTCTTAGTACAAATATTTTTTTCACATGTTTAAGTAAAACTTGTCCAAAGAGATATAGCATATTTGCCTTGTTTTTCCCTTTTCTTACACACAGCTCTTTGTACCTCAGGGGTTTGTCATACCATAATTTGGGATGCATTGTTATATAAATAGGAGGCCACTGAAAGTTTAAATCAAGGTAATGCCATGGTGAAATTGATGTTTGAGAAAAGTAATTCTGAGAGAGTCAAAATAGTTGTGTTGTGATAGCAACTGGCATATGTGCATTAAAAATTGAACATTAAGAATAAATGCTGACATTGTGGATTATTTGTTGCTTTCATAAGTTTGTCCTCTAGCACTTGTGCTTTTTATCTTTTGTATTAAGTATGCATTTTAAGAGTAAATGGTATACCACCAAATTGTCTAACAGTGCTACATTTTTGTGGAATCTTGGGGGAGGGATCATATATAGTTAAAATTTTATATTAGATTTTCTTTTATAGCCATTTACATGATGTGGCTTTTTATATTTGGAGGACAAAAGAATTCATAGAATACATTAATGTGTTACATGATGTCAGCAGATAACTAGATTTCTAAAGGTTAAGTTATTAAAGGCTTATATGGAAATCTAAAAAGACTCATGAGTAATTACTTTTAAAGGCATTGAAAGGAGTGAAAAAGTGGGTGACTATCTAATTCCAGACATGAATATGAGACAGACTAGTACTTATAGCAGTTTGGAGGATGCCAGAGAAGCCAAAAAGGGAGCAGCATATGCTTCCAAATTGTTTTGAAGTGAGGCTTTGTCTTTTCTCTAGAAAAATAGATAATATCTCATCAACTTAACATCTAGAGGACCAGAGATATTCACTGAAAGGAATGCTTTTTATTCATTCAATTATTCATTCATTTATTAAATATTGAACACTTTAATGTGCTGACACTGAAATAGTCCTAACATAACATATGGTTAATAGAACAGACGTTGTCTTTGCATCTATAGTGCTAATACACTAATGGGCAGATAATAAATACAAAAAATATATATGACTATATATTATAATAAATGTTATGAAGGGAAACTACAAGTTACTTCAAGATTTGGTAACAAGGAAATCTATTTTAGATTAGGGTTTCAAGAATGGTCTCTCTGAGTAAGTGACATTTAAAGCTGAGATCTAAGAGACGAGTAGGAGAAATCACGGTGATGAGTAGGGGAAGTGCATGCTTGAGGCTCTTGGGTGGCAGGTTCTAAAAGAAAGCCAGACTTTCTAGAACACAAGAGCAGTTGGCCAAGAGGTAGGTAGGACCCAAATTATACCAGAGCTTGGTGGCCATATTGAGGAGGACATGGGATTTCATTCTAACTGCAGGAAAAAGCCATTGAAGATCTTTAAGCATGGAATTGGATGGAGTGACTTAAGTGTTTCAGAGATGACTATGGCTGTTGTGAATGCATTGAAGGGGATAAGGAGACCAGGGAAACCAGTTAGGAGCTACTGCTCGGGTAAGAGTTGATGGTGGTTAGTTGAATGTATCAGCAATGAACTTGCAATTGAAGGTCAAAGCTAACTTTAAATTAAACTCTTAAGAATATTATTGGTGGTGTGTCTCCCAAGAAAAATACCTGTCTAAGAAAATAGGAAACATCATCCCCAAAAGACTAAATACGTAGTGTGAAGGTTGAGAAAGAGGAATATATTGCAGGGAAACTTTTGGTGAGGTTTATTTGTTGTTGTTGTTTACTTCCAAAATATGGTTTCCATTTTTCTCCCCCATAAGTTTTCTATTTGGGAAAAGAGATTTAGTGGAATTATAAACTGAAAGAATTCATGTATAACTTTTGCCTCACTTTACTTTTTATTTTCATTTTTAATCTTTCATTTTTTTCCTTCTATAACTTTCTTGTCTTTGAAAAAAAGAGTGCAGGTGCCTTATGTGTCCAAGAATGAAATAGCCTCTGAAGTACTATCTGTTTGCTTGCTAGCTTGCTGGCTTGCTGGGTCAAAGAAAAGGAAGGGCTCGTTTATACTGTAACAGTGTTTTTATTTAGCATGCCTCTGAGGTTTTTATTGTGTTCTGGGACAGTGTTTATGACATTGGAAGTTAAAGAAAAGAATTGCAATGAGTTGGGGGGATGGGGGAGGGATAGCACTGGGAGATATACCTAATGCTAAATGACGAGTTAATGGGTGCAACACACCAACATGGCACATGTATACATATGTAACAAACCTGCACATTGTGCGCATGTACCCTGAAACTTAAAGTATAATAATAATAAAATTAAAAATAAATATATTTAAAACAAACAAACAAAAGAATTGCAGTGAGTTTGAGTGACACAAAAATAAAATTCCCATGATAATTCAATACCATGAATTATCTTTATTGAGTGAAATAAATTCTGAGGGTATAGTAATTATTTTATGGTCCTTTTGTATTAGATTTGTGTTTGCTTAATAATTTAGCACTTTGAATTTTCTCTTTGAATTTTTATTCTTCCAGAAATCTTTGCGGGGTTGGAGTTTTCATATTGTGACTTTTGGGCTAACATCTCTCTAGCTCTTCTTATTAGTTAATTTTCAGCAGATTTTTTTTTTCTATATTGCCCAGTCCAGTCTCAAAGTCCTGGGTTTATGCAATCCTCTCTCCACAGCCTCCCAAGTGACTCACTGGGATTACAGGTGTATGCCACCATGCCCAGCCTTGGAAGACTTTTTATAAATTAGGGTACATCTTTTTTTTTTATTTTTCACATAATTTTGTTTTTGTTATCAGCAAGGTTGAATCAAAAGTAACTTCCTTTCCTGGTGGTCTAATTGCTAGGATAAAGAGAGGGAAAAAAATAACTTCATCATTACTGAATTATCAAAATGAGGTCTTTTAATTTATCTATTACTATTATAAGGCTAGTTAGAAAATTTAAGTCATTTTCTAAGAGATAGAAATTTTGTTAGCTTGATTTTTCTGACTTTTTGTCATTCCTTCTCTTATGTATGGTGCCATCTGCTGTTTGTGGGAAGTATTTTATATTTTGAAGCACTACACATAATAGAAATACAGTGTCTAAAAGAAAAATGTCAAAATACATGAAATGAAAAAAGCAGTAGTGTGGCCCGTTTGAAACTTTGTGGCCTGTGGCTTGTTTCTTTTTATGTAAAAATTATTTTTATATCTGATTATTTTTAGTACTTACATGAATCACAAGATTTTGGTACTCATCGTGTTCTGTCTTAATTTTGTTTTTGCTCAGAATAGAAGTAATCGGTAAACATTTGTTAGTTGACTCATTTGGTTTGTTTTTTGTGACTCCTCAGGCACCTTTCTTGTAAGCTTCTGCTTACAGTCTATGCAACCTTAGGCAAATAATTTCAGCCCTTAGCACCTCTGTTTCCTTCTCCATAAGAAGAAGATAATAATATCAATTTCTTAAGGTTTTTCTGAGGATTAAATGAGATAACACTTGTCATATGCATAGCACAATCCTTTCCTTTCGCTAAAATGTTGTTTCCAGGTTCAGTGAGTTTCCCTTTTACCTTATTTCAAAGACACCTTTGTTAAGAATCAGATTTCATTGCTATAGGATCATAAACTCTTTGAGCCAGAAGGAACTTCAGTAAGTGGGCCTCAAAATGTTAGCATGCATTTGAATCATATGGTGATCCTATTTAAATGCTGATTCGGATTTTATTGGTGGTTATAGGATATGGAACCTCATAGTCTGCACATCTAACTTTTACTTAAGCATTGCTGATACTGCCCCCACAGAATGCCTTTTCTGTAGCAAAGCTTTGGAAAACAACAAACAGAAAAACAACTAGTAAAGATGGAGATGGATGGGAAGAGGATGACTGAAAGGTATAAAATTACAATTAGAAAGAAAGAACAAGTTCTGGTATTCTATTGCATGGTAGGGTGACTATAGTCAACAATAAGTTATTGTATATCTTAAAATGACAAGAATAAAAGGTTCTGTGTCTTCACACCACAAAAAAATGACAAATGTTTCAGGTGATGGATATGCTGATTAGCCTGATTTTAACATTACACAATGTATATGTTTTGAAACATCACATTGTAAGCAATAATATGCACAATTATTATGTGTTACTTAAAATAAATTTTTTTAAAAAACAAAAGAAAAATAATCCACCAAAATCTGATTTTCTTTTTTGGGTAATCTCATGTGCCAGTCATCAGAACTGTATTTCTTTGTAGAAGAGGAAAGGAATCCAGAGTCTGTCTCCAGAAGACATTCCAGACTAATTTCTTATTCTTTACTCTCAGCACTAAATTTTATTAGTCAGCAGTTACATTTTGTCATTTCTACCAATGTTATACAGCAGTAACATTGCTGAGAGAAATTATTAAAGAGAATTATATTCAAAACCCAGTTATTTATTGTCCAAGCATTATGACCTACAAATATTTAATTGGTATCCATTTAAAATTCAACTACAACTTTTATTTCTATTTGTAACTTGTTGCCTTGTTCTTTACTCTTTAAATTGCTTTAAATTTTTACAGCATTAAAAAATGAAAAGCTAAACAAATTAGCAACTTCAGTAACGTTTCAGGTTACAAAATCAATGTACAATAATCAGTAACATTTGTATACACCAGTAATGTTCAAGCTCGGAGCCAAATAAAGAATGCAGTCCCCTTTACAATAGCCACACACACAAAATGCCTAGGAATACATCTAACCAAGGAAGTGAAAGATCTCTACAAGGAGAACCACAAAATGCTGCTAAAAGAAATCACAGATGACACAAACAAATGAAAAAACATTTCTTGTTCATGGATTGGAAGAATCGGTATCATTAATATGGCCATACTGTGCAAAGTAACCTACAGATACAATGCTATTCCTATCAAACTACCAGTGTCTTTTTTTTTTTTTTTTTTTTTGAGATGGAGTCTCACTGTGTTGCCCAGGCTGGAGTGCGGTGGTGTGATCTCAGCTTACTGCACCCTCCCAGGCTGGAGTGCAGTGGTACGATCTCGGCTCACTGCAACCTCTGCCTCCCAGGTTCAAGAGATTCTCCTGACTCAGCTTCCTGAGTAGCTGGGACTACAGGCGCAAGCCACCATGCCCAGTTGATTTTTTATTTTTAGTAGAGACAGGGTTTCACCACATTGGCCAGGTTGGTCTCGAGCTCCTGACCTCAGGTGATCCACCCTCCTCAGCCTCCCAAAATACTGGGATTACAGGAGTGAGCCACCGTGCCTGGCCACCAGTGTCATTTTTGACAGAACTAAATAAAACTATTCAAAAAATTCGTATGGACCCAAAAGAGCCCAAATAGCCAAAGCAATCCAAAGCAAAAAGAACAAAGCTGGAGGCGTCACATTACCTGTCTTCAAATATACTGTAAGGCTATATAGTAATCAAAACAACGTGGTACTGGTACAAAAATAGACACATAGACCAAAGGAACAGAATAGAGAACCCAGAAATAAAGATGCACACTTACAACTATCTGATCTTTGACAAAGTCGACAAAATTCAGCAATGGAGAAAGGACTCCCTATTCAATAAATGATGCTGGGATAGTTGGCGAGCCATATGCAAAAGAATGAAACTGGACCCCTACCTGTCACCATATACAAAAATTAACTCAAGAAGGATTAAAGATTTAAATGTGACATCACAAACTATAAGAATCCTAGAAGAAAATCTAGGAAACACCATTCTGGACATCAGCCTTGGGAAAGAATTTATGACTAAGTCCTCAAAAGCAATTGCAACAAAAACAAAAAATTGACAAGTGGAACCTAATTAAAGAGCCTCTGCACAGCAAAAGAAATTATCAACAGAGCAGACAACCTACAGAATGGGAGATGATATTTGCAAAGCATGCATCTGACAAAAGTCTAATACATAGAATCTATAAGGAACTTAAACAGTTGAACAAGCAAAAAACAAATAACCCCATTTAAAAAATGGACAAAGGACACGAACAGACACTTCTCAAAAGAAGACATACAAGCAGCCAAAAGACATGAAAAAATGCTCCATATCACTAATCATCAGAGAAATTCAAATCAAAACCACAATGAGACCATCTCACACCCATCAACATGGCTATTATTAAAAAGTAAAAATAAATAACAGATGCTGGTGATGCTGTGGAGAAAAGGAAACACTTATACACTGTTGGTGGGAATGTAAATTCAGTTCAGCCACTATGGAAAGAGCTTGGCGATTTCTCAAAGAACTTAAAACAGAACTACCATTTGACCCAGCAATCCCATTACTGGATGTATATTTAAAAGAAAACAAATAAAAAGACATACACTTACATGTTAATTGCAGCACTATTTGCAAAAACATGGAATCAATCCAGGTGCCTATCAGTGGTGAATTGGATAAAGAAAATATGGTACACATATACCACAGGATACTTTGCAGCCACAAAAAAGAACAAAATCATGTCGCTTAAAGCAACATGGATGCAGCTGGAGGCCATTATCCTAAGTGAATTAATACGAGAACAGAAAGCCCAATGCCTCATATTTGCACTTGTAAGTGGGTGCTAAACATTGACTACTCAGGGACATAAAGATAGCAACAATAGACACTGGAACAACTCTAGACTAATAGAGGAGGGGAGGAAAAGGGTGGGAACAAGGGTTGACAAGCTAACTGTTGGATACTATGCTCAGTACCTGGGTGATGGGATCATTCATACCCCAAACTTCAGCATTATGCAATATAGCCATGTAACCGACCTGCATATGTATCCCCTGAATCTAAAATAAAAGTCGGAAAAAACCCCAAACAAATTAGCCCCAATAACTCTCTGTAAATTCTAGAGTAATTACTTGACTCCAATAAGACCTTTTTTTGGTGAGTTGGATATACAATGCTATTCTCTTGATGTTTGGATTTTCCCCGAAACTGGTTAATTATGTTTAAAACTGAATACCCTTAAGTCCAGTGCCCCAGTGTGGGTTCAACAGGATAAAGTGTCTATCCACAGTATTCTCTGAGAAGGAATCCTTTAGTTTTAGCCAGAGAGTCATAGAGTTGTTCACACCTGAGGAATCATCCAGCTTAGTTACACAAGTTCAAGGTCCTAAAGGAAATTAAAAGAGGCATAAAATGACTTCTCAGAAATGTATAGATTGACTAAAAAGTAAAAATTGTGGCCTAGAAAAAAAACTTAATGAGTAGAAAGTTTTTTCCAAATGAAATCTTATGTATAAGGACAATACTACCCTTTCTTCCTACCTCCCCTGAAGTGATGGTAAGGAGTATCTTGCTATTTTATTTTTATTTTTTGAAAGAGCATCTCGCTCTGTTGCCCAGGCTGGAGTACAGTGGTGTGATCTCTGCTCACTGCAACCTCTGCCTCCTGGGTTCAAGCTATTCTCCTGCCTCAGCTTCCCCAGTAGCTGGTATTACAGGTACACACCAGCATGCCCACCTGTTTTGTATTTTTATTAGAGAAGGGGTTTCACCATGTTGGCCAGGCTGGTCTCGAACTCTGACCTCAAGAGATCTACCCGCCTCGGCCTCCCAAAGTGCTGGGAATACAAGCGTGAGCCACCGCACCCAGCCAGTATCTTGATTTTATCTGGTGTAGCCCAGTGCATTCACAAGCATTGCTGTAAGACTACACAAATGTCATGAAAGCTACTAGGATTTGTATGGACAGGTTGCACTATCATCCTGTCTGGATACTTGTCATGTTTAAGATTTCTAGAAAAGGAACTTACCCAGTGTACTTTGATAACTTTTTCTTGATTTTTAATTCTTTTGCTTTTACATCTGTGAAAAATAGATCATTATAATACTTTTGAGGTATTTTTTTTCTAGTGGATAATCTGAATGCAAAATCAACCAACAAAAGAAACAAACAAAAAAACCCTGTTATACCCTGGAACTCCAACTTGAGAATTTTCTTTTCCTTGCCATTCCTGGCTTCCATCTTCACAGTCATTCGTAGACTCACCCTCTCTTTAACTTTGCAAGATCTCTGGCAATTATTCCAGTCCTAAAAGGCTAGATTCTATAGGCATATTCTGTAAATGCTTCTTGGTTTTCAGACTGTGTCATGGTAATGCTGTTGCCTTCCTTGCTACATCTTCTGAGAACTAGAACTTAAGGACTTCCATGTCTCTGTACACTTATTCAATCTGTTCTTATTTTAAAATCAGAAAAAACAAGGGACTATGTTTCTACTATATTCAAATCATAAAGAATTATGGGCTGGGCGTGGTGGTTCACACCTGTAATCCCAGCACTTTGGGAGGCCAAGGCAGATGGATCACAAGGTCAAGAGATTGAGACCATCCTGGCCAACATGGTGAAACCCTGTGTCTATTAAAAGTACAAAAAATTAGCTGGGTGTTGTGGCGCGTGCCTGTAGTCCCAGCTTGGGAGGCTGAGGCAGGAGAATCACTTGGACCTGGAAGGTGGAGGTTGCAGTGAGCCGAGATTGCGCCACTGCATTCCAGCCTGGCGACAGAGTGAGACCCCATCCCCCCCAAAAAAAAAAAACATGGATTGTTAGACTTGAAAGTAACTCTACAGGTAGTTTAAGCCAATACCCCTTATTTAAAAGAAGAGAACTTAAGTATGACAGTAAAAGTTGTAAGAACCATGACTGATCTCAAGCTTAAAGCCGGAGCAGATAGTTTAGCTTAGCATTAGGGCTTAAAGTTAATACTCTAAGTAGATTAGGTAATTCTTTAATAGTAGACTGTGGTATTTGGACCTATGCTACAGAATTCTGTCTAGTTTTATTTTTTAGATGATTTATAAGAGTCTTGAAGATAGTTTATAGGTGAACAAACGAATTTAAAATTAGTACGCATGAGAACACATCAAAGGAATTAAGAATATTTCCTTAAAAAGGATACCTTCAAAGGCATCTTCAGTAACATGAAAAATTCAACCAAGTGTTCTCTACTCTATTTTTTTTTAGGATAGTACAAAGGAAGTAAAGGCATAATATAGTAAAAAGAACAGCAGCAGTTAGGTGTGAGGCAAATCCACACAATGAAGCTGGTGAACACTAGAACAGGAGGGATATTTGCCTTCCTGGTTATTTTCCTCAAATTCTCTGCTTATTATCAATATCTGTTTACTGTGGTTGGGATTTAGCATCCAAAGGCACGAATGGATGCACTTCCCAAGACTCTGTCCTGTTTAGTGATATTTCATGGTCTATTTAATAAACTGTTTGGGGGACTTTAACATGATAATTGTCAGGGCATATAGTGCTTAACTGTGTGTCAGACACTTTTCTAAGTGTTTTTTTATATAGTAACTCATTTAATTCTGAAAAAAAAACCCTCTGAGGTATCTATAAGGAAATCGAGGTAGAGAGAGTTAAAATAACTCTAAGTCATATAGTTAGGAGGAGATGCAAAGTTGATTCAGACCTAGGAAGGCTGGCTCCGAGTCTGTCTCATAACCACCATGCTTTATTGCCTCTCCAAAAAAGAATAAAAGGAGGAAGCGGTCAGACTTCAAGGGAAATAAAATTTCTTTTATTTTACCTAGATATCTCTAGATCCGATAACAGCTGGGACCAAGATATGGCAGGCTGCAGGGGTCAAGGAGAGCCAGCAAGCAGTGAAACATCTGCCTCCCTCTCCAGCTTCATCCCTCACATGCACTTTCGTGGTCCCATCCCTCCCAGATCACAGGCAGTTCTGCCTGCTTCGTTTCTCTCTGCCTTTACAGATGCTATGCTTTTGGTTTGCACTGCTTTCCTCCCAATACTTTAACTTGACCAATTTGTATTTATTTCTCTACCTCTTTCAGGCAAAACTGCTTTGTAAGCATCTACTGCATTGTGAAACATTTCCAAGTTTACCCAAGAAGTACTGATCTTTCTACCTTTGGGCTCCCCCTGTCCCCTAAATATCCCTCCTTTTTTTGTACTTTCATCACTCATTTGACAACTATTTATTTAGCATTACTATGTGCCAAGCACTATTCTGGACACTGAGGAAATCAGTCAGTCCAAATTTCTGACCTAATAAAACATAATATCTAAGTGGGGAAGAAAAGCAAGATTTGGAAGAGAAATGATAGGATTTGATGTCTCCCTTAAAGGGATCACTCCGGCTACTGTCACTCTAGAGAAAAGGAGTCACTCTGGAGAATAGGCTGTGGGGGGTCAAGAGCAGGAGTGAGGAGACCAGGAAACTGTTGTGTTAATCCAGATCAGGAGGTGATGATGGCTTAGGTAAGGGTGGGAGCAGTGGGAATGGTAGGAAGTAGTTGAATTTGGGATATGTTTACCAAGTAGATCCAAAAAGATTTGCTGATGGTTTAACTGTTCGTTGTGAGAGAAAGAAAGGATAATTCTATGATTTTTTGCTTATGCAACTAGAGGAATGCACTTACCATTGAAGAAGAGATTGGAGGAAGAACAGGTTTATGGGGAAAATAAGGAATTCAGATTTTTACATGTTTTTGATTCCTATTAGGACATCCAAGTAGAGATCTTAAGATAGTTGAATATATGATTCTGGAGTTCAGAGGAGATAGTGAGGCTAAAACGTTGATTTGGGAGTTATTAGTGTATGCTATGTATTTAAAGCCACAAGACTTGATGGGGTCACCTAGAAAGCTAGCTGACGACCAGGTATGACCATAGGGAACTCGGGAGATGGTAGTATTCAGAGCAAAAGGTAGTTCAGTAAAGCTTTCAAAGCCCCAGCCAAAGGGATAGAATTTAGAGTCAGGACCTCATTAAAAAAATAAAAATAAAAAGGAACTGAAAAGAGTGAAATGAGATGCCTGTTCTAAACAGGCCTGGAGATTTGAGCAAGTTCTCAGGACAGCAACTAGAAGAAGGTAAGAATCCAGAACCAGAACTCAATTAGGAGACAGAAACTTGGTCTTAGGAGAAAGTCAGATGCCATTTATTATAAATGAGGCACAAGATCAGAGATAGGATCTAATCAAACATATATTGATGTTCAGCACCTTGAATGTTGGATTGTAGAACTCTTTACTTTTCCACTGGGACCATGTGCCAGATCATTCTTTATGCCATGAGTCAACCAGAGCTGGAGGCATATCATGGGTTGACCTTCGTTCATCATGTCCAATAGAAATAGAATTATTTAAAATACAAATAATTTTTGCTTATTTATATGCCTAAAATTCTTGCACCTTTCCTACTAATTCTTCAGATTGCATTGAGTCACACTTATGCTTATTTAGTCTTTTTTTTAAGTGGGAAGTATGCTCATTTAATTTGGGAAATTAGGATCTCTCTCTTTTTTTTTTTTTTTTTTTTTTTTAAGATATGGGGTCTCACTTTGTTGCCCAGGCTGGAGTACAGTGGCACAATCATAGCTTACTGCCGCCTCAAATTCCTGGGCTCCAGCAATCCTCCTGCCTCAGCCTCTCAAGTAGCTAGGACTATAGGCATGCACCACCACACCAAACTAATTTTAAAAACATGTTTGTTTGTTTTTTGGTAGAGACAGGGTCTTGCCATCTTGCCCAGACTGGTCTCGAAATCTGAGTTCAATCAGTCCTTCTGCCTCAGCCTCCCAAAGTGCTGGGATTACAGGCGTGAGCCACCATGCCCAGCCATCTTATTTTTTTATAATCCTTCTCATTCCTTAAGAAACTGAAAGGCTGGAAGCTTCTCCCTTGAATAGAAAGCTTCCCAGTTTCCAGTCACCTAGATAATAGGGTCAACTCAATTAAATTAATTCTTAAAGATGTATAAACAGGAAATCGTGGTCTTTGCATTGCTGTAAAGAAATACCTGAGACCGGGGCTGGGCGTGGTGGCTCACACCTGTAATCCCAGCACTTTTGGAGCCCAAGGCAGGAGAATCACTTGAACCTGGGAGGCAGAGGTTGCAGTGAGCTGAGATCACGCCATTGCACTCCGGCCTGGGCAACAAGAGCAAAACTCCATCTCAAAAAAAAAAAAAAAAAAAAAAAAAAAAAGAAATACCTGAGACTGGATAATTTATAAAGAAAAGAGTTTTGATTGGCTTGTGATTCTACAGGCTGTACAAGCATGACTCCAGCATCTGCTTCTGGTGAGGGCCACAGGAAAGTTTCAATCATAGTGGAAGGTGAAGAGGAGCAGCATATTATATGGCAAGGGAATGGGGAGATACCACACTCTTTTAAGCAACAAGATCTCATGTGAACCACCAGAGCCAGAATTCACTCATCACCAAGGGGATGGAGCTAAGCCCATTCATGAGGGATACACCTCCATGATCCAAACACCTTCCACCAGGCTTCACCTCCAACATTGGGGATTACACTTCAACATGAGATTTGGCGAGGATGAATATCCAGCCCATGTCATTCTACCCCTGGCCTCTCAAACCCTCAAATCTCATGTCCTTCTCACACTGTAAAATCCAACCGGCCCTTCTCAATAGTTGCCTCAAGTCTTATTCCAACATTAACTCAAAAGTCCCAAGTCCAAAGCCTCATCTGGAGATGAGATCCTTCTACCTGTAAGTCTATGAGGTTAAATACAAGTTAACCATTCCCAGTTACAATGGTGGTACAGGCACTGGGTAAACATTCCCATTCCAAAAGGAAGAAATTGGCCAAAAGAAAAGGGTAACAGGCCCCATGCAGTTCTGAAACCCAGCAGGGCAGACATTAAACCTTAAAGCTCCTAAATAATCCTTGTTTCCATGTCCCACACCCTGGGCACACTGGTGCAAGTGGTAGGCTCCCAAGGCCTTGGGCAGCTCTGCCCCTGTGGCTTTGCAGGGTACAGCCCACATGACTGCTCTCACTAGATGGAATGCCTGTGGCTTTTCCAGGCTGAGGATTCAAGCTGCCCATGGCGCTACCATACTGTGGTCTGAAGGGAAACAGCCTCTTTCCTGCAGCTTCACTAGGCAGTGCCCTGGTGGAGGACTCTGTGTGGGGGCTCCAGCCCCACATTTTTCCTCCACACTGCCCTAGTAGAGGTTCTCTGTGCAGGCGCTGCCCCTGTGGCAGTCTTCTGCCTGGGCACTGAGGCTTTTTCATACATGTCCTGAAATCTAGGGGAAATCTGCCAAGCATCCTTCATGCTTGCATTCTGTGTACCTGCAGACTTAACATGACATGGAAGCTGCCAAGGCTTATGGCTTGCACCCTCTGGAGCAGCAGCCTGAACTGTACCTGGGCACTTTGAGCCATGACTGGAGCCAGAACAGCTGGGATGTGGGAAGCAATGTTCTGAGACTGACCAGGACAATGGGGCCCCGGGCCTGGCCCCTGAAGCCATTCTTTCTTCCTAGGCCTCTCTTCCTATGATGGGAGGGGCTGTCTCCAAGATCTCTGAAATACCTTCAAGGCCTTTTGCCCATTGTCGTGGATATTAGCACTTGGCTCCCTTTTAGTTATGCTACTCTCTTTAGCAAGTAGTTGCTCCATAGCCTGCTTGAATTCCTCTCCTGTAAATGCTTTTTCATGCTCTGCCACATGATTAGACTGCAAACTTTCCAAACTTCTTTGTTCTGCTTCCCTTTTAAATATAGGTTCCAGTTTTAAGTCATTTCCTTACTCCCATATTTGATTGTAGGTTGTTAGAAGCAGCCATACTACCTCTAGAACACTTTGCTGCTTAGAAAATTTTTCCACCAGATACCCTGTTATCATTAAGTTCAAACTTCCACAAATCCCTAGGACTCAGACACGATGCAGCCAAGTTATTTGGTAGGGAATAACAAGGGTGACCTTTGCTCCAGTTCCTAATAAATTCCTCATTTTCATCTGAGACATCCTCAGCCTGGCCTTCACTGTCCATATTTCTATCAGCATTGTGGCCACAATCACCTAACAAGTCTCTAAGAAGTTCCAAACTTTCCCACATCTTCCTTTCTTTCTCTGAGCCCTCCAAACTCTTCCAACCTCTACCTGTTACCCAATTCCAAAGCTGCTTCCCACATCTTCAGGTATTAATAGCAACCCCTCACTCCTTGGTACCAATTTTTATGTTACACCATTTTTGCACATCTGTAAAGAAACACCTGAGACTTTGTGTAATTTTCAAAGAAAGGGGTTTAATTTGGCCCATGTTTCTGCAAGCTGTACAGGCATGGCACCAACATCTGTTCAACTCCTGGTGAGAACCTCAGGAAGCTTACAATCATGGCAGAAGGTGAAGGAGAACCAGCATATCACATGGAAAGAGCGGGACCAAGAGAGAGATGGGGGATGTGCCACACACTTTTAAACAACCAGATCTTGTGTGAACTACCAGAGCCAGAATTCACTCATCACCAAGGGGAAGGTGCTAAGGCATTCATGAGGGAACCACCTCCATGATCCAGACACCTCCCACCAGGTCCCCCCTTCAATGTTGGGGATAACATTTTGACATAAGATTTGGAAGGGACAGAAATCCCCACCATGTTTGGTGGCATCATGGGCTGACATTAATACATCTCTTTAATGGGATTGGAAGTTAGGAGATGTTTCAAGGAGGAGATTACCTTGAACTGAGCTGTCCTGGTCAGTTGGCCATCTGAGAGAAAGAAATGGGGTCCCTGCCACAAGGCGCCTGGGAAATTAAATCCCAGTTAGAGAAATAGGAAGACACTCAGGAAGTAATCAGAAAGACACTTCACTGGTTATTTCCCCCCAGCAGTTTTGCTGCGATGAATTTCAGGGGTAGAAGCAGGAATGGTGGAATAAGGAATTGGAATTCAGGCCTACTTGTATAAGGCCCTCCTCAGTTGACCTATACCAGTATTTCTACATTTTTCTTATTTGACTTCTCTTACCTTGTAAAATATATAGAAATCAGTGGTTTCTAGGGTCTGCAGAGTGGGGTGGGTGGCACTAAAATACAGTAGATGTTAATACCCGTCTTAGACTTAATGAATCAGAATTATCCAGGGTGGGATCCAGGAATCTGAACTTTTAACAAATCTCTTTTGTTATTCTTAACTGGTACTCCTCAATTTACTGTTTAGGAATCTTACACATGGGGGAGGTTGAGACACTTAACTAAGCTAGTTGGTGGCAGAAATGAAACTGTGATATGGATCTTCTAACTCCTGCTCTAAAGCTTTTGATTTATAGTATAGTATTAATGAACTTCTATTGTGAACTTGCAGACCGTTTAATATTAGGTTCAATATACTATGTTTAAATGGGAATGAATTTCACAGGGCTTATAGAGCCTTTCCCCATAATTGTAAAATTTTTGCAGCAACCGCTATATTACTGTTGCTACAATTTTCTTTGCTAATTAGGTCTCTTTGCCTTGTAGCTCTCACTTTTAAATTGTTTTTGTTTTGTCATTTAGTAGATCTCAGAGCAATTAACTAAACTAATTCTTCCATCTTTTTTTAAATGGAGACATCTCCTCCTCACTATGGCAGGAAGATCTGTGATTTCTAGTATAACTGCTTGATGTGAGGACAGGGTTACTTGGGAAAGAACTTTCAGCATGAGTGATTTAATTATCTGCCTCCATTAGATAGGTACCTTTCTCTTGCTTGGCTCCTAATAAAGGAACAAGCACTCTCATCCATTTTACGGTTTAAATAAATTTTACAGTTAAATATGACTAGATATACTTTTAGTACCCAAAGTTGTGGATATTTTGTTCCATAAAAGCTAATTACTAATAGAAAATGGTTTGCTAGATAAATTACTTAACTGAAAATATACTAGAAGCTTATTTGTGCTTTCTAAAAAAGTTGATAATTATGATTCACTGGTTAGAAGTTGTAGATTTTACATATCCCTGATGTATAGATGGATAAGTGCAAATAGGAAAACTATGCTCTTAAATTATCATGATTGCTTGAAAACTTGGTAATGCTCAGTTCTCAGTCTGGTTTCATACTAGAAACTCCTGGAAGTTCTTAAAAATACAAGTGACCACATTCTACTCCTGAGAAATTTCTATTTATTTGACCTAAGATGGATCTCCTGCCTCTGTGTGTTATGAAAGCTCCCCAGGTGATTTTAATAAGCAGCCATGGTTGAGAGCCAATGGTCTAATGGAAAGAGAACTGAATTATAATCAGGAAACTTGTCATTCCAGTCTTAATTCTGTGAACTCAGGTAAATCATCTAACATATTTAAGCTTGCATTGTAAAATGGAGGTAATTAATAATGGCCTATATGCCGGATTAATATTTTTACAGTTGAATGAAACTATATACTCAAAAGTGCTTTGCAGTAAAGTGTTATACAGATGGTGGCATAGCAATTAAGATTTACTACGCAATATACTACTGTGAAGTGGTATGTTTAGTCTTTTGTACTTCTTGGCAGAAAGATGCTAGATCCCCTGTGGCAGAAAGAAACTTAGGCTCCTTAGCGATCCTCAGGGTATATTATTATGATTCTTAAAGTTCACTCTGTATTTTTATGTGTACCAGGCTGCTAGTGTCTCTAGGTGATAGGGGGAAAAGGTAGAGGAAAGGGTGGAGTTGCTCCTGCTGGTGATTTTTTAAAATTGTGAGTTCCTATAATTAGTAACATCCTTCTTACATCTTCATAGAGACATGGTTGGTAGCAGTGGAGTCGTTTATATAACTTTACAAACCCTCTCTTGTGTACTCTTTTTCAATGTTATTCTCTTAAATCACTTCTGTCTCTGCTTTCCCTAGTGTTTAAGCTTCACTAACATTTACCTATATATAAATGGATGAGGACAGAAGAGAAAGGGTCCCCAAAGATGAATACACTCATTACTGGTTTCCCAACATGATATAAACCTAGGACTTCACCCCTTGGAGGGATGAAAGTTTACTATGCATAGCATTTCCTGGTGTGTCAGTCTCGGTACAGCCTCTTGCTCAATTCATCAGCTGTTTCCAGGCAAAATTACATACCACTTCTTGAGTGTTTTAAAGCCTCCTAACTGTATATATGTGAGTTCTTTGATATATTGACTTCTTTTTCTTTGAGTCGATTCCCAGTAGTGGCATTGCTGGATCAAATGGTAATTATATTTTTATTTTTTTGAGAAATCTCCATACTGTTTTCCATAGTGGCTGTACTAGTTTACATTCCCACCAACAGTGTATATGAGTTCCCTTTTCTCCACTTTCTTGTCAACATCTGTCTTTTTTAATAATAGGGATTCTGGCTGAGGTATGCTATCTCATTGTGGTTTTGATTTGCATTTCTCTGATGATTCATGAGGTTGAACATTTTTTCATATACCTGTTGGCTGTTTGTATTTATTTTTTTGAGAAATGGCTATTCATATACTTTGCCCAAGTATGAATGGGATTATTTGTTTTTTTCCTGTTGAGTTGAGTTCCTTATCTGTTCTATATATTAGTTCCTGTTGGATAAATAATTTGCAAATATTTTATCCCATTCTGCAGGTTGTCTCTTCACTCTGTTGATTTTTTTGTTTTGTTTTTTTTTTTTTGTGTGTGGGAGCTTTTTAGTTTAATTAATTCCCAATCACTTATTTTTGGTTTTGTTGCCTGATCTTTTGAGGCCTTTGTAACAAATTCTTTGCCTAAACCAACAACCAGGAGAGGGTTCCCTAGATTTTTTCTTCTAATATTTCTATAGTATCAGGTTTTACTTTTAAGTCTTTAATCTACTTTGAGTTCATTTTTGTATATGGTGAGATAATGGTCCAGTTACATTCTTCTGCATGGCTATACAATTTTCCCAGCACCGTTTATTGAAGAGATTGTCCTTTCCCCAGTGTAAGTTTTTGTTGTTTGTTTTTGTGTTTTTTTGAGACAGAGTCTTGCCTTGTCACCCAGGCTGGAGTGCAGTGGCATGATCACTGCTCACTGTGGCCTCAACCTCATGGGCCCAGATGATCCCCCTGCCTCACCCTCCCAAGTAGCTCAGACTACAGGCATTTGCTGCCACACCTGACTGGTGTTTTATTTTTTGTAGAGATGGGGTCTCACTCTGTTGCCTAGGCTGGTTTTGAACTCCTGGGTTCAAGCAATCCTCCTGCCTCAGCCTTCCAAAGTGTTGGGATTACAGGTGTGAGCCACTGTACCCGGCCCCCAGTATAAATTCTTGTTGGCTTTGTTGAAGATCAGTTGGCTGTAACTATGTGTCTTTATTTCTGAGTTCTCTGTTTTGTTCTACTGGTCTATGTGGCTACTTTTATACCATGTTGTGGCATTTTTAAGGATTTTTTTTTTAAGTGGGGAGTTTGAGACCAGCCTGGGCAACATGGCAAAAGCCTATTTCTACAAAAAAAAAAAAAAAAAAAAAAAAAGTAGAAAAATTAGCCAGGCATGGTGGCATGCGCCTATAGACCCAGCTACTTGGGAGGCTGAGGTGGGAGGATTGCTTGAGCCTGGAAGGTTGAGGCTGTGGTGAGCCATGATAGCACTACTATGCTCCAGCCTGGGTGACAGAGCAAGACCCTGTCTCAAAAAAAAAAGAAGAAGAAGAAGAGGAAGAGGAGGGGGAGGGGGGAGGAGGAGGAAAGAAGAAGAAGAGGAGGAGGGGGAGGGGGAGGAGGAAGAAAGAAGAAGAGGAAGAGGAGAGGGAGGGGGAGGAGGAGGAAAGAAGAAGAAGAGGAGGAGGGGGAGGGGGAGGAGGAGGAAAGAAGAAGAAGAAAGAAAAGGGGGCCAGATGCGGTGGCTCAGCTTGTAATCCCAGCACTTTAGGAGGCCAAGGCAGGTGGATCACTTGAGGTCAGGAGTTCGAGACCAGCCTAACTAATGTGGTGAAACCCATCTCTACTAAAAATACAAAAATTAGTTGAGTGTAGTGGCGCACACCTGTAATCCCAGCTACTCGGGAGGCTGAGGCAGGAGATTTGCTTAAGCCCAGGAGGCGGAGGTTGCAGTGAGCTGAGATCGCGCCACTGCACTCCAGCCTAAGCGACAGAGCAAGACTTCATTTCAAAGAAAAAGGAAGAAAGAAAAGTGGTATGAGCACAAGAACTCTAACAAAAGATTTCTGGATGGATTGGGTTAATGGAAAACTGGCAGAAGCCTGGAGGAAGGAGAAGGTCAAGATCAGCTAATAGTAGCTGATAAGAAGTCCTGTATCATTATGAAGAGTATCAAAAGCACCCCTGCAGCCTGGGATGGTTGACTGATAACTATAACTGTAAAACAATATAATCCGATGTGTATCATGACTTAAGAGAATTTGAGAAGAACAGAAAGGTGAATGCCAGTATTCAATGGCCAATGGAACATGTGTTTAGGGACTTTATAGCAATACTTCAGTGCTCTAATGTTCAGGTCATACCTCCCTATCATTCCCTAGGTGGTGTGTTATCTGTTTATATTTTTATCTGCTATCCTAATCTGGGAGTCCTCTGAGTGTAGGGATGACTTATCCATCTTTGTAAATGTCCTCAAAATGCTTGACATATGATGAATATGTTACCACAACACCAGGGGTTCAGTCTAGGTCCTGCTGCTCACAGCACAGAAAGCCAATGACTAAGATGATGATTATTGCCAAGGAAGAAGGCTTTAATTGGGGGCTGCAGCAGACGAGATGAGATGGGAGCTCAGTCTCAAATCCATCTCCCTGACAAACTGAAACTAGGGACTTATATAGCAGGGAAGAGATATAGCAATATGTAAGAAACAGGAACTAGAGAGGGGTAAGGAAGCAATTATGGTGAATGAGGGGCCCTCATCTCATTATCTGGATATGGTGATCTGGTGAGTTCCAGTTCTTCCATACTTTTTTTTGAGAGACCTGAAGGTCCTTTGTTGAGTAAGGAATCCGATAAAACAAATGTTAAGGTTCAAGCTTCAAGACCAAAAACGTCAATTTCTATGTTTATCCAAAAAACTATCTATTGAACTATTGGGTCAGTTTGAAACACATGTTAAAACCTCTAATTTGATTTCCTTATCTCATTTTGCCTGCCTTGTTTCTGAAAGTTTTATCTAATTCAGATGTCACAAACCTCTAAAAATTTCTTTCCTTGTTCAACAAACCCCCTATGTCACAAGTTTACCTGCATAACAAACCTGAACATATACCTTTGAACCTAAAATAAAAGTTTAAAATAAATGAATAAATAAATAAATAATAGCAAAACTATGTTTTTTTAAAAAAAATTCTTCTCAGAGTCACCTATGATAAAGACTTCTAGATTTTGTAGATATTTTACTACTTAATCTGTACAAACAAGTGTAAACCAAGAAAATATTTTAAAATTACTCATGACTAAACAGATGCATTCATGTTAAACTTATCTCTCATCCCTACCCATTCTTGAACTCTTTCTCATTCACTAGTCATTTATGAAAAAACTGTATAACAAATAACTATAATAAAATGGAAAATATATAATTAAGCTAGAGGAAAGGAAGGGTGGGAGTCATCCTTTTTTTTTGGTATATGTTAGTAAATTAATAGTAAAAATAAGGGAGGACTTAGCCATAAGGGTTTTAAAACAGCATGTCTCAATTTGTATACAAGGCTACTATGTTGGTCTGTGAAATACGTAAAAAAAAAAAAAAAAAAAAAAAAAAAGCGATTGATTTTCAGTGCTGCAATCCTGACCTCTAGTGGACATTCAGAACAAAACCCAAACATCACATTCTTTTATTTAGTTACTCCATCAAGCACCATTAGCCAACCTAAAATATTAAACTTTCAAAGAGATTAAAACATGAGAAGCAGAATAAAGTAAAAGAATTTTTGGCTAATATTCTAAATATTCTTGCTGTAGAACCTGTATTTAAGAGCAGCTAGTATTAACTTATTTCTTTTTGCGTGTTAATTATCTGTCACTTTCACTACTTTCTTTGAAACAATGCATTGCTTTATAGATCATAGCAGCAAGAAATTTATCAGAGAAGCCAAATGGATTTTCTTTTGATTACCTGTAATATATAACAAGCTATACGAAAACTGAGTGGCTTTAAAAGGACAATGATTTTTATAGTGAGACATATAGTGATGTTATGTAACCTCCTGATAGAATGCACTGAGAAGGGCACAGCATCACTTCTGTGGTATTTGTGCCCAAAATACATATTCTGAATTTAATCATAAGGAACCAGTAGACATATCGAGTTGAGGGACATTTTATAAAATAACTGGCCAATACTCTTCCAAAGCATCAAGGTCATGAAAAATAAACACTGAAAACGGTCCCATATGAAAGGAGACTAAGGAGACATGACAACCAAATTCAATATATAATCCAGAATTGCATCCTGGACCAGAAAAAGGGCATTAGTGGAGCATTTGATAAAAATAATAGTTTCTTGGTTTTGATCATTATACTATGGTTATGTAAGATGTTAATGTTTGGGTAAAACTGAGTGAAGGATATGTAGGACTTCTTGGTACTGTTTTTGCAAAGTTTTTCTAAATCCGAAATTATTTCCAAGTGAAAAAAAGTAATTAAAACCAATCATTTATTTTCTTACAATCTCATGAGTCAGAAATTTTGGAATTCAACTGTGTGGTTCATCTCTGATCCACTTGGCATCAGCTGGACCACCTGATTCACTTCCAGATGACTTCTTTACTCACATATCTACCACTTTGGTGATTCTTGGTCTTTCTTCTTTACTGATGAAATCTGGTTCTCCAGGCCTTCTTTTGATTGCTTGGTTCCTTAGAGAGCATGGGAGTATAAGTATAATTGCACTTCTTATATGGTAGCTGGCTTCGAAAAGTGAGTGCTCCAAGGGACTGAACATGAAAGCTGTCAATATCTGAAGGCCTGGGCACATAAACTAGCATGGCATCACTTCCACCATATTCTACTGGTAAAAGCAGTACCATAGTCTGCCCAGGTTGAAATGAGAGAACAGAGACCTTAACTCTCAATGGAGAAGCATCAAATAATTGTGACTCTTTAATCCATCACAGATATCTAACAAAAGTCTCACTGAGTTGGCACTCAAGATGGAATTAGTGGAAAAAAGCCTGGATTTGCTTTAGTCTGATAGACCTGAGTTATAGCCTGGCTTTACCATTTACTAACAGTGTTCTGTCTCTGAGCTTCAGTTTAGCCATCTCTAAAATGGTGGCAATAATACATATGCCATAGAGCTGTTGAGAGGATTAAGTGAAAAATATAAAATACTGGATATAATGGGCAATAAATACATGAACCTAATAATAATAATTGCTAGTGTTTATCGAATATTTACCAAATACTCAGTTCACTTGATGTATGCTATCTCATTTAGTCATTATCTCTTCCTAGGGTGGTATGTTTTCTTTTGTATGGGTCAGAAAGGACAGAACCCCATTTCCTCTAGCTTTGTCTGTGAACCTGCTCCATTTACTTTGGCCATTTTTGGTTTGATAATTTGGTAATTTGGTTTATTGACTTGTTGTTAGGATTTCCATTATTTCCCTTTTATTTTGATTCCTAAGAACCCAGGTGCTGATGCACACTTGGTACTTTTTGACACTACCTTTTCAGCATTTGTTCTCAGTGCTGTCAGCTTAAGTTTTTGACAGCTTCTCACACAATCTGTCAGCTCTCTCTGAACCCACGATTGCCTGCTTATCAGAGCCAGAATGTTCAGTGTCTTTGTTTCAGTGAGTGCTCTACTGTCAGCTGTTATTTTATGCAAGATTGTGGGTGCTTAATCCTTGGCCTACCCAAGAACATCATGATCTGCACTTTGGAGCAATTATTCAATTTGGGGCAATTACTTGTAGGTGTTCTTTAAAGCAAAGATGATGCCAGAATGTAATTGAATTTTGAAATAGCAGTATCCAAATCAGTTAAAAAGCTACTTCGTCATGCATGCAAGGCTGATCTCAATCTGTTGTCATTAGAGGAAGGTGGTGACCCTTTCTTCCCACAGCAAGTTGGGTTTTTGTTGCCTCATATACTGCAAGCAGTCAGCTACTTTTTTTGAGTGTTTTCAATATGGAAACAAATAATAGAATTTAGTTCTGGTAGAAGTCACTTATTTGTTATCTTTTTACTCTCTGCTCTCAAAATTTACTTGCCTTTAAATGGAAAGAATCACTTTAATCCTTTAGGAAGTAGAGGACACATTAAATAATATCCAAATAAGAGATTTATTCATTCATTCACATATTCATTGAATCATCTTCTCTAACTTAATTGTTTAGAGTATCACTTTTGGAATTAGGTTAAAATCCTAGATCTGCACTTATTAGCTATTGGACTTAGGAAAGTTACTTTGATTTCTCTAAATCTTGATTTCCTTGTGTATAAAATGGAATTTTAGGTGGTTGTGGGATGAAATAGGGACATGCCTTTAATGTAATTAATTCATATCTTGGCACATACAAAATACTCAGTAGATGTTGGTTATTATTTTGCATTTGGAGTTAGACCTTGTACTATAAATGATAAGTGGCCATAATATGTTTACTTATTTTTTACTCTTAATAATTCTCCAAACCTTTGACTCCTACTACGTACATGTTTTCCCCTTAAGAACAAACAAATTGCTGGGGATTACATATTCCTAAAAATGGGAGGCATCTTGAAAATGTATGAGATATTTTGCTTTTAAAAATACATTTCAAGGCTGAGTGTATTGTCTCATGCCTGTAATCCCAGCATGTTGTGAGGCCAAGGCAGAAGGATCACTTGAGCCCAGGAATTGGAGACCAGCTTGGGCAACATAGGGATACCTCATCTCTACGAAAAAATTAAAAATTAGCCAGATATGGTGGCACACACATGTAGTCCCAGCTACTTGGAAGCTGAGTTGAGAGGATTGCTTGAGCCTGGGAGGTTGAGGCTGCAGTGAGTGGTGATCACACCACTGCACTCCAGCTTGTGTGACAGAGTGAAATTCTATCTCTAAAAAAAAAAAAAAAAAAAAAAAACCTGATAGAATAACAAGTTCTTTTCTGAATTCCATCAACTCAAATGTCTTAAAGTGTATTTGTTTGCATCGTCTAGCCACTCTGTTCTACTTTAGTTCAAGGCTTATGAAGTCTTTATTTTTATGGGTAATGTCTAGAGCTTCATATAAGCAGATATAGTAATACCTTATTTTTCTGAACTTGTTTAAAGAATTTACATACATAAATTTTTCTGGTAACTGAAAGTTTCCTCTTTAGCTTCCCAAACTTCAAAACATCATTATCTACTTTTTATTTAAAACACACACTCACCTCCCTTCTTAAGCACAGTATTATAACATGATATAAGCATTCATCAATCCTGCTGGATTATCATTATTAATAATGACAATTAACAGTAGTTAATAATTAACTATTGAAGATTATTGGCTCCCCCAAGTGGACCCAGAGAGCTATGCATTTTATCTTTTTTTTTTTTTAATATATGTCTTCATTTCTGTGAGATCTAATATTTTAATTCTGACAACTGTCTCTATAAGCTATCTATCCCTGACCCCATCTGGCACATACTTTATCTTGTAGTTTGCTACTTGTAATATCTATAAGCTTCAAAATCATATCACCAAACTAACTGGAAGTATGTATAGAATAAAAAGTTTAGCAAAGTTTCCTCTTGGTGTTTGTGAGAGCTATTTTGGCTATTTAGAGATCTTTATTTACTTAATTTTTACTTGTAAGTTCTTTGTGTCTTGGACAGCTTGGTTGTCTAATTGTTTGATTTTGAGATAATTGAAGAAAGGGGTTCTTACTGTAATTTGATGATAATTCTGTAAATTGGTCTAGTTGGGTCCACAGGGAAATAATCAACCCCCGAAAATTTGGGAAAGCTAGTGTAGTTTAATCATTCAGTCTTCAAATAAGCATTTACTATGCACATTATACCAGCACTGTGTGAGAATATCTCACACAGGAGGCTTGAGGGGGTGATTCTAGCCTGTTACTAAACACATATGTAAACCAAAAACATCTGAGATGGGTTTCAATCAATTTAGAGGTTTATTTTGCCAAGTTACAGACCATGATCCATGACACAGCCTCAGGAGGTCCTGAGAACATGTGCCCAAGGTGATTGGGTTTCAGATTGGTTTTATATGTTTTAGGGAAACATAAGACATTAATCCATGGCCGAGCACAGTGGCTCATGCCCTTAATCTTAGCACTTTGGGAGGCTGAGGCAGGAGGGTTGCTTGAGGCCAGGAGTTCAAGAATAGCTTGGGCAATATAGTGAAACCCTCTCTACCAAAAAAAAAGAAAAAAAAATTATCTGGGCGTGGTGGCATATGCCTGTAGTTCCAGCTACTTGGGAGGCTGATGTGGAAAGATTGCTTGAGTTCAAAAGGTCAAGGCTGCAGTGAGCTCTGATGGTGCCACTGCACTCCAGTCTGGGTGACAGAACGAGACTCTGTTCTTAAAAAAAAAAAAGACATCAGTCCGGGTGCGCTGGCTCACACATGTAATCCCGGCACTTTGGGAGGCCAAGACGGGCAGATCACTTGAGGTCAAAAGTTTGAGACTAGCCTGGCCAAAATGGTGAAACCCCGCCTCTACTAAAAATACAAAAGTTAGCCAGGTGTGGTGGCAGAGCCTGTAGCCCCAGCTACATGGGAGGCTGAGGCACAAGAATCGCCTGAACCCAGGAAGTGGAGGTTGCAGTGAGCCAAGATTGCACCACTGCACTCTAGCCTGGGCGACAGAGCAAGACTCTGTCTCAAAAAAAAAAAAAAGAAAAAAGAAAAGACATCAGTCAATACATGTGATGTGAAGCATACATTCATTCAGTGCAGCAATAATTCAGAGATGGGGCTTCCAGGTCATAGGTGGATTCAAAAATGTTATCTTTTTTTTTTTCTGTTCTTTTCTTTCTTTCTTTTTGTTTGTTTTTTGAGACAGGGTCTCGCTGTGTCATCTAGGCTGGAGTGCAATGGTGTGATCTTGGCTTACTGCAGCTCAACCTCCTCAGTTCAAGCACTCCTCCTGCCTCAGCCTCCCATGAAGCTGGGACCACAGGTGTGTACCACCACACCTGGCTAATTTTTTTTTTACTTTCTTGTAGAGATGGGGTCTCACTTTGTTGCCCAGGTTGGCAAAGATTTCCTGATTGGCAATTGGTTGAAAGAGTTGTTATTATCTAAAAACCTGGAATCAACAGAAAGGAGTGTCTGGGTTAAGATAAGGGCTTGTAAAGACTAGAGTTCTTATTATGTATATGAAGTCTTATGGGTAACCACTCCCAGAGGCAATAAATGGCAAATGTTTCCTTTAGACATCCTAAAAAGGTTCTAGACTCTCAGCCAATCTCTTCAGGATCAGAAAGTGACCTGGAAAGAGAAGGGAATCCTCTATAGAAAGTAAATTTTCCCCACAAGAGACAACTTTGTAGGACCATTTCAAAATATGTTCAAGGAATCTTTATTTTATTTTATTTTTTTTGAGATGGAGTCTCGCTCTGTCACCCAGGCTGGAGTGCGATCTCGGCTCATTGCAAGCTCCGCCTCCTGGGTTCACACCATTCTCCTGCTTCGGCCTCCCAAGTAGCTGGGACTACAGGCGCCTGCCACCACGCCCGGCTAATTTTTTGTATTTTTAGTAGAGACTGGGTTTCACCATGTTAGCCAGGATGGTCTCGATCTCCTGACCTCGTGATCCGCCTGCCTCGGTCTCCCAAAGTGCTTTTGGGATAAAATAGTTTGGTTTCTTTCAGGGCCCTGCTATCTGCTATGTGATGCTATACTTAGAATCACGTTGGAATTTGGTATCTTATTGCTACAGGGTGTTTGCTGTCTGTCTTAGGATCTCTCTTTTAATGTTAATGCTGGTCAGTTGTGTGCCTGAACTCCAAAGGGAGGAGAGTATAATGAGGCATGCCTGATTGCCCCTTCCTGTCGTGATCTGAACTATTTTTTTCAGGTTTAGCTGGGTCCCTTTGGTCCCAGCTTAGTCAGTTGGAGGGCTTAGAATTGTCTTTTTGGTTTTCACAGGTATAATATTGGGCTAGTCACATTCATACTCTAAGAAATGAGAATCATTGTATAGGTTGTTATAACAATCAATGAAATTTCACAATTCCTGTGAATGTAAGGAATTTGGGGGGAATGTTTGACAGGGAGGTTAAGAATACAGCCAAGGTAGCTGAACATGGAGTGGAGTTTCCAAAGGCTACCATGAAAGGATTTGGAAAGGAAAGGAGGAGTAGCAAACTAGCTTAGGATAAAGGACCAGAGCATTATGAAGATGAGAAAACTAGACATGAGAGGGATTTGCATTTTGAGCAGTGACTGGAAAAACAAGAACCAGAGAAATAGTGGATCAGGTTCTGATGGCAAGCTGATAAACACTCAGGTTGTGAGAATTCACTGTTGCCTAGTGGTTGTGATGTGGTGGTGGACAGAGTTGGAGAACAGGGCAGTAGGTCTTTTTTATATTGGCCTTTAAGTTTTGGCAGGTGGGCAGCAGCTAGTGGGTGAGAAGTCAAATTTTGATTCAGAAAGCAAATTTTGCTTAATTGTAACCCACATTTTAAAATCTGTAATAGTCTTTTTTTTCTAATTGGTAAATTGTGGTCAAAACCAGTCCAGGATAATTGCTTAGTATGGTAATGAACTGTGTTCATTTGTTTTTATCTCCTGGCCTGATTATACTTATTTCCTATTGCTTTTGGTTTCTTAAATAATCAGCTGAGTAAACCCCAAACCAAAAATATTTGGTTTATATTTTAACCAACTGAATATTTGTGTTTATCATTCATTCCTTCCATCATTATGTTATATTTCTGGTACCTGAATGTGAAAGTTTATGTTAGCAAATCATAACAGGAATACACTCTAAATATCTGGGCCTAATCCTTGCTTCTGGAGTTATTTCAGAGACAGAAGAAGCATGGTTTATTATAAGTTTTTTGGATAGCACATTTGGTATAGCTCCATATCCAAAAGCCAGCCAGAATGTATCAGTGACCAAGATGAAGAGGGCACATCAAATAGACCCTGGACTTATGGGACTTATGCCAACTCATACTTGAAATATCTTTTTTCTTATGTATGATGACTTGCATGGCAAGGAAACAGCACATTTTGTAGCAAACATTTCTGATTGTTACCTTTATCATATAAGATTCTCTATCTTTTGAATTTAATAACTCAATGTCTCTTCAGAGCAATTGGGCAGAACCCAGAGTTCAAAATTCAGTTCTAGAATAGCTTCTTAAGGAACAATTTAATTTGTTTATTTCTAAAGAAATATTGCTATGGTTTTCAGAAAAGGAAAGGAAGTCTGGCAGATAGCCCCTAATGACCACCTCTAGTTATACAAATAATACTTGAAAGCAATTGCTAAAACAAATAAGAAAACAATAAGAACTGTAGTGGAAATGCAGTGTGATACTTAAAGCCTCCAGTACACAATCTGTCCCACTTATCAGCAACACTGCCTTGTTTTTTTTTATTTTATTCTGTCTGCCACTTGCAGTTTAACTGTAACACCGAGATGTCCAGATTAGGGTTAGGAATTTCAATTAATAATTTTAGACTTCTGCATCATTATGCCAGCTTGAGCAAGGAACTTGACTTTCACAAGACTTAGGCACATGCAAATAATCCAGAAATTGACTGAAGGGAAATAACTTATTGTAAAAACAATTTTATGTGAACATTGATTAAATAGCACCTAAAATTTATAACAAGCCACTCAGGGAAAGAAAATACCTTTAAAAAAAAACTCATGGTTTAATTATTGTTTGTGAAGATGAAAGCAATTAGGAATTTTATTAAATATATGTGGAAGTCTTGGGGAAATAATAAAATAGTGATACATGTGGCAGTACTAATCTTCACTTTCTTTTTCTATTTCAGGGTTTGAACATAATCTTTCATGTAGCTTTGGCTCTCCTAAAGGTAAGTCTTTTTTTTAATCTTAAGTTACCACATTCTCTTACCTCTTTGCCCTTGGAACTGGAATAATTCAATTTACAGTCTTTGACTCATTTCAGTTTCTCAGACACACAAAAATAGATGACTTCTCTGAGAAACTCTGATCCTCTTCCCTCCTCTCATCTTTTTCTGTTGTTGTTTATTTGGAGTCTTTTTTTTCTTATAATCCATTTATTTAATGGTACTATCATAGAGCTCTTTCCAGTAACATAAAATATCTTTTTATCATATGAATTGGATGATATAAGAGAAAAGGTTAAAAATTGTTTTCTGTCAAAATGATGCCTGCTTTTTTCTTAAAACACTTTTTACTATAACATCTCTGGAGGTACCTAAACATATAATTGAATTATTAAAAAGTTTTTATAATATACTGACTAAAAAAGAAACTGCTACATTTCAATTTGCAGTTCTTTCCATGATAGTTAGAAATTTATAAAACACTTTAGAATTCTATTGTAATTACCTTGTTGGATTTTATGTCAACATATCATACAGCTTTAATAATGTGGTAACTGCAAGGCATTTGCTGCAGAGTTGATGAAGATAACCCAGCTGGTTTTTGTCCTTCAGTCAGAGAAGACATTCTGATATTAAAGGCAATAATTGCCTCAAAGGCACAGGCTTACCCTTTCCTCAGTATAACATGGTGGTTAAAATGGCAGACCTGGACTCAGACAGATTTGCTTCTAATTTCAGCCCTACCATATGACCTTAGGCAAATTTTTCTAAGTGCTCAAAGTCTGGGTTTTGAGATAATAATAGGAATTAATTTATGGGATTGTTAAAAGAATTGAGATGATCAAAGAAGTCCTTAGTATAGTATCTAGAACATTTTACTGCCTAGTAAAGTTAGCTGTCATTATTATTGTTCTTTACAAGGTGACTCAGAATGTGTTCTTAGATCCCTTATCATTCTTCTGAATCTCTCAAAAGATAATGATGTGGTATCATAGGAGGACCTCTTGATACGTTAGGAGAGCCTTAACCATACCTAACCATTAACATAACCTTGATTCTAAACAAAGGCATGAAATAGTACAGGCCCTCTGCAACTCAGTAAGTGGATTTCTATTCCTCATCTCTTATTCCTTTACACATTTGCTCTTTGTGAAGTTCATAAGATACACTTTTTAAAATTAAATCGATTGTGTTTATATATTTTTTATGCCAAAGCTATTTAGAAAATAGAAAAATATTTTAAATAAAATAACACAAACATATTTGCTGTGTCCCTTAATGAAGTCATGGGTTTTGACCTCTAATTTTTTTCTTTCATTAAAACAAATCCAAGCTGAAACTTTCCAACATGTCCTCTCAACAGGGCTGGAATAAGACTTTTAGAATGCCTAAGCATTGAAAGTATATGTAATACAGACTAAAAAAATATTAAAACATAAAGTAAGTATAAGGAGGTCCAAGAAAGTTCTGATTTCTCATATTATATCTAATGTTTTAAACTCTCAGATATTATGTCTTTCCTAAAATGCCTTTCCTCATTTTTTTGGTGACTTATCTTTACTAGTGCTTTCACTGAATGCTTAATCTGTCTTTTGAGTAACCCAGGACTACCTCTCTGGATATCAGACCTATACCCTGTGTCAACTTAATACTATATACATTAGTAAATTATCTTCTTGATTGACATGTTGACTTGTTCATATTATTTTCATTTATTTTGTCCATGTTAACACAGACAAGGCCTCTACAGAGGACATACTCTGGCCACTGGGCAGGAAGGCTTTGTCTGTCTTCTTTAGCAATACATGGGCACTCTTGTAGCATCATCTTAGAGAATTTTACTAGTTAGAGAAGATAAAAAGAGCCTTCTCACCACTAGTGCCCTATATTTATGTAACTTCCTTATATGAATCCTGAAGCTGACCCCCCCAATAGACAGAGTATATATGGGACTAAACTGAAGTGTACTTTAATGATCTATTGCCACCACTTGGAAAAAAAGAATACGCAAACATATATGACAGTCACTGACTTTCAGCTTCTAGTGTAGTATACCAGATAAAATAATATGTATTTGTTTATATCAAAATTAAAAACTTTGGAGAAGTTCAAATTGCTGGGTTTTTTTTTCTTTTGTTTTGTTTTGTTTTTTGCTTTTTGAGACAGGGTCTTATTCTGCTCACTCTGTTGCCTAGGCTGGAGTATAGTGGCGTGGTGATAGCTTACTGCAGCCTCAAATTCCTGGGCTCAAGTGATCCTCCCTCCTCAGCCTCTTGAGGAGCTAGAATTACAGGTAGATGCCACCATGCCCAGCTAATTTTAAAAATATTGTAGAGACAGGGGTCTCACTATGTTGCTCAGGCTGGTCTCAAACTCCTGGACTCAAGCAGTCCTCCTGCCTTGGCCTCCCAAAGCACTGGGATTATAGGTGTGAGCCAATGAGCCTGGCCTTCAAAGTGCTTATGAATTGAGCCTAAGGAATTTTCAGTATAGCTACAGAGAGACTTCAGATTTCTCTGTATTATAAGCATTTCTTGTGATGAGGGGACAGAACTAACATTTCTTGAACATTTATACTCTGTGTTAAGTACTAACAGATTATCTCATTAACATACATTAAATGTCTAGGATTTATTTGTAGAATAGTAATGGTATTAGCCAGAGAAAACATCTAATTCTTCCCCCAGCCCCTAGTTGATAATTGAGAGATCAAAGCTCAAGATCACCTTAAGACTTTTGTCTCAGTAGTGGGAAAGTTGGATTTATAATTTTTTTGAATGGGATAGATATAGGATGAATTCTGTGTTGCTCAGTTAGGTTTTAAAGACACCTACTTTCTGAACGGGACCAACTTCTTTTTGGTTAGTAATAGCCTATCAGGTAGCTAAAAAGCTATGGACCTAAAAGAATGATTCACAATACTAGGCAGCATCATGAAATCATTTTGTGTCCAGTAGGTAGGTCAGATATATTCCTCCAAATGTAATTTATTTACTTATATGAAACATTAGGTAGTCATAGAATACATTCAATAGATTTAATAGACTGGAGATGATCAGTCAGAATTGTTCTTAGCACTTCATGTTGGGCACAGAAATTTTTCAGTCAGAATAGGTTTTTTGTTTGCTGTCCGTGGTTAAAAGCAAATGACAGAGTGTTTTTCTCTGGCCTTCCCAAAGTATTATATGCTTATTTCGTGTCCTACATGTGTATGCAGACACTACAGAGATAAAGAAAGCCCAATCATAATCCTGTTCCCAGGGATGACCATAATAAAAACTTGGTATAAAACCTTTATCCCATGCTTTGGCCTATGGTTATATAAGTATGCATTACCTACCTATACACATATGTATATATGTATGTATGTATATTTTTAATCTGAGTTTGAGATAAGATGGGAAAGTGGGAGGAAATCCAGAAGAACAGTGTGAAAGGATGCACATAAATTTATTTTCTTTCAAAAAATGCTGTTGAACAATACTCTTTTTCATTCAGTATATCGTGAATATCTTTCCATGTCACTAAACACATGTAAGGGTTAAAAGCATGTGGACATTGGAGTCAGACTACTTAAATTCAGATTCATTCAAAACAATTTATCCAATGGTCTTAGGTAAATTACAATTTCTCCATTTTTTAAATGGGGGAATATTAGTAATACCAGTCTCATAAGATTGTTGTCAGAGTTTAATGAGTTAATATATGATTGATGCCTAGAACTCAGTACTACAGTGTACTGAGGTGCTATTGTTAGAGACAGAATTTCTCTTTTGACTGGTTTTTATCCTACTGTATGTGCCATAATTTATTTTGAGGCAGAGTCTGGTTCTGTTGCCCAGGCTGCAGAGCGGTGGCACAATCTTGGCTCACTGCAACCTCCGCCTCCTGGGGTGCAAGTGATTCTCCTGCCTCAGCCTCCTGAGTGGCTGGGATTACAAGTGCAAGCCACCAAGCCCTGCTAAATTTTGTATTTTTAGTAGAGACGGGGTTTCACCATGTTGGCCAGGCTGGTCTCGAACTCCTAACCTCAGGTGATCCACCTGCCTCAGCCTCCCAAAGTGTTGGGATTACAGGCATGAGCCACCGCACCCTGCCCTGTACCATATATATATATATTTTTTTTTGAAAGCCACTGACTTTATTGATCTAAAAAACTTTACAAGGACAGTGACTTTTCTGCCAAAAAAGGAGCCAAATGGTATCAAACGGACTGAAATTGAGGGTGGGGGTGAGGGATGGGGCCAGGAATCCATTCAGGAAAGCTGGTGACTGTCCCCAGGGAAGTAGCAGGGGAAAAAGGAAGGCGGAGGCATGCAAGAGTGAGAATCCAAAAAAGTTAAAATGATTAGGAGAGAAAACTCCCAAAAGACCCTGGAGTACATTGGAGGTGAGTAGGACAATAGCAGTCTTTTCCTTTGTTGAGGACAGGGGAGGAGTCCCTACTCGGTTGCAAACTCCGGATGAGGGCTGGGGATTGAGGGCTTCCCAGAAAGCATCACAAGAAGGTGTCACACCACTCTCGAAGGCATCTGAAGCAGTCCTGGGACTGCTTGGCATTGGCACCACCAGTGTCCCTCAGCCATTCTCAGAAGAGGTCTTCATCTTTCTTTAGCACCAGAAACTGGCCAAGGACAACATAGGCCTTGTCAAAGCACCCTTCCTCCAGCTTCTTGTCCATAACTTCACCAATCCCGGCCAGGCTCCCTACTGGCTTTTCCCCCACGGACTCTGCCACAAAGTCTCGGTGCTTTTGGGAGGTTGTAATCTTGTTCAGGTTTAATTGTCAGCTTCAGTTCCCATAATGGTTCCTCCTGCCACCTGGCTGCTCCTGCCTATACCTCAAGCCACTAGAACTTTCCCCTGTACCACAATTTATTTAACCAATTTTATATTTAGTTTTTATGGACATTTGTTTCCAGAATTTCCTGTTAAATAAAACCGTAACAAATATCCTTAAACTTGCATCTTTGCATACTTATCTGATATCTCTGGGGTAAATTTCTAGAGATGGAATTGCTAGGTCAAACTGTAACCAAATTTTAATTTTGGATACATATTACAAAATTCTTCTCTGCTAGCAATGTGAGAGTACATTTTCCCATACTCTTCAAAAATTTCTAAACATTAAGCACCTTTATGGAAATCAAAAGCAAGTTATAAATATAAATATAATATATAAATATATAAATTTATTTATACATAAATATAATAAATATAAATGTAAAACAAAGCAATTTAAAAGTAATGATTTAGTAATTTTTTATTACTAAATCATATAAATAAAGCTCTTCAGCCAGCTTTGAAGACTCCAGTATTTTCTTTTTTGGGGAGAATATCCAGTTTCTTTAGGGAAGCAGTGGATCATGGCTAAATTCTAGAAGACTGGACCTTCTCTTAGTTTGGAGGGGCTTATATAAAAGTTCTGACACTTTAGGGGGCCAAGGTGGGTGAATTAGGTCAAGGGTTCGAGACCAGCCTGGCCAACATGACGAAACCCCGTCTCTACTAAAAATACAAAAAACGCCAGGCGTGGTGGTGGGCACCTGTAATCCCAGCTACTTGGGAGGCTGAGGCACAAGAATCGCTTGAACCCGGGAGGCAGAGTTTGCAGTGAGCCAAGATTGCACCATTGCACTCCAGCCTGAGTGACAGAGCGAGACTCCATCTCAAAAAAAAAAAAAAAAGAGTTCTGAAGTGTATCTTTGATGTTTTTGGCTTTTCAGCCCTTTCCAGTATGGTTTTTCCTTACCATTCCATTGAAGCTTTTTTAGTATCTTACTTGATCCTTCAACAGTTGTCAAAACAGCATAATGACATACACAACGCTTCCTTTTTTTTCCCCTTCTTTTTTTATGTTTTGGAAACATCTTCCCTTGGTTTCTGTCCTTTCTTTTATCTCCCCCTCTGCTACTTCTGTCTTTTTTTTTCCTCACTCCTTTTTCCCCCTAGCCATTAGCTTGGAGTTCTACAGATCTCCAGCCTCTAGGAATTTGCTTATTGCTTCTCCCTTGTTGATCTTATTCATTCCCCTGGTTTCATCTATAAATGTTTACTCTCATTTATTTTTATTTTTTTTAATCCCTCACCGCCCTCCCACCCTTTCCCCTTCTGAGTCTCCAATGTCCATTTTCTACTTTGTATGCTTTTGCATACCCATAGCTTAGCTCTCACTTAGTGAGAACATTTGGTATTTGGTTTTCCATTCCTGAGTTACTTCACTTAGGATAATGGCCTCCTCTTTCAAGTTTCTACAAAAGACATTATTTCATTCTTTTTTATGGCTGAGTAGTATTCCATGGTGTATATATTAATATATCACATTTTCTCATCTACTCCTCAGGTGATGGGCACTTAGGTTGATGTTTACTCTCATTTATATTTAATCCAAACCCACATATTTGGCTGTGGACTGAACATGTCGGCTTGGATGTTTCACAGGCACATCAAAAGTCAAAACTGAAATAATGTGCCCTCCCAAATGTACTTTTCATCTAGTAACCTCCACTTCAGTAAGGACTCTACCCAGCTGCTCAAACCAGAAACCTAGAAGTTATCCTTAACTCTCTTCTCAATATCCCATATCAGTTCAGTCACCAAGTCCTGTGGATTCTACTTCTTGAAAATTTTTAGAATCTTCCCACTTTTCTCCTATTCTTACTTAGGTAGCTTTTAGGCCACCAAATTTTCCAGGAAGATGATGCCCTCCTGGATTATTGCAGGACCTCCTGTAATAATAAATATTGGATACCTATGAAGTGCCAGGTACTGTTCTAGACATTGGAGATAAAGTAGTAACCAGGAAAGACCCTGCTTTCATGGAACTTGCATTCCAATGAGAGAAAGATAGTAATTAAACAAATAAATGAATATATATGTTAGTTCATTCTTGCATTGCTATAAAGAAACATTCGAGGCTGGGTAATTTATTTAAAAAAAAAAAAAAAAAAAAAGAAGTTTCAGCCAGGTACATTGGCTCATGCCTGTAATCCCAGCACTTTGGGAGGCCAAGGTGGGCGGATCACTGGAGGTCAGGAGTTAGAGACCAGCCTGGCCAACATAGTGAAACCCTGTCTCTACTAAAAATATAAAAATTAGCCAGGCATGGTGGCGTGTGCCTGTAGTCCCAGCTACTTGGGAGGCTGAGGCAGGAGAATCTCTTGAACCTGGGAGGCAGAGGTTGCAGTGAGCCAAAATTGCACCACTGCACTCCAGCCTGGGCAACAGAGTGAGACTCTGTCTCCAAAAAAAAAAAAAGAAAAAAAATGGTTTTATTTTGGCTTACAGTTCAACAGGTTATATACGAAACATAGTACTGATATCTGCTTCTGGTGAGGGCCTCAGGAAGCTTACAATCATGGCAGAAAGCAAGGGGAGCTGTATATCACATGACAAGAGGAGAAGCAAGATACAGAAGGGGGAGGTCCCAGACTCTTTTACAACAGCCAGATCTCACGTGAACTCACTGAGTGAGAACTAGCTCATTAGCAAGGGGATGGCAATAAGCCATTCATGAGGGATCTACACTCCCATGACCCAAACACCTCCCACTCGGCCCTACCTTCAACATTGGGGATTACACTTCAACATGAGATTTGGAGGGGACTACACTTCAACATGAGATTTGGAGGGGACAAACATCCAAACCATATCAATATGATTAGTTTAGATCATGCTGAGGTTTATGAAAGAGGTAGGTTTGAGAAGATGGTGGCTTGGATTTGAGTGTTAGCAGTGGAACTGACAGAAGTGGGTGACTGCACTTTCCCCATATACTCTTGACCATTGTTGAGTCCGTTGCCACACTGCCAGTAGTCTTTTTAAAGCAGATTTTTTTTTTTTTACTTTGAATTTCAGGGGTACTTGTGTAGGTCTGTTATATAGATAAATTGTGTGTCATGGGGGTTTGGTATACAGATTATTTCTTCACCCAGGTGATAAGCATAGTACCCAATAGGTGGTTTTTGGATCCTCACCCTCCTCCACCCTCAAGTAGGCCCCATGTCTATTGTTCCCTTCTTTGTGTCCACGTGTACTCAATGTTTAGCTCCCACTTACAAGTGAGAGCACGTGGTATTTGGTTTTCTGTTCTGTGTTAGTTTGCTTCGGATGATGGCCTCCAGCTGCATCCATGCTGCTGCAAAGGACATGATCTCATTCTCCTTATGGATGCATAGTATTCTATAGTGTTTACCACATTTTATTTAACCAGGGTACTGTTGATGGGCATCTAGGTTGATTCCATGTCTTTGCTATTGTGAATAGTGCTGCGATGAACATGCATGTGCATGTGTCTTTATGGTAGAACAGTTTATATTCCTTTGGGCATATACAAAGTAATGGGATGGCTGGATCAAATGGTAATTCTGTTGTAAGTTCTTTGAGAAATTGCCAAACTGCTTTCCATGGTGGCTGAACTAATTTGTATTCCCACCAACAGTGTATAAGCATTCTCTTTACTCTTCACCCTCACCCAGCATCTGTTGTTTTTTGGCTTTTTAATACTATTAAAGCAGATTTTAGTCATTATTCAACAATATTTAGTAAACACCTATTTAGAGACAGATACTGTTCTATGTGCTTGAATAGAAATGAGTGAACTAAAGTAACAAAGCTACTTGCCTCTGTGGAAATTATTTTCTAGCAAGAGACAGTTGATAATTGTATTAGTTCATTTTCACACTGCTGATAAAGACATACACAAGACTGGGCAATTTATAAAAGAAAGAGGTTTAATGGACTTACAGTTCCACGTGGCTGGGCCAGGCCTCACAATCATGAAGGACGGCAAGGAGGAGCAAGTCACATCCAACATGGATGGCAGCAGACAAAGAGAGAGGGCTTGTGTAGGGAAACTCTTGTTTTTATTTATTTATTTATTTTTTAATTTAAAAGTAAACTTTAATGTCAAAAATGCAAACTTGAGGAGGCCAGAAAGATCACACACAAGACTGCCACTTCACACTTGGATGGTTGCACAGCAGTCCGGCAGAGGCGCTCCTCACTTGCCAGACAGTGCGGGGGCCAGGGAGAGGCACTCCTCACTTCCCAGAGGGTGGCACGGCCAGGCAGAGGCGCTCCTCAGTTTTCAGACGGTGCAGCCGCCAGGCAGAGGTGCTCCTCACTTCCCAGACAATGCAGGGGCCGGGGAGAGGCGCTGCTCACTTCCCAGCAGAGGCTCTCCTCACTTCCCAGATGGTGGGGCCGCCTAGCAGAGGCGCTCCTCATTTTTCAGACGGTGCGGCCGCCAGGCAGAGGCACTCCTCACTTCCCAGACGGAGACAGTGTGGGGGCCGGACAAGGGCCGAACAGAGGCATTCCTCACTTCCCAGACGGTGGAAACTCCCGTTTTTAAAACATCAGATCTCATGAGACTATTCACTACCAGGAGAACAGCATGGGAAAGACCCACCACCATGATTCAATTACATTCCACCAAGTTCCTCCCACAACACATGGGAATTGTGGGAGTTAGAATTCAAGATGAGGTTTGGGTGGGGACACAGCCAAACCATATCAACAATAAACATAATAAATATATAAATATAGTATATTAGAAGTTATAGTATTATGGGGAAAAGGAAAAGTACCGCAGGGTGATGGGAGTTATGGGTAGGTTGCAATGTTAAATAGGGTAGTCAGGATAGGCCCCAACTAGAGGGTGAGATTTGGACAAAGACTGCAGGTAGTGAGGGGATGCTCTGTGCTGGGAGTGTGACTGAGTGTTGAGGGACAGATGGAAGCCAGCGAGACTGCAACAAGAGAGTGAGGGAAGGGCGGTAGGAGATGAGGTCAGAGAAGTAAATTTTTTCTTGCTTAAAGTCCTTTAAAGGCCTCCATTGCTCTTAGGATAAAGTTCACAATTTTGACACAGTCCACATAGTTTTTATGATCTGGCACAACTTACCTCTCCATCCTCAACTGCCCCTTCCCTCCCTCTCATTTGCACTGTCTCAATCAAGCCATAATGAACTTCTTTCAGGTTTTCCCAATAGACCAATCTGTCTTTCACTTAAGAGTCATCACATATACTGGTTTCCTCTGCCAGGAATGCTCTGTCTCCCTCTCTTCAATAAGCTAATTTCCATTTAGCTTTACTACGTTAGGAACTTTCTGTGCCTTCTGCAAACTTAGGTTAGACAGTGAAAACACAGGTTCCCTTTGTCTTCTAGGACATCTATTTGACAGTCCTTTGCATACTTGGGACTGATACCTGATTAAATGGTTGGTTGGTTGTTGTCTTCCTCATTGTAGTTAATCTCTATGTGGGGTCTGCCCACTAGTTTGCCTTTGTATTGGAGTTGCTGGCACATAGTAGGCACTTAAATATTTATTGACTACTGACTTAGAGTCAAATTGAGAAAGCATAGGTTTTCTTTTCCCTCACTTCCTCCTATGTGTATATGAATAAGAATTCTGCCAGGATAGCAGCTTTTTCAACCCAGGTCTCCTTTGCTTTTTTTTTTTTTTTTTTTTTTTTTAAGATAGATTCTAGCTCTGTTGCTCAGGCTGGAGTGCAGTGGCTCTATCTCAGCTCACTGGAACCTCCACCTCCCAGGTTTAAGAGGTTCTCGTGCCTCAGCCTCTGGAATAGCTGGGACTACAGGCATGCGCCGCCACACCTGGCTAATTTTTGTATTTTTGGTAGAGGCAGGCTTTCACCATGTGGGCCAGGCTGGTCTCAAACTCCTGGCCTAAAGTGATCCACCCGCCTTGGCCTCCCAAAGCGCTAGGATTACAGGCATGAGCCACCGTGCCTGGCCTCCTTTGCTTTTAAAAACCTTGAAATTAATTGCTCTTGTCCCCAGTATTTAGCTTCTCTCATTTTCATTATTGAGATATAATTTATGTGTCATAAAATTCCCTTTAAAAATGTACAATTAGTGGCTGGGTGTGGTGGCTCATGCCTGTAATCCCAGCACTTTGGGAGGCTGAGGTGGGTGGATCAGAGGTCAGGAGATCGAGACCATCCTGGCTAACACGGTGAAACCCCGTCTCTACTAAAAAACAAAAAATTGGCCGGGCGCGGTGGCTCACGCCTGTAATCCCAGCACTTTGGGAGGCCGAGGCGGGCGGATCACGAGGTCAGGAGATCGAGACCATCCTGGCTAACACGGTGAAACCCCGTCTCTACTAAAAATACAAAAAAATTAGCCGGGCGTGGTAGCGGGCGCCTGTAGTCCCAGCTACTCGGGAGGCTGAGGCAGGAGAATGGCGTGAACCTGGGAGGCGGAGCTTGCAGTGAGCCAAGATCGCGCCACTGCACTCCAGCCTGGGCGACAGAGCGAGACTCCGTCTCAAAAAAAAAAAAAAAAAAAAAAAAAAAAAAAAAAAAAATTAGCCAGGCGTGGTGGCAGGTGCCTGTAGTCCCAGCTATGCAGGAGGCTGAGGCAAGAGAATGGCGTGAACCCGGGAGGCGGAGCTTGCAGTGAGCCGAGATCGTGCCACTGCACTCCAGCCTGGGCAACAGAGCAAGACTCCGTCTCAAAAAAAAAAAAAAAAAAAAAAAGTACAATTAGTGGTTTGTAGGGTTGTCACAAACTTGTGCACCCATCACCTTTATCTAATTCTAGAACATTCTTATCACCCCATAAGCATAGTAGCCACTTCCCATTTCCCCATCCTATCACCACCTGACAACTTCTAATCTGTTTTCTATCTCTGTAGATTTACCTATTCTGAACATTTCATATAAATGGGATCATATGATAAGTGGTCTTTTGTGACTGGCTTTTTTTCCTTAGCATAATGTTTTCAACGTTTATCCATGTCGTAGCATATATCAGTTCTTAATTCCTTTTTATTGCTAGATAATATTCCATTGTTCAAATGTACCACATTTTATTTATCCATTAATCAGTTAATAAACATTTCAGTTGTTTCCATTTTGATTGTTATGAATAATACTACTGTGAACATTTGTGTACAAGGTTTTGTGAACATATGCTTTCAGTTCTCTTGGTTATATGCCTAGGAACAGAATTCTTGGATCATATGGTAATTATGTGTTTAACTTTTTAAGGAGCTGCCAAACAGTTTTCCAAAGCAGCTGCACCATTACATCCCCCGTGGCAACGTATAAGTATGTTGTAAGGCCTAAAATTAAAGCCCAATATGATGTGCTGCCTCAACATCTGGCAGAAATCAGGAAGGCCTCCAGTCACCTAAGTGCAAGGTCTCCTCCTTATTTTGCTCCTGTGGATAAGGTTTCCTAGCCAAACAACCCTCCTTAGCCAAAGGGTGAGGCGCTGTTCTTTTCTTTGATTTTGTTTTTTTAGGGCTGGGGTCTCACTCTGTTGCCCAGGTTGGAGTGCAGTGGCACAATCATAGCTCATTGCAACCTCCAATTCCTAGACTCAATCCTTCTGCCTCAGCCTCCAAAGTAGCTGAGACTGTAGGCGTGAGCCACTATACCCAGTGGCATTGTTCTTTCTTAGAGTAGCAAACTTCAGTTCCTTGCCAGCCTGTGTCATTATTCAGACAAGCCAATCACATCATCCCAGGGGAGCTAGGGGGCACCCCACTCTCTTGATACCATAAAGCTGCCTCCCACAGCCCCTGATTGTTCACTGTGTTTTAATCCAGCCCTTCCATGATGTTTTCCTCCCTTGGGGATGTGAATACCTGTTACTAATAAACTACTGTCAATCTCATCTGTCCGTGTCAGGTAAACTACTGTCAATCTCATCTGTCCGTGTCAATCTCATCTGTCCGTGTTTGACCATGGCTGCAACCGTAGGGCAGGAATTCCTCCCGTATTAGCAGGGTGAATAGGAGACAATCGAAACAATGAGGGTTTGATTCTTCTACATCCTTGCTAACACTTGTTATTGTCTACTTTATTTTTTATTATAGCCACCTTAGTGGACATGAAGTGACATCTTGTTATGTTTTGATTTGCATTCTCCTGATGTGGGACATCTTTTCTAGTCTACAGCCATACCACCCTGAATGCGCCCGATCTCATCTGAACATATTTTCATGTGCTTATTGGCCGTTTGTATATCTTTTTTGGAGAAATGGCTGTTCAGATCCTTTGCCCACTTTCTAATTGGGTTTCCTGCACTTTTATTGTTGAGTTGTAACAGATATATATTTTTTGAGTCAGGGTCTCATTCTGTTGCCCAGGCTGGAATGCAGTGGCATAATCATGGCTCACTGCAGTTTCAGACTCCTGGGCTCAAAGGATCCTCCTACATCAGACTCCCAAGTAGCTGTGACTACGTGTGTGCCACCATGTCCAGCAAATTTTTTTTTTTTTTTAGAGACAGGGTCTTACTATGTTGCCCAGGCTGAGCTATAACAGTTCTTTATATGTGCTGGGTATTGCCTCCCATTCTGTGGACTGTCTTTTCATTTTCTAGATAATGTCCTTTGAAACACAAACATTTTTAATTTTAAGGAAGTCCAATTTATTTTTTCTTTAGTTGTTTGTGCATTTGGTGTCATATCTAAGGTCACGAAAATTTCTTCTTCTAAGGGTTTTATAATTGTAGCTTTTACATTTAGGACTTTGATGCATTTTGAGTTAATTTTTGTATATGATGTAAGGCAGGGCATTATGGCTGAATCGTGTTTCCCCCCTACCCCCAAAATTCATATGTTGAAGTCGTAACCCCTAGTTACTCAGACTGTGACAGTATTTGGAAATAGAATCTTTAAAGAGGTAATTAAGTTAAAATGAGCTCATTAGGGTGGGCCCTAGTCCAATATAACTAGTATCCTTAAGAGGACATTGGGACACAGACATGTATGGAGAGAAGATCATGCAAAGTCACAGGGAGAAGACAGCCATCTACAAGCCAAAGTGTGAGAAGAAACAAACCCTGCTGACACCTTGATCTTAGACTTCTAGCCTCCAGAACTGTGAGAAAATAAATCACTGTTGTTAAGCCACCCAGTCTGATTCCTTTTTATGACAGCCCTAGCATACCATACACTAGGGGTACACCTTCATCCTTTAGCACATGGCTATCTACTTGTCCCCATACCATTTGTTGAAAAGACTCTTCTTTCTCCTTTGGATGGTCTTGGCATCCTTGTCAAAAATCAGTTGACCATGGACAGTTTTATTTCTGGAGTCTCTATTCCCTTATCTGTGTGTCTGTTCTTACACCAGTACCACAGTCTTGATTACTCTAGCTTTGTAATAAGTTTTGAGATAAGGAAGTGTGCATTCTCCAGTTTTGTTCTTCTCTTTCAAGATTGTTTTGGCTATTCCAGGTCCCTTGCATTTTCATATGAATTTTAGGATCAGTTTGTCAGTTTCTGCCAAAAAGGCAATAGGATTTTAATAGGGATTGCTTTGAATCTCTGTATCCATTGAGGAGTAATGCCATCTGAATGTAAACCAAAAATGAAATCCTAAGCCCCCTGACCATTCTTTTACCTCAGTCCCTTGACAAGGGCATCTCAGAGGTAACCTGAAAAAACAAATTCAGCCCATGATGGGGGAAGGTGGGAGTCTGACATGCCTCATTATGCCATCTTCCCTTTTGGAATCACCAATAGAACAGACTTGTTAAGTCTGTTAAACATTTACAATCTATTCTCTCCAAGCCTGCTATCTGGAGGCTTCACCTGCATGATAAAACCATGGTATCCACAACCCCTTATCTTAACCCAGACATTCCTAAGTGTTTAGACAACAACTTAACTTTTTCAACCAATTGCCAATAAGAAAATCTTTGAATCTACCTGTGACCCGGAAGCTCCCACTTCCCCGTTGTTTCACCTTTCTGGACCAAACCAATGTACATCTTCCATGGATTTGATTGATGTCTCATGTCTTCCTAAAATGTATAAAACTAAGCTGTTCTCCGACCACCTTGGGCACATGTTTTCATGATCTGAGGGCTGTGTCATGGGCCATTGGTCATTTATATTTGGCTCAGCATAAACCTCTTCAAATATTTTACAGAGCTTGACTCTTCATCGACATTAACAATATTGAGACTTTTGATCCATGAACATGAGGTTTTTTCACATTTATTTAGGTCTTATTTAATTTTTTTTGATGATACTTTGTGGTTTTTAGCATACAAAAGTCTTAAAGCACTTGAAAAAATTTAATTCTAACTTTTATTCTGCTTGATGCTATTGTGAATTGAATTGTTTGTTAATTTCATTTTCACTGCGTCCTCATTACTGGTATCCAAAAATACAACTGACTTTCCTTTTTTTTTTTTTTGAGACGGAGTCTCACCCTGTCACCCAGGCTGTAGTGCAGTGGCGCAATCTCGGCTCACTGCAAGCTCCGCCTCCCAGGTTAAATAGAACCAACTTATCTATATTGATCTTATAACCTGCAACCTTGTTGAACTCATTTTCAGCTTTAATATTCATGTATGTGTATTGTGTGTTTCCCAAGATTTTTGAAATACAAGATGTCATTGTATTAGTATGTTTTCATGCAGCTGATAAAGACATACCCGAGACTGGGCAATTTACAAAAAAAAGGGGTTTATTGGACTTACAGTTCCATGTGGCTGGGGAGGCCTCACAATCATGCCTGAAGGTGAAAGGCACATCTCACGCGGCTGTGGCAAGAGAGAGAATGAGAGCAAAGTGAAACAAGTTTCCCCTTATTAAAACATCAGATTTCGTGAGACTTATTCACTACCACAAGAACAGTATGGAGGAAACCACCCCCATGATTCGGTTATCTCCACCTGGTCCCTCCCACAACACATGGGAATTATGCGAGTACAATTCAAGATGAGATTTGGGTGGGGACACAAAGCCAAATTGTATCAGTCATCTTGTAGACATATTTTTACTTCTTCCTTTCTGATTTGGATGCATTTTCTTTCTTTTTCTTGCCTAATTCCTCTGACTAAAACCTCCAGTACTGGCAGAATAGGTAACTAGGCAGACATGAACAGGACAGGAGAGGGCCCTCCTCCCCAGGAATGTCAGGTGACCATCAGGTAATGGTCATGCAGTTGTTAAACTATCTAACATAATGGTTGTAGCTTGCGCCAGGGAAAGGCTGTCTCCCAATAGATAGAAACCACCTGAAGCTGGTGATCAGCAGCTTCTTAATAAGATCTCAGGATTTTGCGAGTAGGCTCAAGCATGCCCACCAGGAGGCAAACTGGTGGAGTTTAACAGGTATATGACCCTCCTCTGGGAACACTAGTCAACTGGTAAGGGAAAAATACCTCAAATGAACATGCACACAACTTCAGTAAACACACTGTACATGCGGCCCCACCCCAGGGCTAGCAGGCCACTGTGCATGTGGACAGCCCACCCCAAGGGAAGAATCAGGGGAGAAGAAACACAAACCCTGGAATCATGCCAATGTATAAAACCCTAAGTCAAGGGTCAGACAGTATACTTGAATCTCTCAAGTTGCCTGCTTGGCTCACTTCCAAGAATACTTTACTTCCTTTCATTCCTGCTCTAAAAGTTTTTAATAAATTCTCACTCCTGCTCAAAAACTTGCCTTAATCTCTCACTCTGCCTTATGCCCTCTTGGACAAATTCTTTTTATTGAGGAGGCAAGAATCTCGAGTTGCTGCAGACCTGTACAGATTCACTGCTAACAGTACAATGTTGAATGGAAGTGGCAAGAGTAATTATCTTTGTCTTGTTCCTGATCTCTTTTACCCTCTATCAGAAAAGTTTTTTTTTTCCTTAGAACTTCATTTCTGGATTACTACTGTCACCACCATTGTCACTGTAACCACCTGACAGGTGCTTCCTGCCCACTGCACAAACAAAATCAATTCATGGAGCATTGCAGTAAAGAAAGAGGTTAATTGATATGAAGACAGCCACACTTTGCAGGTGATGGAATTATTACTCAAATCAGTCTCATTGAAGGTTAGGGATTTTCCCAAGGTAGTTTGGAAGAAGGGGTGGAGGTGGCTAGACAATGGATACTTGCTGCTGATTGGTTGGGGGCACAATCATAGGGGTGTGGAAAACGGTCATCTTGTGCGCTGAGTTGCTTCTGGGTGGGGCCACAGGAGCAGTTGGTGGGTCCAGGTGGAGCCATTGGTGTCATGCAAAAAACCTGAAAAGATATCCCAAAAGGCCATTCTTAGGTTCTATAATAGTGATGTTATCTACAGGAGTAATTGGGAAAGTTGCATATCTTGTGACCTCCAGAATAATGGCTGACAATCACGTCCACACCATAGAAGAATTCAAGCTCCTCTATCCCCCTAGCCTGGTGGTCTCTCATTAGCTTTACAAGGTCGGTTGAGTTTTGGGGAAAGGCTATTATCATTTAAACTATAAACTAAATGTTTCCCAAAGTTAGCTTGGCTTAAGCCCAGGAATAATGAATGGCAGCTTGAAGGCTAAAGCCAGGAGGGGAGTTGGCTAGATGAGATCAAGAAGTTAGCCGGGCATGGTGGTGGGCGCCTGTAGTCCCAGCGACTCCAGAGGCTGAGCCAGGAGAATGGTGTGAACCCAGGAGGCAGAGCTTGCAGTGAGCCGAGATCACGCCACTGCACTCCAGCCTGGGCGACAGAGCAAGACTCCGTCTCAAAAAAAAAAGAAAGAAAAGCAAAAGACCTTGAAACTGGAAAATGGATTTCAGTTCTCCCTAGTCTTTGATGTACCAACTTGGGTTAAAAGTTCTTGTTTCTGTGTTTGAAGATAGTGACTTAAGGAAGAACTGAAGTTGGGAATGTAGTTTCTGTAGTTAATATTCATGTTACAAAAATAGAAGTCTAAACACCTGAAAAAAAGAATGAAACAACTCATAAACTTTTTTTTTGGATTTGCAATGATTTTGTACATTCCATTAGTTTTGTAACTTTCATGAAGGAATGCCTATTGTCCTGTTGGTGGCAGTAAAACACCACTCCTGGATCATTTGTTACTTGAATATTTCATTTGTTTGTTTTTAACTTTCTCTAGTGCATCTTCAGTTTGATGATAGGTTAGTTTCAAGATGCTATCTAGTAAATGCTAAAACAAACCAACAAACACAAATACTGGGCTTCTAATTAGGATACTCAAGGAATTTTAAAGTTTTAAAGTTTCAGAAATAATACATTTTATGAAACAGGGATCTGTATCAGGAAAAAATGTATATCATCACAGTACCATGCACATATTATATAATACCTTAAATTTGTTGAAGCAATTTCTCATTACTTATTTCTCATGAAACAATCCAAAATATCAAGAAGGGAAGACAGTTGAATAAACACACCATTTCCAAGTAGTCAGTGATTAAATTGAACTTAATGTACCCTAAGAAATACAAGCTCCCTTGACAGAGAACAAACAGAACAAAAAAATCCAGTTTCCTCCTTGTTCTATTTTTGTGAGCAAAATAAGTACTCATTTAAGCTTCCATCCCTTTTACTTAAAAATCCCTCTCTGTCTTCATCCTCTTCTGCTTTGCTCTTGTCTTTAATGAAGGTCTGTTCTGCCCCCATTCCAAGGCTAACTTCCTCACTATGTCCTTGATCCCATCTTTCCTGTCTCTCTTTGGAGAAGCCTGTGATGGTTAGTTAGTTCACTTATTCAACAGATATTCACTATTGACAGTCCCTGGGTTAGATGTCAGGGGATACAGAGATGACATTCTGTGTCCTGAAGTTGTCACATCTAATAGGGGAGGCACACAGACATAAGAATTCAGTGTGTTTGATCCTGGGGTTTAAAAGGGATCTTTGGGAGCCTAAAGGCAGAATGCCAAATTCATTCTGGGAAACTAGTAAACATTTTCCAAAGGTGGCATCTAACCTGAGAATAGGACATGAGGGTGAGAGTGAACAGCATGTAGAAGAGGAATGAGGAAGAATGGCTGAGGCAAGTCCTTTGCCATGGCACATTTGAGGGGGATGCGCAGGATACGATTCTGAGGGGCTTTAATTACATTTCTGCCATCAATTTATTGTGGAATTTTAATCAAATCATCTAACCTTTTAACACTTAATTTCCTAACTTATAAAATAAAGAGACAGGGAAGCATGCTCTAAATTTATGTCATGCCAGCTGTGTCAATCTGTGCTATAGGTGTGTGTATATGTGTGTATGTTTGTATGTCTTATATAACCATTTCAGTCCTTTAATGAGTAGATAAGAATCTTTGTATAATTTGCATGTTTGTTGTTTAAGTGCTTGGCTAAATTTATCTTTGCCTCTTTTACAAAAAAAAAAGTGTTTACAGAACAATATAATAAAATTAGGAGCAAAGGAATATTTTATTTGTTATACTTCAAGATGAATACCACCAAAATGTTTTCATTTCAACTTAAAAATCTCTTTATAACCATACTTGAATATAAACAACCCATTTGTTCTACATTAGTGAAATGTTAGTGTGTGTATTTTCTAGCACTCACACCTCTGCACTGTGATCATTCTATCAGGTATTTCTAGATATCCAAGCAATGTGTTGGATCTATGTAAAAAAAATCTGACAGCTACCATCAATAACAATATAATTGTGTAGCATTTAAACAGTTTGTAATGAGCTCTCAAATGCATTTTTTAAATGTTTAATAAATAAAATTAATAGTAAGACACCTATCATTTATTGAGCACTTAAAATGTATCTGATGCTGTGCTAAGCACTTTAAAACTAATCTTCACGGCCGGGCACATTGGCCCACGCCTATAATCCCAGCACTTTGGAAGGCCGAGGCAGGTGGATCACGAGGTCAGAAGTTCAAGACCAGCCTGGCCAAGATGGTGAAACCCCATCTCTACTAAAAATACAAAAAATTAGCCGGGCCTGGTGGTGGGTGCCTGTAATCCCAGCTACTCGAGAGGCTGAGGCAAAGAATTGCTTGAAGCCGGGAGGCAGAGGTTGCAGTGAGCTGAGATCACGCCACTGCACTACAGCCTGGACGACAGAGTCAGACTGTCTCAAAAAAAAACAAAAAACAAAACAAAAAAAAATAACTAATCTTCACTACCTTTAATTTTGTTTATTGTAGTATAATATACGTAACATAAAATGTACAATTTTGGTCAGGGCAGTGGCTCAGGCCTGTAATCCCAGCACTTTGGGAGGCCAAGGTGGGTGGATCACCTGAGGTCAGGAGTTCGAGATCACCCTGGCCAACATGGAGAAACCCCATTTCTACTAAAAATACAAAATTAGCGGGTGTTGTGGCGTGTGCCTGGCTACTCAGGAGACTGAGATGGGAGAATCGCTTGAACCCGGGAGGCGGAGCTTGTGGTGAGCTGAGATCGCACCACTGCACTCCAGCCTGGGCAACAGAGCAAGACTCCATCTCAAAAAAAAAAAAAAAAAAAAAAAAAGTACAGTTTTAACCATTCCTAAGTACACAGTTCAGTGACATTAGGTAAATTGACATTGTTGTGCAACTATCACCACCATCCATCTCCAGATCTTTTTTTCATCTTGCAAAACTGAAACTCTTGCACCTGTTAAATAGTAACTCCCCATTCCTTTCTCCCCTTAGCCCCTGGCAGTCACCATTCTGCTTTCTGTCTCTATGAATTTGGCTACTCTAGGTACCTCATGTAAGTGGAATTATATCGTATTTGTCTTATCTCTGGCATATTTCACTTAGCATAGTGTATGACCCTTAATTTTTTTACTGACATTAATTAAAAGAAATCCTAATTTTAACAATAATTCTATTACTGTTAATATTGTATTACTATTTTATCAGTGATTCTATTACTGTTAATACTGTATTGACTTGTTGGTATGAATCAATATGCTCATTTTACAGATTAGGAAACTAAGACTTATAAAAAGTTAAAAAACTTGGTTAAAGTCATTCAGTTAGGCAAATGACATACCACAATCACAACTAGGCCTGTCTTACTACAGAGGCAGTGTTCTTAACTTCTAAGCTATGGGGTGTGTGTGTGTGTGTGTGTTTATTTTAAACCTTACAATTGCTCTGTGAACAAGAGATTATATCCTACTTGATACTCAAATCCCAGGCATGGCGACATATGCCTGTAATCCTAGCTACTTGGAAGGCTAAGGTGGAAAGATCACTTGAGCCCATGAGTGCAAGACTAATCTGAACAACATAGTGAGACCCGTTATCTAAAAAGTAATAAACAAATAAATAAATAAAAGCCAGGTGGCTCTCACTAAAAATTCCATGCCTTTTTACGTTATACAGCAGGAGACCCTTAAATTATAGTGAAATCAGTCTCCATTCCACAAATCTATGTTGACATCATACTATGAGTGAAAACAGGTTTTTTAATTCAAGTTGTTTGAATTAAGCATATTCTATTGTATGTTCAAAGATAGTTGTCCCAATTTAAAAATGTCCTTGGTTGAATAGGATAGAAGCAGAGCCAGAGCAACCAAGAGCCATTGCTATATGAACAAATAATTGAATTTAGGCTAATGAAAATGAACTCACTGTCAAAAATCATCATGAAATTAAAATATTCTCTGCTCTTGACTGGCTGGAATAATATTTGATTCCTGAGTTCTGCCTTTCCACTTATTCTGTCATAATCTTTGAGATATATGAAGTCATCCCTGAATACTGTTTAATGCTCTGGTTAAACTCCATTTCACTCTGACCAATCAGAGTATGTGAGCTGATCATAAGGAGCTATTATCAAGAGACTTGTCAGAGGATTCACTGCCCAATATGTTTTTATGACCCTTTTTATCTGTAAGAGTTGCTGGTATTGCTTTTTAGAATGAAATAGACTAATTTTGTCCATTACAGTGTTGATAGTTTGATAACTCACTGTGGGAATCAATTGATCTTATCAGAATAATATAACCAGTAGAGGAAATGTAACTGAAGCATATACAGTTTTATTTAATATATTGTTTATGCAGGTTGAGAAAAGGCTGAAATATGCTCCTTTTGCTAGAAATGTAATAACTAAAACGCCCATAGCCTTGATCTTTTTTATCTTTTATTGCTTTTCCTTGACTAAGAGAATTTGGTTTTGGTAAAGCTAAATGAATTTAGAATAAAGTCATTTATTTGTGTCATACGTAAGCTTGATTAAGAAGGTTTTTATGGCCAAGAGCCATGGCTCATGCCTGTAATCCCAGCACTTTGAGAAGCTGAGGCAGGAGGATCACATGAGTCTTGGAGTTCAAAACCAGCCTGGGCAACATAGTGAGATCTTGTCTCTACAAAAAATAAAAATAAAAAAAATAGCAAGGCATAGTGGCCTGGCATTGCACTCCGGTGATCACACCATTGCACTCCAGCCCTGGGTGACAGAGTGAGATCCTGTCTCAAAAAAACAAAGGAAGATTTTTTTTTTTTCTATTTAGAAAGAGAGTGCATAAAAGAGAAACCATAGGCAGGGACAGTACCTCATGCCTGTAATCTCAGCACTTTGGCAGGGCAAGGCAAGCGGATCGCTTGAGTCTAGGAGTTTGAGAGAAGCCTGGGCAACATAGAGAGACCTCATCTCTCCAAAAAATACAAAAATTAGCCAGGCACGATGGCACGTGCCTGTAGTCTCAGTTATTTGGGAGGCTGAGATGGGAGGATCACTTGGGCCTGAGGGGTTGAGGCTGCAGTGAGCCATGATTGTGCACTGCACTCCAGTATGGGCAACAGAGCAAGACCCTGTCTCAGAAAAAGAAAGAAACCATAAAAAGTATAATGGCTTGAAAAAGATGGTGTATTTCTCCCACAGATATTAATCTAGAGAGAAAATGACTGGCCCCAAAAGGCAGATAGCTCAGTTACATAAGATCACTCAAGGACTCAGGTTCTATAATGAATTTGTTCAATTATCTCTTAGGATGTTGTCCTCATGTACATGGTTAAAGTCAGACACATCTTTCAATTCGGAGGAAGAGGGAAATTTCAAGCAAAAGTGGAGGGAAGGCAATTTCCTTTTAAGCAAATAGTGAGGAAGTTGCATACATCACTTTTATTCACATTCCATTGACAAAAATTTTGTCCATGGCCACACTTAGCTGCAAGGGAACTAGGAAATAATTGTCTGAAACTCAGCAGCCATGTGCCGTGTTAAAATTATTATATTTATGGAACCAGGAGAAAACTTTTTTTTTTTTTTTTGAGACTGAGTTTCGTTCTTGTTGCCCAGGCTGGAGTGCAATGGTGTGATCTCAGTTCACTACAACCTCCACCTCCCAGGTTCAAGAGATTCTCCTGCCTCAGCCTCCCGAGTAGCTGGGATTACAGGCAGACTCCACCACGCCTGGCTAATTTTGTGTTTTTAGTAGAGACAGGGTTTCACCATGTTGGTCAGGCTGGTCTCGAACTCCCGACCTCAGGAGATCCGCCCACCTTGGCCTCCTAAAGTGCTGGGATTACAGACGTGAGCCACTGTGCCTGGCCGGGAGAAAACTTTTTAAGAAAACAATCAGCAGTCTATATAGTCTACCCTACTGACCTTTCAGTGTCTGTGATTACCTATATTCTCACACATAGACACTCCCTCTCTCCCAAGGGAGACATTCCAAGGCTCCCTTGGATTAGTTCATCTGCTCAAAGTCAAGAATACCCGGATGGTGCACATTCCTGATTTTCAGGTCTGTGATGGTCCCTCACAGTTCACTAATGTGTTTTCTGTTCATCTCACATCCAGTATACAAAAGTGGTAGGAAAAATATAACTGCAATAAAAGCTGTCATTCAGAAGATGGAAGAATGGGAAACATGTCACAGTCAGTCCGTAGGAATTTCCAAGATTCTTGCTATTTCAGTAGAGGAGATTTCTTGGTTAGCCTGTGTAGCTGTCCCCTGGTTCTAATTTCTAAGAACTACACCATTTTCCATTGTCCTCCATGGCCATATCTAAAGTTGGTGTTAGAGGCCAGGCGTGGTGGCTCACACCTGTAATCCCAGCACTTTGGGAGGCCAAGGCAGGCAGATAACTTGAGATCAGGAGTTCAAGATCAGCCTGGCCAACATGGTGAAACCCCTTCTCTACTAAAAGTATAAAAAAAAATTAGCTGGGTGTGGTGGCAGGTGCCTGTAATCCCAGCTACTCGGGAGGCTGAGGCAGGAGAATTGCTTGAACCCCGGTGGGTGGAGGTTGCAGTGGGCTGAGATTACACCACTGCACTCCAGCCTGGACAAAACAATGAGACTTCATCTCAAAAAATAAAAAAAAAATAATAATAAAGTTGGTATTAGAGAATAGTACATCCTCCTAGGGAGCTGCACACTTTCAAAAACTTGCTACTTGTGGAGATTTGGAAGCCCAAGAGTTGTGTTAGTGATCAAACAAATGACTCTTTTTTAGGCCAATTTTGATTTCTTTTGGGAAATAATTCTCTGAATACTTTTGTCGACTTGTGGTCTTTTTGCTTGCATTCAGTTCCTTCTGAGTAAACAGGTCTAAAGATTTCTTCTAGACATAGTTCCTAAATCTTCTCATTTATTTGTTTACCTGTTTGCATTTAATGGCCCATCCTTTTTCCCTCCATTTTAATGGTGGTTACCCTGAGGCTAGCTAAAATCACAAACTGGAGTCAGAAGGCAATACCATTAATTTGATCTTTGCCTGTTAGCTGGCTGTATGTTTTGGCTGAGAAGTCTTAATGAGAGGTACTTAGGAAAAATGTAGAGCCTTTTAAATCCTTCTGTTTGGGGACAAGTAGTTTGATTTTCTAATCCTGTATCCTTAAATTACTGTACTTAATCAGTTTAGATTGTAGACCATGTTCTCTGAAGTGACAGGTATTATAGGCACACAGTCTGCCTTCCAAGTTATCAAAGGCAGTAGTTTTACTAAATATTGTGACATGACATAAAAAGGATCATTAGTTTTCCAGACTGCAATATTGGTTTTTTCACCTTGATCTTTACTCAGCCACAAAGCCAAGAAACATATTTGACGTTTTAAGTTTTTATTTTGGCAGTAAATCAATTCTGGTTACCTATCCCAAAATATAATACCTTAAATAAGAATTTTTTTTCTTTTTATGTGATGGTATGTGGAGATAGCACATGGTCCAGACCTTTATGCATCTCAGCTCCATGAGATCATTCACAGACTTGTGTTCTTTTCATCCTGTTGTTCTGCAGCAGTATTTCTCATGCTCAGAACTATTGGCATTTTGGGGCAGTTAATTCTTTGTTATAGGTGGCTGTCATGTGCATTACAGGATGTTCAACAGTACCCCTCATCTCTACAGGATGCCCATAGGACATGCTCAGTTGAGACAAACAACATCTGCAGACATTGCCCAGTGTTCCCCTGGGGGCAAAATCACCCCTGGTTGAGCATCATTGCTTTATAGTTGCCTAGGATCTCATCGTCATCTGCATGATCAAAGCAGATTTTGATCCATAATGAAGAGAAAAATCAATCATTCGAAATCACTCTAGATTTTATAATTGGCAGACAAAAACATTAATACTGTAACTTTATTCCATATGTTCAAAAAAATAAGTAAAGAAATGCAAGATATTTAAAAAGAACCAAATTAAACTTTAAGAGATAAAAATTACAATGTCTGATAGAACTAAGAAATACATTGAATAGGATGAAGGGCAGATGGGACATTGCAGAAGAAAAGATTAGTGAACTTGAAAACATAGCAATTGAAACTATTCAAAATTCAATACAAAGAAAAAGCAAATTTAAAAAAAGGCAGAAAGGAGCATCAGTGAGCTGTGAAATCCTTCAAAAGGCCTAATGAATGTGTAATTGGAGGACCTGAAGGAAAGGATGGGAGTGAATGGTGGGCAAAAAGCACTTGAAGAAATAATGGCTGATATTTTTCCAAATTTGATGAAAATTTTTCCAAATTTGATGAAAATTATAGACCCAAGAAGTTTAGTGAATTCCAAGCAAAAGAAATATGAAGAAAACTACATCAAGGCGTGTTATGATGAAATTGCTCAAAACCAGTGATAAAGGTAAAATCTTAAAAAGCATCCAAAGGAAAAAAGATAATATGTGTAAAGAAACAAAGAAAAGTATATCAGCAGATTTCTCCTTAGAAACAGTGCCAGCAATAAGACAGTGGGACCACATGTTAAAAATACTAAGCAAAACAAAACAAATGCAAAAATGTCTCTCAAAAACTAAGATGAAATGCTTTTATAGACATACAAAAGCTAAAAGAATTCATCACTAGGAGATCTGGATTACTGAAAATGTTAAAGGAAGTCCTAAGGAAGAAGCAAAATAATACTTCACAGAAATATGAATCTGCTCTATGCAAAAGAATTGGGGAGCGTGGCAAATGGTACCTATGTGGGTAAAAATGTAATAAGAGTACAATTCTGTATTCTTCAGGTCCTTTCTTTGCTTATCACTTTGGTGGGTTTCTCTTCCTCTGTAGCTTTCAACAATAAGTCCTTGAACCTTCTGCATTTTTTTTTTAAGTCAGAGTCTCACACTGTCACCGAGGCTGGAGTGTAATGGCGTGATCTCAGCTCACTGCAATCTCCACCTCCTGGGTTCAAGCGATTCTCCTGCCTCAGCCTCCCGAGTAGCTGGAATTACAGGTGCCTGCCACCATGCCCGGCTAATTTTTTGTATTTTTAGTAGAGATGGGGTTTCACTATGTTGGCCAGGCTTGTCTCAAACTCCTGACCTTGTGATCCACCCACCTTAGCCTCCCAAAGTGCTGGGATTACAGGAGTGAGCCACTGCACCCGGCCACCTTCTGCATTTTTATATTGCATTATTGCCTTTGGAGAAGTCGTAAATACACTTTTCAAAAAAAGTAATTTCTAATTTTTGTCCTAACCCAACTTCCAATTTAATAACTGTAGTGATTCTATATAAAATCTTCAGTGGGCCAGGCAACTTGTGTACAGCACAACTTCAGGGATACCATTCCCATAGACTATGATTGCACATCTGTACATCATGTTTCTGATTATAACACTGCATTCACCTTTTCACTCTCCCATCAAAAGTATTTGAGTTGAACTTGAGTACTGTTTCCTAAAAACATCTTTATCTCATATATCATCTCCCCTTTTCTTTGTATAATACTGAGCCTTCCTAGCCCTTATGTTGTGGCTTAAACCCCACCTTCTTTAAAGGATGATTCTAAACTCTTTCTGCCCAAAATGAACATCTACTGTGATTATACCATGTGTCATTCATTATGACACCAAAATGCCATCTTGTTGTTATTTAGATGTTTTGTATGTGTATGTCTTGTCTTGAATTCTTCAATTAAACTGTTTATTTTTTAAAGACAGTGTGAGGCTGTTTATCCCCTAGGAGAGCAAGTGAAGTTCTGCATGTTCAGCAAGCATCCCTAATCCCAGAATTGATGCATAAAGTAGCAAAAGGCCAAAGGATTATTAACCTTATGTTTTTTCCAGTTGTTCTATTTAAGCAAACTACACCCCATCTAAAACAAGGTTTGAAGTAGTTTGGACTTTTCCCTAAAGATTTGATTTCTGCTTGGTTTTGAAGTTTTGTATTAGAAAGAAATCATACTAACCCTTACTTCATTTGATTAATATTTGTTAATTGTTTATATGGTAAATACAGGTCTCTTCACATAGATTATGTATACTGAACTCCTTTCTTTTGAATACAAAAGCCCCATATTTCCCAAATTTAGTTTTTATTTAAACAATCATATCCTGGATCACCTGAGGTCAGGAGTTTGAGACCAGCCTGACCAACATGGTGAAACTCCATCTCTACTAAAAATACAAAAATTAGCTTGGTGTGGTGGGAGGCACCTGTAAAACCAGCTACTTGGGAGGCTGAGGCAGGAGAATTGCTTGAGCCCAGGAGGGGGAGATTGCAGTGAGCCGAGATAGTGCCACTGCATTCCAGCCTGGGAAACAAGAGTGAAACTCCATCTTACAATAAATAAATAAATAAATAAATAAATAAATAAATAAATAAATAAATAAATTAAATAAGCCCTAATTAAAATTTCCCTCAGTATTACCAGTGTTGGGTATGGCCTCACATTGTTTCCATCCTGCTTTTCCCATATTTAATAGGCCCTCACTGACTCCTGAATATTGAAAATTGAGTTCAAATACATAGTTTATTCCTCGAAATCCTCCCTCCATACTCTGCTCAGATGGATGATTCCAACCTCACCATGGATCTCTGCTCTACCTAAACTGGAAGTGGACTCAAGATTAGCCACACATACCTTACGCTTGCCTGCTTTCTGTCTGGGAATAGGCTTCCTCCAGCCTTCCTAAATCTCATGTTTTTCAAGTCTAGCTCCTATCTAACCCCTGATCATCAGTTACCTTCCTCTATTTTTACATTATCATCCTAAATAGAGATAACTCACAGGGAATACTGTTGTATTATAGTTTACTTGCTAAAGTACATGCTTTTGATATATATATATATTTTTATTATACTTTAAGTTCTAGGGTACATGTGCACAACGTGCAGGTTTGTTACATATGTATACATGTGCCATGTTGGTGTGCTGCACCCATTAACTCGTCATTTACATTAGGTATATCTCCTAATGCTATCCCTCCCCCCCACCCCCCCACCCCACAACAGTCCCCGGTGTGTGATGTTCCCCTTCTTGTGTCCAAGTGTTCTCATTGTTCAATTCCCACCTGTGAGTGAGAACATGCGGTGTTTGGTTTTTTGTTCTTGCGACAGTTTGCTGAGAATGATGGTTTCCAATTTCATCCATGTCCCTACAAAGGACATGAACTCATCCTTTTTATGGCTGCATAGTATTCCATGGTGTATATGTGCCACATTTTCTTAATGCAGTCTATCATTGTTGGACATTTGGGTTGGTTCCAAGTCTTTGCTATTGTGAGTAGTACCGCAATAAACATACATGTGCATGTATCCTTATAGCAGCATGATTTATATTCCTTTGGGTATATACCCAGTAATGGGATGGCTGGGTCAAATGGTATTTCTAGTTCTAGATCCCTGAGGAATCGCCACACTGACTTCCACAATGGTTGAACTAGTTTACAGTCCCACCAACACTGTAAAAATGTTCCTATTTCTCCACATCCTCTCCAGCACCTGTTGTTTCCTGACTTTTTAATGATCGCCATTCTAACTGGTGTGAGATGATATCTCATTGTGGTTTTGATTTGTATTTCTCTGATGGCCAGTGATGATGAGCATTTTTTCATGTGTCTGTTGGCTACATAAATGTCTTCTTTTGAGAAGTGTCTCTTCATATCCTTCACCCACTTTTTGATGGGGCTGTTTTTTTCTTGTAAATTTGTTTGAGTTCTTTGTAGATTCTGGATATTAGTCCTGTGTCAGATGAGTAGATTGCAAAAATTTTCTCCCATTCTGTAGGTTGCCTGTTCACTCTGATGGTGGTTTCTTTTGCTGTGCAGAAGCTCTTTAGTTTAATTAGATCCCATCTGTCAATTTTGGCTTTTGTTGCCATTGCTTTTGGTGTTTTAGACATGAAGTCCTTGCCCATGCTTATGTCCTGAATGGTATTGGCTAGGTTTTCTTCTATGGTTTTTATGGTTTTAGGTCTAATATTTAAGTCTTTAATCCATCTTGAATTAATTTTTGTATAAGGTATAAGGAAGGGATCCAGTTTCAGGTTTCTACATATGGCTAGCCAGTTTTCCCAGCACCATTTGTTAAATGGGAATCCTTTCCCCATTTCTTGTTTTTCTCAGGTTTGTCAAAGATCAGATGGTTGTAGATGTGTGGTCTTATTTCTAAGGGCTCTGTTCTGTTCCATTGGTCTGTATCTCTGTTTTGGTACCAGTACCATGCTGTTTTGGTTACTGTAGCCTTGTAATATAATTTGAAGTAAGGTAGCGTGATGCCTCCAGCTTTGTTCTTTTGGCTTAGGATTGACTTGGCGATGCGGGCTCTTTTTTGGTTGCATATGAACTTTAAAGTAGTTTTTTCCAATTCTGTGAAGAAAGTCATTGGTAGCTTGATGGGGATGGCACTGAATCTATAAATTACCTTGGGCAGTATGGCCATTTTCATGATATTGATTCTTCCTATCCCTGAGCATGGAATGTTCCTCCATTCGTTTGTGCCCTCTTTTATTTCATTGAGCAGTGGTTTGCAGTTCTCCTTGAAGAGGTCCTTCACATCCCTTGTAAGTTGGATTCCTAGGTATTTTATTCTCTTTGAAGCAATTGTGAATGGGAATTCACTCATGATTTGGCTCTCTGTTTGTCTGTTATTGGTGTATAAGAATACTTGTGATTTTTGTACATTGATTTTGTATCCTGAGACTTTGCTGAAGTTGCTTATCAGCTTAAGGAGATTTTGGGCTGAGACGATGGGGTTTTCTAGATATACAGTCATGTCATCTGCAAACAGGGACCTGCTTTACTTAAATGCTGTGTAAAGAATTTGGTGGAAGCTCTTTGAAATTTTTCTTCATTTGTTACTCTTCTCTGGAGGAGCTCTGCATTTCCGCATGGGATGTCAGTTTGCATCACAGTAGAGAATGGACATTTTGTGGGTACCGTGGATTGAGCTAGTGGTATTGAGAGACAGGACTAAGCTGGATTTCCTAGGCCGACTAAGAATTCCTAAACCTAGCTGTGGACGGTGACCACACCCACCTTTAAACACGGGGCTTGTAACTCAGCTCACACCTGACCAATCAGGTAGTAAAGAGGGCTCACTAAAATGCAAATTAGGCTAAAAACAGGAGGCAAAGAAGTAGTCAAATCATCTATCATCTGAGAGCACAGGGTGAGGGACAATGATTGGGATATAAACCCCAGGCATTCCGGAGCTGGGATCGGGCAACCCCCTTTGGGTCCCCTCCCATTGTATGGGAGCTCTGTTTTCACTCTATTAAATCTTGCAACTGCACACTCTTTTGGTCCATGTTTGTTCTGGCTGGAGCTGAGCTTTTGCTCACCGTTCATCACTGCTGAATGCTACCATCGCAGACCCACCGTTGACTTCCAGCCCTCTGGATCCTGCAGGGTGTCCGCTGCACTCCTGATCTAGTGAGGCGCCCATTGCCCCTCCTGATGGGGCTAAAGGCTCGCCATTGTTCCTGCGTGGCTAAATGCCCAGGTTTGTCCTATTCTAGCCAAACACTAGTCGCTGGGTTCAACGGTTCTATTCCGTGACTCACGGCTTCTAATAGAGCTATAACACCGCATGGCCCAAGGTTCCATTCCTTGGAATCTGTGAGGCCAAGAACCCCAGGCCGGAGAACAAAAGGCTTCCTACCATGTTGGGAGCAGCCGTCACCATCTTGGGAGCTCTAAGAACAAAGACCCACCCTGCCCCCGCCGCCCGTAACAGTATGAGGGAGTACCAGATAAGAAATCTAAATACATTCCTAGGTCTTCCTGAGCTAGTTCTTTTTTGTAATGACTTCATTATTCAAGTTAATGCCTAATACCTAAGAGATATTCAAATAGAATTGCGACAACTTACTCAAATCTGTATTCATCTTCAATTTGAAATTAGTACTGCCATTCTCTGTTGATAATTGAGAGGTTACTGAACATCTTTGCATCTTTGATATGTTTTCTTCTTCTTCTTCTTTTTTTTTTTTTTTTTTTTGAGATGGAGCCTCACTCTGCCGCCAGGCTGGAGTGCAGTGGCGTGATCCCAGGTCACTGCAACCTCCACCTCCCGAGTTCAAGTGATTCTCCTGCCTCAGTCTCCCTAGTGGCTGGGACTACAGGCGCATGCCACCATGCCTAGCTAATTTTTTTTATCTTTACTAGAGAAGGGGTTTCACCATATTGGCCAGGATGGTCTCCATCTCATGACCTCATGATCCTCCCGCCTCGCCCTCCTAGAGTGCTGAGATTACAGGCCGTGAGTTTTTCTTCTTCTTCTTCTTTTTTTTTTTTTTTTTTTTTTTTTTTGAGACAGAGTCTGGCTTGTCACCCAGGCTGGAGTGCAGTGGTGCGATCTCGGCTCGCTACAAGCTCCGCCTCCCGGGTTCAGGCCATTCTCCCGCCTCAGCCTCCCGAGTAGCTGGGACTACAGGCACCCGCCATCACGCCCGGCCAATTTTTTGTATTTTTAGTAGTGACGGAGTTTCACCGTGTTAGCCAGGATGGTCTTGATCTTCTGACCTCGTGATCCGCCCACCTCGGCTCCCGAAAGTGCTGGGATTACAGGCTTGAGCCACCGCGCCTGGACTCAGTTTTTCTTCTTTTATTTGGATAACTATAGATTTACCTACTTATTCTCTATTCTTCCTTCTCTTTAGTGCTCTGTTGTCAATTTATTATATTTATCTTATCTCAGATTTCTTTTCTTTCTTTTATATGACCAGTGTGCAATCCCTCCTATATTGTGGTGGGAGGTGGGAGAGGTTTACCCCAGCAAGCGTGGGACTGGTAGTGGAAACATCTTCTACCCAGACATGGTAATGTTTTATTTTGTAAAGGTTGAGTTGAGTAGATGAACTGAAGGAGGTAATTGAGACAAGTGTGGGCCATCAAGCAAGACTGGCCTGAGGGGCATGTCAGGAATCGGAGTTCAAAGCCAAGAATAGACCAAACTGCAGGAAAGCAAAAGCAAAATCAAAATGAGTGTAAAGGAAGGCAGCCTAGAAATGGGGGTAAGGGTAGTGTGTGGAGAGCAACGTGGGTGTTTACCTGGTACTAGGCTTTTACATGTTCTACAAGCCCTTGCATGGTTGAGGAAGCTCCATTTTGAAGAATCAGTATTGGAGCAGAAGCCACCAGTCAGTTTCTTCTTGATTATTAAATCATAAGCAACTCCTCCTTAAATAAAAAGTAATGAAAGATGGCATATTTTAAATAGGACCCATTGTATTCTCAGTAGCATTTAAATGAAAAGGTATGTTTTGGGGGTGAGAATATACTACAGTATTTCACAATACAATATTTCCATATGAGTGATTTTATTTTATTTTTTTATTTTTGTTTTTATTTTTGAGACAGAGTTTCACTCTTGTTGCCCAGGCTGGAGTACAATGGCGCAATCTCGGCTCACTGCAACCTCTGCCTGCCGGGTTCAAGCAATTCTCCTGCCTCAGCCTCCTGAGTAGCTGGGATTACAGGCATGCGCCGCCAATCACAACTAATTTTGTATTTTTAGTAGAGACAGGGTTTCACTGTGTTGGCCAGGCTGGTCTCAAACTCCTGACCTCAGATGATCCACCCATTTCAGCCTCCCAAAGTGCTGGGATTACAGGCGTGAGCCACTGCACTCACCCTGAGTGATTTTAAAATAGAGAATTGTCTTGTTCTGAGATTAAGGTTAGCTTATCGTTCAGCTACTGTTTCAGTAAAATAAATAATTCCAGTAAAGGAACGATAATTGTAGTTATCTTGGCTTGGTATATTATGCTATGGTTAGGCAATTTTAGAGTAAAGAGAAGAAATCAAAAGCTCTTGCTTAGCACACTTGCTGCTTAGGCATTCTTGTTGGAAAATAATGCGTTCTCATTTCAGAGCAAAGACAGCAAAGCTGACTCTGGTATTTGGAGAGCTAAAGGAGTGAAACTTCTTTTAAGAACGGGACCATTCGAGCCCTGTAGGAGCTTTTGAGCATGCGTATTCAACTGCTCACTCTCATGTCTATAACCCACGCTGCTTCTCCACCGTTATGTGCAGACCATAAGCCCTACAGTGGTGACAGCTGCTTTTAGGCCCCTTTGCCTTAAATACAGTAGAATGCTTATATATTAGACTTTTAGTTCTTGAATTTTGGCTAGATATTTCAACTTTCATTTAAATGTTGTAACATCCCATGATCAGAGCATTATAACCTGGAGTATCACTGATAGGAAAGAAATAGTAAAAAAAAGTATGTAAATATGTAAATGTAAACATAAATGGAAATTTGAACTCAGTTATTTGACTAATGTGTGTATACCATCTGGCTAACTCCATTTCAAACACCTTATGCATTTACTTGTAGTTTTTATCTTCTCTAAATATAATAACTTGTAGAGGAGGAGTGTGGAAGAGTCTTCCATTTACCAAAGTGATTTCTGTGTCATTTTCTTGAGTTTGATTTCAGTCTTGTGACTGGTAAATTCTAAGTATCTGCCCTTTTGAGCAAATAAACTTGTCAATCAGATATTTTCTAAAGGGGATATTTTTTGTTAATATTAGTTTAGGTTCATGTGGACATTGTTTAAAAAGCTTTGGGAACTTTAATGATTGGATTTTATAACACTTTATTAGTTATAGCCAACTATGTTACTACTTCCATCAACACCCATACTCTGTTTCTTTGTGAAATGAAAAATATTGTTTTATTTGACACTCTCCTCCTTATTATATTGTACACAGTAAAATCCAAACGGAAGCCAATAACTTCTGAACTCTAATTGTGTCCATCCTGTAAAGCATATGGGTTTGTTCACTGATTCACTTCCAGAGAACTAGGTCATCATCATGAGAACCCCCACATTCCCCAAATCAAATTTACATGTTCTTGAAGGAACACCAAATGGTAATGAGTACTTTGCTAAATAACGTTGACCTTTATTTATTTTCTTATGGATTTTATGCTGCTTTACTATGTGTCAGTATCCCTCCCTTCTTTTAGAAATCCATAAACATTGCACTTGCTTTCATTTTGAACTTTCTTCTTACTAATTTAGACATTAAATAAAAGAGACATATATGCTTATTATCCCCTAGTTTAATATATATATTTTAAAAAGTTAAGCTGATATTTTAATTTTATTTCTTCACGTGAGCATCATTTATTCATTTGTTCATTTACTCAATATGTATTTAAATGATCTCTGACCACAGTGACTAAAAACTGTTGGGTACTAGAGGTGCGAAAATGAATATGTTGTGTGGTTAATCTCAGAGTTTCACTGGGAAGTAGGGGAGACAGACGTGCCTACAAATAATTGTCGTAGAAGAGTTGTTATTGTAGGGTCATAAATGGGACAGGATGCAAAGGCAGAGGAGGGAAGTAATGACAGGGATGACTTGAAAGAGAAAGTGAGGCTGGACATAGTGGCTCACACCTGTAATCCCAGCACTTTGGGAGGCCGAGGTGGGTGGATCACCTGAGGTCAGGAGTTCCAGACCAGCCTGGCCAACATGGTGAAACCCTGTCTCTACTAAAAAAACAAAAATGAACCGGGCGTGGTGGTGTGTGCCTGTAATCCCAGCTACTTGGGAGGCTGAGGCAGGAGAATCGCTTGAACCTGGGAGGTGGAGATTGCAGTGAGCTGACATTGCACCATTGCACTCTGGCCTGGGTGACAGAGCAAGACTCTGTGTCAAAAAAAAAAAAAAAAAAATAAGAGAAAGTGACATCTGACTCTTGAAAGATTAGCAAGACAAAACAAGGAATGATGTTTTAGGCAACAAGAACAATATATGTAGATAAGAAAAGCATAATTTTTAAAAAGCATATTTGGGAAATAATGAGAAGTTTCATGAGGACATTGGGCATGAGGGGTCAAGGTGACAGATGCAATTGGAAAGGTAGGATAGATCTAGCTTGTCTGAAGGATGTCTTGTGCTTTGAACCTGTGGACCAGAGGATATGGATACTTTCAGACAATTGCATGATCAAATGTTTTGTTTTAGGAAGATAATTTGGAGGCGAAAAGACTGAAATGTGAAGGTACTGGTAATACATATGGAGAATAGTTAGGATACTATTAGAATAGTCTGGGGGAGAAATAATGAAGGCTTCTTTAACCAAGGCTGCAACAATAGGGGTGTAGAGGGGCAAACTGAGCAGCATTTCCCAGGTACTGTAGGGAACTTGGGTACAGTTGGATATGTGAGACAACGAATAGTGAGTCATTACTATCCTCCACTTTTCTTTTATCTTCCTTTTAAAAACTTCCCTGTCCTGGTCTCTCTTTAATTTTAAGGAAAAGAGCTGCTAAAATGTGTGCTTTATAGAGAAAGAAGCTTACTAGACCTTACATGTTCTCACTTATGGCATTTAGTGATAACCAGGGTGTCCCTAAGCAATTGAATAGTGATACCAGACCAGCTTCTGCATGGTACAGCTTTAATGTATTATTGTTTGAACTTCATTAATAATTAGACTTGCGACGAAAGTAACCAGTTCAAGTGATCTTATAATCAACTTTGTGCCTCAGCACCTGGAACTTTGAGAGAGCCACTGTGTTCATTTATCAGGAGGCATTCTGCTTCCTCTGTGGTGTGCCATTCCCTGACTTGGTAAAGAATATTGTCTCTCTGGCAGTTTTGTATTAGTGAGTTATACAAAGGAGGTCATAGCAAACCACCTGTACTTTAGAAAGTTAACACAGAAACACTGAAGAGGTATTTCTTCTTTGTGGTACTTCTTATATTCAAGCTTGGCTCTATTTCCGTAGCACACCAGTCCAGGCTCTCATTTTCTCACATTCGATTGACTACAAGAGCTTTCTGACTTGTCTACCTTCAGTCTCTTCCTCTCTTAAGCTGTCCTGCCCTCTGCTATTAGATTAATCTTTCTAAAAGGTAATCTTCGTAGCATTCCTCACCTACTTGTTGTCCAGTACCCATCTTTTTGGAATTCCATTTTCATCATAATTTGGCCTCAGATGTACTTACTGGCCTCAAATGTACCTATTGGACACATTGGGATGAAGTCTTGTTCTGTTGCCCAGGCTGGAGTGCAATGGCATGATCTCGGCTTACTGGAACCTCCATCTCCCAGGTTCCAGTGATCCTCGTGCCTCAGCCTCCTGTGTAGCTGGAATCACAGGCGTGCACCACCACAACTGGCTAATTTTTTTGTATTTTTAGTAGAGATAGGGTTTCACCATGTTGCCTAGGCTGTTCTCGAACTCCTGAGCTCAGGCCATCCTCTCTCTTCAGCCACCCAAAGTGCTGGGGGTTCAGGTGTGAGCCACTGCAGTCAGCCTGTTTTATGCTTTTAAGTTTCTTCTCTTTCCTGAAGTAGTTGACTGTTACATAACATGTATTATCCAAAGTTCACAGGATACTCTAAATACCAATATTATGATATCCTTATTTTTAAATATAGAAACCTTTCTCCTCTTACCAAAAACCACAGTGACTCAGCTACTTGCATGTCTAAAATGGTCTCTGCATTTTTCTGTGGCTAGTCTTTATGATGGTTATAGATCAGTAATAGCCTTTTTGGAAGCATAATATTATGTATTAATCATGGCATTCTTAAGGAATCACTGCAATTAACCAGGTAGACCAATTTAGTTGGACCGTGGTCTGTTTTTTTAGTATGTAAAAACATGGGTTCAGGGGATTAAAACAACTCAACATTCATGAAGAATATATTTTCAGATGCTCTTACATTCCCTGATTTTTCAATACTGCTACGATTTTTTTTTACAGAGTTTCTTTACTTATGAAATTGATATAAAATAACTGCCTTGTCATAAGAATGTATAATAACTGAGAAGGGCAAAGACTGTAAGCTAAATTTACTCAGCATCTGCTACATGGGAGTGACTCAGTTCATTGCTCAGCAAACCCACAAGTTACTGTGTTGTGTCTCTGTGGGGTCTCCTGGGGAGAACAGAAACAATAAATGTTAAATCTGTAAATGTGTCAAGGGGTCACTGTGGTTGACTCTTGGTTGCTAAAGGAAACAGAGGTTCTAAGGCCCTGTAAAATTATAATATTTCAAAGTGAAAATGAATGAATTAATAGAAGAAGCTGAGACAAGGATCTTATTTTGTGTTTGTTTTCCTCTCAATACCCTTGCCAATTAACATTTTTTGAATCTCTTGCTCTTCTCCACTGTAAGCCTGCCCTGATATTTTCTAATTGGATACAGAGATAATACATAACTGGCCAGGTGTGGTGGCTCATGACAGTAATCTTGGCACTTTGGGAGGCTGAGGTGTGCAGAGCACTGGAGGCCAGGAGTTCAAGACCAGCCTGGCCAACATAGTGAAACCCCATCTCTACTAAAAATACAAAAAAATTAGCTGGCTGTGGTGGCTCACACCTGTGGTTCCAGCTGCACAGGAGGCTGAGACACGAGGATAACTGAAACCTGGGAAGCAGAGGTTGCAGTGAGCCGAGATCATGCCACTGCATTCCAGTCTGGGAGACAGAGCAAGACTTTGTCTCAAAAAAAAAAAAGAGAATACGTAACAAAGAAGTAAGAAAACAATTTCAAGTGGTGATAAATGTCATAAAAGAAATAATACAAATTTTTTACTGCCCTTCATTAGATAAAGATAGTAAGAGAGAAGGCCTCTGGGCCGGGCACGGTGGCTAATGCCTGTAATCCTAGCACTTTGGGAGGCCAAGGTGGGTAGATCACCTGAGGTCAGGAGTTCGAGACCAGCCTGACCAACATGGTGAAACCCCGTCTCTACTAAAAATACAAAATTAGCCAGGCATGATGGCTGGCTATTTTTGAATGCCAGTAATCCTAGCTACTCAGTAGGCGGAGTCAGGAGAATCGCTTGAACCCAGGAGGCAGAGGTTGCAGTGAGCCAAGATTGCGCTATTGCACTCTAGCCTGGGCGACAAAAGTGAAAAAAAAAAAGAAAAGAGAAAGCCTCTGTGAGCAAAATGACATTGGAATTGAATGATGCAGTAGAGCTAGCCATATGAAGATTGGCGGCAAAAACGGTGCAGAGGCCCTTCTGAAATTCTGCTGCATCTATTTGAAGCCATGAGTGTGTGTGTGTGTGTGTGGGCAGGGGGCGGGGGGTATGTGTTTATGTATGGTGGGAGAGCTAGAGTGGGAGGAGGCTGTGCAATCTATTACCACCTTTGTTTCACAACATGGACTTGTCCATTTCAAGAAAAAAAAAATGAGGCTGAGCGTGGTGGCTTACACCTGTAATCCCAGCACTTTGGGAGGCTGAGGTGGGTGGATCACTTGAGGTCAGGAGTTCGAGACCAGCCTGGCCAACATGGTGAAACCCCGTCTCTACTAAAAATACAAAAATTAGCCTGGCGTGCTGGCACGTGCCTGTAATCTCAGCTACTTGGGAGGCTGAGACAGGAGAATTGCTTGAACCCAGGAGGCAGAGGTTGCAGTGAGCCAAGATCGTGCCATTGCACTCCAGCCTGGGTGAAGAAGAGAGACTCCATCTCAAAAAAAAAAAAAGAAAAAAAAATGAATGTCCCTATCTTGACATATTAATTTTGTAGAAATAAATTCACTTGCTAATACATGGGTTGGCCCATATAACTCCTCCATTGAAAATATTATTTTTTACAGTGACAGCTGTTAAACATATACCTAACATTCTATGTAATATGAAGATGAAGATGTTAGAGATTGCAAATTTAATAGGGAATTGGAGATGGACCATAGGAAGAAGGTAGAGACAATTCACAACTTACTAGGATGAGTACAACACCTCATTATTTTTTAACAGCAATGACAATACACACACATAAAGATAAAAAAATGCTGGTCTAGCTTGAGAGGATCAGGGAATAGTCTAGATTCTATACACGATAATTTTAATCTGATCAATTCAAAATTTAAAAACAGGCTTCTGCTAACATATGTTTATACCTTCTGCTTAAGCTTGAAAATAAATATGAGCTTTATCCACACTGTCCAGGAAAGGGGATGAACGAACTGAGATAGCATTCCATTTTCAAGCCTGTGCCACTAACATGGCTTCAAGAAAGCAGCTCTTACAGAGACGCTGTGGCTGAGCTGCCAAGGATGTAGCTCCTTGAACTGTTCATCTGGAAAAGAAAGTGCTTATCAGTTAAAAATTGAGAAGGCAGATGTGCTTTATTATAACAACTGTGTGTTTAGAAGTGACAGTTCTCAGGGCAGACTTGTGGATACCCCTTCTCAACTCAACCTAAGAATCTTAGATTCTTTCTTACCAGATGGCAGGCTCAGGTTCCTGACCAGTTCCACGTGGAATAAAGTGGTGAAGCATAATCTTTCTAATAAGATAGGTTCTTTATGGGATACATTACTTGAAAGACCAGATTACAGTGCAGGAAATGCTAGGTTCCCTGCCGTGCATCTGTGCTCTGAATATCTTGGCTTCCTGACTCTGCCTCTGACAAGTTTTATGATGATGAGCAGTCACTTATCTACTGCCTCAGTCTTTTCAACAGGATAAACATGTTAGACCTTGGTGTTTTCTAGGGTCCAACAAGGTTTCATTACTTTATTATTCTGTTATATCTAGAGTATCTGTTTCAGTTTGGGCAGCCCTATGAGAGATACTGTCCAAAGTGTGTTCTTGAAGTAGCAAGCATGATTGTGAATAGTCTAGAATGGTCCAGAAACCACCTCATAGGAGACCCAGTTTGCAGCAGGGATGATTAGCTTAGAGAAAAGAAAATTAAGACTGTCTTTGAATATTTTAATTAACGTCACGTGGAAAAAAAGAAGTAGACTTAGTCTGTGTTGCTGTAAAATATTTAATTGAGGTGACTCTTATAGGAAGTGCTCTAACCACAAAAGGAAAAACAAAACAAAGGGAACAGGAGGAAATTTTTAGAGATGATGGATAAGTTTACGGCACTGATAGTGATAATGGTTTCACAAGTGTATACTTATGGCAAAGTACATCAAATTATACATATAAAATATCTACAACTTTCTGTATGTCAGCCATACTCAATAAAGCAACTAAAACTATATATAACTGAGCCTAGTTACTAGAAGTTTCAGATGTCTGGCTTACTATGTACAGTATAGCCCTTTCCTAAATGTCCAGTAATAAGATAAGCAGCCTATTGAGCTACATGTCAATAATGACACAGAAGTAGAAACAGGCCAGTGCGGTGGCTCACGCCTATAATCCTAGCACTTTGGGAAGCCAAGGCGGGTGGATCATCTGAGGTCAGGAGTTCGAGACCAGCCTGACCAACATGGTGAAACCCCGTCTCTACTGAAAATACAAAATTAGCAGGGTGTGGTGGCGAGCACCTGTAATCCCGGCTACTTGGGAGGCTGAGGCAGGAGAATCACTTGAACTCAGGAGGCAGAGGTTGCAGTGAGCCAAGATTATGCCACTGCACTCCAGCCTGGTTAACAAGAGCGAAACTCCATCTCCAAAAAAAAAGAAAAAAAGAAAAAGATAAAGAAAAACCAAGTAGAAACAAAATGACTCTCTACAGACCATAAGACATTCTTACATTAATAAAGGCATTACAGTAGAATCTGATCACAAGGATTGGCAATAGGTATTAGTGATGCTACCAAGACTATTCAGAATGTTATTAAATTGCTTTTGGTAGGGGAAAGTTCTCCTTTCTATTTAAAAACAAAAAACCTTCTTTAACAGTTATGCCTTAAATTTTACAAGGTTAGAGCATTCCTAAAAAGCTAGGTAAGTCTACAATATTTTACAGAGATGCTATAAACATGTGACCTCAACCACCTACCAAAATGTCAGGTAACTGCACAGTATCTTCTATATTGTACTCTAATTCTTCGATGTTTGAGTTCCAACTATAAAATAATGAGACTCATTTCCCTGTGATACAACTTGTAAGCTCAGTCTCATTACATTTCATTTTAGCTTTTAAGTAGCTTGAATAATCCTTAAAGTTAGAAAGCAGCATCTGATCTGTCTTTCTATATCCAGAAGCATATAGTACAGTGTTGAGCAAAATCAAGACTTTTTTTTTTTTGAGATGGATTTTCACTGTGTCACCCAGGCTGGAGTGCAGTGTCATGATCTTGGCTCACTGCAACCTCTGCCTCCCAGGTTCAAGTGATTCTCCTGCTTCAGCCTCTCCAGTAGCTGGGATTACAGGTATGCAACCACCACACCCAGCTAATTTTTGTATTTTTAGTAGAGACAGGTTTATGATATGTTGGCCAGGTTGGTCTCAAACTCCTGACCTCAAGCGATCCGCCCACCTCGGCCTCCCAAAGTGCTGCGATTACAGGTGTGAGCCACCATGCCCGGCCCAGAATCAAGACTTGAATGAAAGAAAGAGTGTGATTTGTGCAGGATTTTACACTACCACGATGGCACCACTACTCACTGTGTCATCTGTATTTTGACCTGTTTGCTGGATCTTAGGAACTTGCAAAATCATTGAAGGTTCATCTTTTTAAAAATTGTCAATCAGGCAAAGAATAGCTAGAGAATTAGGTTTTGCTCTCCTAGTCAAGAAGGGCATGGATCCTTTGCTACTTATTGATGTGTCTGTGTCTTAGTGAACCGAAGAGGCAGGTGATCTGACAGGAATGTCTTTTCAGTGTTTGACTAACTCTCTTTCTATTGTGAATATATCCAAAGTTCTTTTTGTCTTTCTAAACCCTAACCCAGATAAACGCAATGTATTTTTACACATTTTCTTTTCTTCTATGTGATTTCCTGGAAAGAATGAAAAAAACTACTAGTTGTTGAGCACCTACCATGTGCTAGGCTCTACGAGAGGTTCCTTTATATGCATTAATTTATTAAATTTTCAGAGCAGCTTTGCCAGCTAGGTGATGTTGCCATACAGAAGCTCAGAGGGCTAAGTAACTTATTCATGTCATACAGCTAGTAAATGTGACTAAAAGATGATGTAATAAGCAATGCCCTGTTTTGGTCTTAGAGATATATTTAATTATCATTACTCTTGGATTTTTGTCTAGGCCCATCCCAGTAGTATAAACCCACTTTTGTCTGCATCTACTGTGGACAACAAAGACATACCTACCTCATAGCACACAGTGTGTCACCCCTTTTATAGTGTCCATCACACCCTACTTTATCTTTGTATTTGGATACCTCCCTGATTTTAAGCTCCTGCAGGTCAGAAGGTGTTTCCTTTTTCATTTTTGTAACTACTGAAATAACTACCTAGCATGTTTTGTTACATTCAGTTTTCTTAATTATAGGTCCATGAATTAAGTCAAATGTGCTTTTCATTTTACAATGGAAATCTATATGTGTCCTGAATATGTCTGATAACCATGACACAGTGGAGTGGTTCAGGAAGAGCATTCTCAAGTGCAAGGCTCTAACTGGGATTGCAGCACTGACCACCTGCTTCCAGTACTCCAGAGAATGACACTTCTAGTCATTAGACCATGGCTTTGGGACCATTGCCTGGTTTTTTCTCTTACTCTCTCTTATTGGGTATGAAAGGATTCAGAATATGTCACCCCTCCCCCCCAGTATATCACTGTGGCATAAGGATTATTTTGAGGTAAAGGCGATTAAGGAAAAGCAGACATAGGACAAGCTCTCTGCCATCCCCCGTATGCCTGAAAGTCAAGCATAAATTCCTCTTGTGAAGGTGCCTCGCCACTCACTTTCCATACCAGCAAAGGGATAGCAACCTTATAAATGGAGAGGAGATGGCACCAAGAAAGAGTCTATACAAACAAACCTTATTAACTAGTCTTTATCTGTCATAAGTTTCCCCATATATTTGCCTTCCTACAATTTGTCACCCTAGGAGCTCAAAGTCCTTTTCCTTTGTTTTATCACTTCTCTACAGAAGTATTGTTCCTTATTAACATGCTAATAAACCCCAAGTCCCAAGTTTTTGTTTTTCTGAGACAGGGTCTCACTTTCTCACCAAGGCTGGAGTGTAGTGGCACAATAGTGGCTCATTGCAGCCTTGGCTTTCCAGGCTCAAGTGATCCTCCCACTTCAGCCTCCTGGTTAGCTCAGACTACAGGTGTGTGCCACCATGATTAATTATTGTTGTTATTATTATAATTATTTATAGAGACAAGGTTTTTGCCATGTTGCTCAGGCTGGTCTTGAACTCCTGGGCTCAAGCCATCTGCCTGCCTTGGCGTCCCAAAGTCCTGGGATTATAGGTGTGAGCTACTGTGCCTGGCCTCAGCCCCAAGTACTAACCACTCCTTTGAGTTAGTCATTACTGAGTTTCTCCCATGTGTGTGCATACTACATGTGTTAATAAAGTTCTGTTTATGTTTATCTTGCTAACCTGTATTGTCTCAGACTTATTTGCAGGGCCCCAGGCAGAGAACCTAGGAGGATAGAGGGAATAAGTTTTTCTTCTCTATGGGTGATTCATCCAAAAGAAATGTGAGAAATCATGCATTATTAACTAGTTAAATCGGAAGAGTTTCTTTTCTCTTATTCCATTTTATGGACTACTTTATAACTCAGAAATGTTTTCTGTGAAGTGTTCTGTTGGGTACATGCTTATAATCCCAGCTACTCAGTAGGCTGAGGTAGGAGATCCCTTGAGCCCAGGAGTTCAAGATCAGCCTGGGTAACACAGCAAGACGCCATTTCAAAAGAAGAATGTTCTGTGATTGTTCTGTGATTTATTACTGAATCGCAACAACAATAAAAAAAGTATTTGGGATTTGGGGAGGAAGAGGAGGAAAAGCTCACTGAAATGAGTGATGCTTTTAGGGCTTCAAAAATCCCTAGAATCTCTTTTTTCATTTCACCAAGTAGTGTTCTAGAAGAATCATTTTACCTGATATTGATGAACATTCTATTCTGAAAGAATATCCTGAAAAAAGGACCAGGGCAGAAATGATGGAAATTTTGAATGCAAGGATTTTTGAGGGGAAGCATGAAGGAAACATGAGGGATTTTTGATGGGGAAACTGAAGTACATGACCACTTGTTGTAGTGCCTTGTACACAGCATTTTGTTAAACATACCTAACTGTTTTAAGTGAAACTTGGTTTGCTCATTAAGATAACATATTTTGCTGGGCACGGTGGCTCACACCTGTAATCCCAGCACTTTGGGAGGCCGAGACGGGTAGATCATGAGGTCAGGAGTTGAAGACCAGCCTGGCCAACATGGTGAAACCCCATCTCTACTCAAAATACAAAAGTTAGCCGGGCATGGTGGCACATGCTTGTAATTCCAGCTACTCGTGGGGCTGAGGCAGCAGAATGGCTTGAACCTGGGAGGCGGAGGTTGCAATGAGCTGAGATCACGCCACTGCATTCCAGCCTGGGCAACAGAGCGAGACTCTGTCTCAAAAAAAAAAAATCATATTTTAATTATTACATTTAATACATAGTATATATGATTTTAACTTCTTTTTGTGAGCATCAGAGCCAAACCATACAGTTCCAAAATCATTTTGATTAATTTTTACTTATTTTTACTGGAATCTTTTTGGGCAAGTCCTGTTTCTGGTTTATGTAAGAAAAAATGCTTCAGCTAGTACTTTTCAAGACCAAGTTAGTTGAGTGGAAACATCTTCCCTACCCTTTAAAAAGTCAACTAGAAAAAAATCCTATAACCTAAGAAGTCACTGAATTCTTCATTCACATTTAAGAGCAATTCAGGATGTTCCCTTGTTCTTAAATGTGAAATGTCTATGGCAGTGCTGTACATAGCAGTAGCACAGTCCTATCAAACAAAATTTAATGCAGAACACCAGTATATATACAAGGTAAAAATGGAGCTGAGGGGAGTGTGTGTGTGTCTAAATGTGCGTGGTGTTGGGGGGGTGTGTGTGTGTGGTGTGTGGGATGTGTGTGTAGGGGGTGTGTGTGTGGTGTGTCTGTGGGTGTGTGCAGGAGGGTGTGGGGGGTGTGATGTGTGGGGGTGTATGTGGTGGTGTGTGGGCGTGTAGTGTGGAGTGGGAGTGTGGGTGTGTGGGGGGGTGTGTGGGGAGTGTGTGTGTGGTGTGGGGTATGGGGAGGTGTGGGGGGATGTGTGTGTGTGTGTGGGGTGTGGTGTGTGGTGTGTGGGTGTGGGTGTGTGTGTGTGTTTAGGGATACAGTATGAAAGGCCCAGAACCTTTTCCTTCTTATGGCCTCCCTCTTCCAGCTGAACCTATCCTCATCCTAGGCAGTACATCAAACATTTACTCCAGAACTTTAGGACCTGAAATTTATTTGTATATACGTAATATTCTATGCTTATGATCATTTTACATTAAGATCTTTACTTTGCATAGTTTTTTGTTTTTGTTTTTAGAGATGGGGTTCCACTATGTTGCCCAGGTTAGAGTGTAGTGGCTGTTCACAGGCAGGAACGTAGCACATTAGAGCCTGGAACTCCTGAGCTCAAAGGATCCTCCCACCTCAGCCTCTGGAGTAGCTGGGAATACAGGCACACACTACTGTTCCTAGCTCTACTTTATTTAGTTTGTTAAGAAATCATTTTAGCACTTTGGGAGGCCGAGGCAGGCGGATCACAAGGTCAGGAGATCGAGACCATCCTGGCTAACACGGTGAAACCCCATCTCTACTAAAAATACAAAAAAAAAAAAAAAAAATAGCTGGGTGTGGTGGCGGGCGCTTGTAGTCCCAGCTACTCGGGAGGCTGAGACAGGAGAATGATGTGAACCCGGGAGGCAGAGCTTGCAGCTGAGATGCTGCCACTGCACTCCAGCCTGGGTGACAGAGCGACAATCCGTTTCAAACAAAAAAAAAAAGAAATCATTTTTGGAAGAGATAAAAGGCTTGACAGCAATATATAAATATTTCATTTAAAATAACTTGTTAAATAATACTTAAATGTTAAATTTCTTAAAATTCTTGTTTTTCTGAGATTTTGGAAAAACAAAACCAAATAATATATTGTTAAGGGAGGCAGAATCTCCCTTCCTATTTCTTTAAGCTCATTTTCATAATTAATCTATTTATTTAGGCCTACAGACATACATCAATAAATATGTTTCTATTTGGTTATTTGTAGATATGTAACTCTTATTTGTCAGAGTAGAAAACTAAGACTCACAAAATACATGCTCTGGCTCTCTTAGCCTTGTTTCTCTTTGTACCATGCTATAATTTGTATGGAGAAACCAGCCTGGTACTTAAGAGAGCAACTACAGAACCACAGAATCAAGATGCTGAATATGGATTAGTTAATTGTTAGGATAAAGTTAAGAGACTGTCCCTATGGTGATTTGGTCATTTTGCCTTCATTTGGCTACAACTGATTATTTATTCACAACAAGTAAACTAATATAACACATTAGCACTAAGATTGTAAAATTTTGAACTATGGATAATTTTTATATTACTGGGGAAGGATTAATTTGACCAGAGATTTATCAGAACAATGTTTTCAACTATTAGCTGAGTGTTTATCAAGGTCTGTGGCATACAAAAGTTATTTTTGCTTTGAGAATTTCAATTCTAATAGTTCTTTAAATGTATACTCTTAATACGTGTTAGGTTTTTATTATTTATCATATTGCTTGTTTACAAAAATCTTCCTTTTAATCATGGCCAGCCTTCCCAGAATCCTGAAATGCTTCTTGTATTTGCATTGCAAAGAGTCATTATTATTGCATAAACACTTCAACTTGAGGGTGTGTCATTTCTTGGTTGCTTGGTCTTTGGCTCTTCTGTCCATACTCTATCATTTTACCCTAATACCTCTCTTCTGTAGCGGTTTCAGTCATCTAATAAGGATTGGAACATCCCACTTTAAATCCAAGTATAAGATCTATTCTCGTTGTTAGAAAGCAAGAGTGAATAAAGGTCAGCTGTTCAGATGACTGGCTGTCTGATTTTTTTCTGTGAGCGTCACATGTTAGGAAAAGCTAGTTCATCTCTCTGTGGCTTAGGATTCAACAGCATAAGCTGTCAGACTAACACTGATTGAAGGTAGACTGGGAGGGGGAAGCGCATCTGTCCAATGGCTCGCCATTGGCTTCTTATTACAGCATTCTCCCCTGAGACACACTCTGCATGCTCATTCACCTACCTCCTCCTCTTCCCTCCCCTTCCTTCCCTACCCCTTCATTACTGATTCACAGCGAGAGGCAGCAGCAGCAGCAGTAGCAGCAGCAGCAGCAACAACAGCGCTGCTTGTCACGAATCGAGGATTGCAATGAGCTCATCGTTTTCTCCTTGCAGCTTCACAACTGCCCTGGCTTCCTGGCTACTGCTGCTGCTGTCTTCTCACACATAGACACGCACACACACCCTTTCTCGCACACACACACACACACACACACACACACACACACACACACACACACACTCTCACACATTCTCACATGCTAGACCCTTCTAAGCAGCTTGTCCGTTTTTACACATGTATCTGAACTCTCCTGCATCACTCTTGGCCATTTTCTCGCATTCGATTGCTTTTGCCGTTTTTTATTTAGATCAGTACTTGATTTCATTTTCATTTTCCAGTCTACTTTGGGGTTCTCGCAGTGGATAATTTAGCCAAAATGTTTTTCTTGTGGAGACATTAGCTGACAATTCCCACCACAGACTGGCTTGTACGTCCTCCCAGGGAGACCTAAACCTGGCTCCCCTCCCACCGCAGTTCTTAATATTGTGGATAAGAGATCCATCTTTCTCATTCTGGATACCTACTTAGTGCTCATGGAAGAAGGGGTGCCCTGCCCAGCCCCAGCTGCTAAGCTCACACCTCCTGTCAAAAAGTCCCAGGACATGCACGACGAGAGGAGCAAGCTGGTGAATGAGTATGCGTGTCGAGTGCTGGAACTTCTGGGGATGGGGCATCGTCTGTTTGTGCCTCGGCTTCTGGCGGTGAGATTGTTTTTCATTGAACTTCATTTGTAGGGAATCTGCTATCCTCTGTGAAAATTCCTTGTATCTCTGAAAGAGGCTTGTTGTCTCTGGTTTTCTTCTCCTTCTCCCCATTCTGCCGAGAAGGAAATGCTGAGTGGCCACTGTTGTGCAGCTCATTTGGAGCCTGGTCCACACCACCCCTTAATTGGTTAGAGGAGATCATGGCTCTTTTCTCAGAGCCCAGGGTCACATTAGTGGCATTATCTCTGTGGCAGCAAAAAAATGGTTTTCTGCCTGGCTAGGCTCAGCAATAAAGCAGAATACCCAAGTGCTTGATGTAGGCATTCTGTTATGTATATCTCCAAAGGGTTAAATTTTACAACAGACATAGCAACTTATCTAGACTGTGTGTGGTTTGCTTTCTAACCTCCCCATTAGATTGCCAATTTGATTGTTGTTTTGTTTTGTTTTTTGATAGAGAATTTTACCACCTAAAAATACTTTGGTAGGAAATTTTAGGTTTCTCTCCTAGAATGATTGAACTGTTTATCTGTGAAACAGCTTAAAGCTGCTGGCTTCTGTGCTGTGAATCTGGGAAGTCTGACTTGCTTGTTATTTGATTTCCTGAATAAGAGAAAAATCACCCTTCCTCATTTCCTACCAAGGGTTAAAATTAAATACCCACAATCGCTGTTGCAGGCTTGAGAACTATACCTAGCAACTATTCTATAAGGTAATTGGTTTACAGTAGTCCTATACCATTATGTGGTAATGGAATAAGAATAATTTAGCCTTGTCTGTTTTATAGAATGGAGTTTAATACCATTTTAGACTATTTCCTCACTATGGTTCTCTCATATTAGAGTCTTTTCAGTACAGTATTTACATGACTGAATTTAACTCTTTTCTCTCCTATATCTCCCTTCACTATAATTCATCTCTATTTATACTTATCTTTACAATTACTAGTTCAGTCTTTATGTATGTATTTACATGCAAATATAATCTCTTCTGTACAATCATAACAGACATGTTAGATAGCCATGTAAATAAGAAATTTCCCATCCTAAGGAAAGTCTATTTGTCATTCCAAAACAAAGTTTGATGCAGTGACTAGCATACAATTATAGGGGGGATATTTTTGAGAAATGTAGTTCCTTTGTCATTTAAAGAAGAAATAAAAAGAGCTGAAGACATGTGTTTTAATGTCCAGGTGAAGTCATTACTTCCCTGAACCTCATCTTTTTCTTAAAGGAGAAAACTAAGGATTCATGATTCTATTTAGAAAGGAGTTTTGTTTTGTTTTGTTTTGTTTTGTAAGTGAAATGAGAAGCATTTTATTTCAGGAGTTTTGATATTGTGAAGTGCTAAACTATATTTCAACAAATTCTCTACATCTCTGAGGAATCAGGCTTGGTCTAATATATTTCTGCATCCTAAAGACTACTCAACTTTGTGACTCAAAGGCTTCCAATGGTAACTTTCCAGTAATTTGGTGCCACCTCTCTTTGGCATTTACATTTTCAGTGTTTTGAAGGAAAACATAAATTGGTAATTAAGAATATTTTGCATACTCAACTCTGCATTAGGGATGAATTTAAACTGCCTCTAGTCTGAAAAAATTAATTAGCAATAAAATCCACAGGGAGTTGGGTTCTCAAGCTTGAGCTCTTTGGAGGTCATGTATATCTGTGTATTGCAATTGTACCAACTCTGGTTGGTTGCCAAATTAGGCATCTGAAGTAGTGCATCTCTCAGGTGGTCTTGAGACCTTACTTAGGCTCTATCAGTTAGAGCCTAAGTAATAATGCCACCTGCATTATGTGTGAAAAGCATATGCTAGGCCAGATGCAGTGGCTCAAGCCTGTATACCCAGCACTTTGGGAGGCTGAGGCGGGCAGATCACCTGAGGTTGGGAGTTTGAGACCAGCCTGACCAACAATGGAGAAACCCCATCTCTACTAAAAATACAAAATTAGCCGGGCGTGGTGGCACGTGCCTTTAATCCCAGTTATTTGGGAGGCTGAGACAGGAGAATTGCTTGAATCCGGGAGGCAGAGATTGCGGTGAGCTGAGATCGTGCCATTGCACTCCAGCCTGGGCAATAAGAGCTAAACTCCATCTCAAAAAGAAAAAGAAAAGCATACGCTGATTTATCTTGGGGGCCACTTGAAAATCTCTGGCTTTGTTTTACACAGTTGCACTTGAAAAATTATTGGTAATACGAGGGTACTCTACATTTTGGGAAATTACAAGTTCTTTAATTAGCAATATGGCTGTTAGTTGGGCTCTGCTATTCAGTAAGTTACTGCTCAAAGTTTAGCATGTGTACCAGGGGGAAATTGTTCAGCCTTGTGTTATTGAACTGGCTAATGATGTGGGATCAATGGCTAATCTGCACAGGACACTCCTAAGAGGAATCCTGCCACATGCAGTATTGCAATCTTTTCATTTCTAGTCAAGAGGAAGTACTAAAGTGTAAAACATCTCTTTACCTTTTTAGTCATGTTTCAAACATGAATGCTTGTGGGTTAAGCACATACAAGTACTTTATTTTACTTTTAAGATCCCATTATTTTTTTTTCATCATAAAACCAGTCATTTTTCAAAAAAATCAAATAAATGAAGATTTACCAAGATAGTGTTGTGGATTTGGTCTCTGAGCCTTATTACTTATTGTTCCCTGATTCACAGAGGGATCGTCAAACTACTAGAACTCTAGGTTTCTTTAACCTTCAGTTGGAAGGAGGTTACTGATATAATAGAGGATGCACATTTGGAATTTTTGCTTGTTACCCTTCAAAGGTACACCCAGTTAAGGACAATTTTCCTTTAATAAATCAGGTGCAAGCATGTCATTTTAGATATTACCACAAGGCCTAAATTCTATGTGTACATTCACCAAACATGTTTTTCTTTTGTGAAATTAAAATACTGAAACAGGAGATGCAAACATCCTAGACATCAGCTAACTGGTATTTCCCTTTTCTAAAGCCTGTGCTTTCAAATGATTCTCAGACCTCCAGAAATTTTTAGCTGAATAAAAATTCTGTTAGATACCATAACTAAAGGAAAAAGAAGCCATTTAGGATAAAAATAGTGAAGATAAGAAAGAGAATCACATTTAGATTTTTTTTTTTTCAAATAGTCCCCTAAAAGAATCAAACATAGAATCTGCTGCTTATTAGAGGCCCTTAAAGAAATATTTATTCAAGAATAGTGAGAAGTTTGGAATAGAAGCATCTGGAGCTAATACTCAAACAGTGGAAATATTTCCACCCACCCTACCTCTTTCAAAAAAAAAATCAGGCCAAGCGCAGTGGCTCACGCCTGTAATCCCAGCATGTTGGGAGGCTGAGGCAGGCGGATCACCTGAGGTCAGGAGTTCAAGACCAGCCTGGCCCACATGGCAAAATCCCATCTCTCCTAAAAATACAAAAATTAGTCAGGTGTGGGGGTGGGCGCCTGTAATCCCAGCTACTCTGGGAGGCTGAGGCAGGAGAATCACTTGAACCCAGAAGGTGGGATGCACCACTGCACTCCAGCCTAGGTGACAGAATGAGATTCCGTCTAAAAAAAAAAAAATTCACCTTAAAATATGATACTCTTGCACTGAATTTTTCAGTGGGAAAAACACATTGAAAATGGTATCAGTGGTGGCATGTGGCCAGAGTCCATACTCTGTAAGTGTGTGATATTTGGAGAAGGAGGAGAAACTTTGACTTTGCTTATATTCAAAATCTCCCCTTTTCCCTGCGGATGTTTTTTTTTTGTTTGTTTTGTTTTGTTTTGTTTTTTGTTTTTTTTTTTGAGATAGGGTTTCAGTTACCCAGGCTGGAGTGCAGTGGTGTGATTTTGGCTCACTGCAACCTCCGCCTCCCAGGCTCAGGCAATCCTCCCACCTCATCCTCCTGAGCAGCTGGGACTACAGGCGCCCACCACCATGCCTGGCTTATTTTTGTATTTTTTGTAGAACTGAGGTTTCATCTCATCTCTACAAAACTGGAAAGGCTGTTCTTCACCTGGGAAATTCTTGCCAACGCTGGTCTAAAACTCCTGAGCTCAAGCGATCTCTCCAGCTTGGCCTTCCAAAGTGTTGGGATTACAGGTGTGAACCACCGTGCCCGGCCTCCCTCGGGATTTTTAATTTTGCTACTATATGCCATAAGAAGTTATCAGATCATTTTATGTTAAAATTAGTGTTATCTGGAGTTTGAATACAGCTACTCATTTTCCACAGTGAATCGAAGGAGGGTTGATTATACATACACAAATGATCTAGCTGTCCCTTTTCGTAGCCATTTTAAGGTTTCATTTTGGTCAAAGTACTTATGCTGATAAATTGCATCCTAATCTTGTTTGTTTTTAACTTTGTAGACTTTCTTAAACATTAAGTTTAAGGAAGGATGAAAGAGCAGAGGAGAATATGTCTTCCCTTTTTACCTCTGTTGTTAACAGCTGCAAGGATTGCTCTTTAAAGAGAGGTTACAACTTATAACAGAAGTTAAAAACCCAAATGCAGAAGTTGCCATGTATACTTCTGATACCCCCCAAAAAATCTAAAAATCAATTTTTATATGAAAATAAGTCCTAAATACACTCCATAATTTCCATTGTATACATCTTAACTTTTGAATATTGGATATGCTTGAAGTGGAGCCTTAATAAATTCATGGAACAAATTTATGTCGATATCTATTATGTGTCAGGCAATTTGCTTAATTCATATCACTGGGGTAAGTGCAAAGGATACTTACATTAACATTCTACTTACCTTTCCCTCTGGATATTTCTTCCTACCTACTTGAAAGGGAAAAGAAGTAGGACTTGTTTAAATGACTTTACTTTTATCTTTTTATATAGTTCTATGCAAATGAAGAAAGAAGTAATGTCACCTTTGAAATGTAATTGGTAAACATGGTTCATATTATTTAAAAGGATTTGTCAGAAAGCTCAGGGAGCAAAAGACGGTTGTGTAGTAGAGCCACTAATTTCAAAAAGTTATCCTTTATTAGTTCTTATTTTATTTTATTTTTGGAGACAAAGTCTCGTTCTGTTGCCCAGGCTGGAGTGCAGTGGCATGATCTCGGTTCACTGCAACCTCCATCTCCTGGGTTCTTGCAATTCTCCTGCCTCAGCCTCCCAAGTAGCTGAGACTACAGGTGCGTGCCACCACGCCCAGCTAATTTTTGTATTTTTAGTAGAGATGGGGTTTTGCCATGTTGGTTAGGCTGGTTTTGAACACCTGACCTCAAGTGATTCACTCTCCTCGGCTTCCCAAAGTGCTGGGATTACAGGTGTAAGCCACTGCGCCCGGCCTATTAGTTCTTATTTAAAAGCTGGTAGAGTTATTTTCTTTATTTTCCAAGGGAAGGAAACATGCCTCTGCTTATTGAAATTGTCGAAATCTTATTCGTATTATCTTCTGGCTAACATTACTTAACTAATGTTGGGAAAGGAGTTGCATTTTCATTATTTTACTCTTCCCTCGCCATTGTTCTGAAAGCAATATAGAAAAGCTCTAACAATTTCCCAGTTGAAGAACAGCCTTTCCAGTTTAAATCAGTTTTTCTAGCCTGAAGGGATTTTGTTCAGTGAGCACAGATGTATAATTGTAAACCAGAAGCCAGCACAACCTATTTTGGGTACTTGGTTTGGTTTTTGAAGTGTTAGTCTGCCTTTTAGGGGTACATTTTTAAAGCATAGATCTTATGATCGCAAGATCATTCGTTAAGCCTCTTCATTGTCAGGGTAAGGGTTTAGTATTCATACAATTATAAACTCAATTATGAGCACTAATTATCTGCAGAGCCAGCTCATTAATAATTAGTATGTGTGCAGGCATGGTAGCTCACTCCTGTAATCTTAGCTACTAGGAAGACTGAGGCAGGAGAATGGCTTGAGGCCAGGAGTTAAAAACCAATCTGGGCAACATAGCAAAACCCCATCTGTAAAAGAAACAAACAAAAAAACAAATTTGCCAGGTGTGGTGGTGCATGCCTGTAGTCCAAGCTACTAGGAAGGCTGAGACAGGAGGATTGCTTAAGCCCAGGAGTTTGAGGCTCTAGTGAGCTATGATTGTGCTACCGCACTTCAGACTGGATGACAGAGCAAGACCCTGCCTCTAAAAAAGTAACAACAATAATAACAATAATTAGTGCTAGGATGGTGAGATAGTAGCACTAGGATGGTGAGAACTGGTTCTGGAGCCCTGGTTGACACCATGTTTTATTTTCATAAACAGCACTACTACTTGTATTTTAGACTAATTACATTACATTAATGCTTGACATTCATAAAGCTTATTTATTTATTTATTTTGAGACAAGGTCTCACTCTGTCACCTAGGCTGGAGTACAGTGGTGCAATATCAGCTCACTGCAGCCTCCATGTCCCAGGTTCAAGCAATTCTCCTGCCTCAGCCTCCAGAATATCTGGGATTACAGGCGTGTGCCACTACGCCCGGCTAATTTTTGTATTTTTAGTAGATACAGGGTTTCACCATGTTGACCAGGCTGGTCTCGAACTCCTGACCTCAAAGTGATCCGCCCACCTTGGCCTCCCAAAATGCTGAGATTACAGGTGTAAGCCACCATGCCTGGCCTGTAAAGCATATATATTTAACAAAATAATATGTATAGGTGATTCAAATTTTGTTAAATATGTGTAAGATATGTATGTAATGATGGGGTAAAGGACTATAAATAATGTAATAAAATATTAATTATGTTTATCTCTGTAGTCAGACCTTATATTAGGCTTTTAAAAAATTTTTTATTTTGGGCCATGAATATGTAATCAAGAAAAAGTTTATGACCCCACCATGTAGACAATACACATACATATGTACGAATTATGATTGAAAAAGTATTCTTTTAAAAAAAAAGCCAAACAACTTTTGATAAATTCTTAGTGAAACATCCAAATCTTTGCAGAACAAGAAAACATCCAATCTTTGCCGAGCAAGAAGTGTCTATCCCTTGATTGTAGAGGGAAAAACCTCTTAGATACAGTTGTCAGCAAATGAAGAGTTATCTCTGTAAGCTTATAATCTGCTTATGGCATTACAAAGGCATTTGAGGTAATACTTAATGATTATGGAAGTCTCTCGAAGATAGAAAATTGGAGGAAAAAACCCATCAGAATCAAAGTAGGACTAACTACAGGTTGTCTTCTAGAATACTGGCAGCAAGGTTTTTGTTTTATGTGTTTTGTGCTTACTGGCATTTTTGTTTTCGTTCACAATGAAATTAGCTGTATTGCAGCCCATAAGAAAAATATAAGTTCTTCCAACTTAGACTGCCCACTTTATGGAATTAAAAATATCAGTGAGGCCAGGCACAGTGGTTCACATCTGTAATCCCAACACTTTGGGAGGCCTGGGTGGGAGGACTGCTTAAGGCCAGGAGTTTGAGACCAGCCTGTGCAACGTAGCGAGACCCCCATCTCTACCAAAAACAAAACAAAACAACAACAACAACAACAACAACAAATTCTTTTTTTTTTTTTTTTTTGAGATGGAGTCTCACTGTATTGCCCAGGCTGGAGTGCAGTGCAGTGGCGCGATCTCGGCCCACTGCAAGCTCCGCCTCCTGGGTTCATGCCATTCTCCTGCCTCAGCCTCCCCAGTAGCTGGGACTACAGGCACCCATCACCATGCCCGGCTAAAATTTTTTTTGTATTTTTAGTAGAGATGGGGTTTCACCGTGTTAGCCAGGATGGTCTCAATCTCCTGATCTCGTGATCTGCCCGTCTCAGCCTCCCAAAGTACTGGGATTACAGGCATGAGCTACCGTGCCCAGCCAAAAAAGAATTCTTAAAACGTAGCTGGCATGGTGGCACACGCATGTAGTCCTGGCTACTCGGGAGCCTAAGATGGGAAGGTTTCTTGAGCCCAGGAGTTCGAGGCTGCAGTGAGCTATGATTGCACCATCGTACTCCAGCCTGGGCAACAAATTGAGGCCCTGTCTCAAAAAACAAACAAAAAATTCAGTGAGAGCAAGGTACTGCTTTTAGCCACTAAGATATCTATTTTTGAGCATATTTGAGCAACACAGATGCTATCACCCCTTATATTTCTTTTGGAATTCAAAAAATGCACTCTTATACCTTAAATTATTTCATTCTCAAATACTTGTTTTTTTGGTGTGTGTGTGTGTTGGTTTTTCTTTCTTTCTTTTTTTTTTTTGAGACAGAGTTTCACTCTTGTTGCCCAGGCTGGAGTGCAATGGTGCAGTCTCGGCTCTCTGCAACCTCCACCTCCTGGATTCAAGCGATTCTCCTGCCTCAGCCTCCCAAGTAGCTGGGATTACAGGCATGCGCCACCACGCCTGGCTAATTTTTTTTATATTTTTAGTAGAGATGGAGTTTCACCGTGTTGGTCAGGCTGATCTGGAACCCCTGACCTCAAGTGATCCACCCGCCTCGGCCTCCCAAAGTACTGGGAATACAGGTATGAGCCACCAAGCACGGCCTCATTCTCAAATACTTGTGATTAAAGATATTCCCATTTTTTAAATGGGAAAACTTACATAGCACTACAAGTTTGCCAAAGTTGAAGTTAAAATGAATTTATTACATCCTTTGCAACCCTGAGTACCTTTAATGTGTCAAGTACTCCAGAGGCTGAGGTTAGCAAATTGAATAAGATGCAGTTTTCACACCTTTGTATACTTGAGCCTCCCTGCCCCATGGTTGCCAGATCTCTTCTCTTCTTGAGCTTAACTGAGCTGGGCAATCCATGTGATTTGCAGCAATATCAACACCAACAATGTCTAGGAAAGGACAGCCACAGGGAACTCTGGCTTCTCGTGTCCAGAGACTTAACCTGAGTTAGGCTTCAGCCCCACCCTGGTGGGAACCCCATTGCTGTACCCTCCCTGAGGCTATTAGCCTCTCTTAAGCAGCATCTCTGCCTACATGGCCATCCCTGCTTGACTAGAGGTCCGGTGTGTGAGAATGTAGGATTCCTCATTCTTGATACCAATCTATCTGCTTTTGTATGTGCTAAAAGGCTGGATTTGAAATTAGGCCTTGGCAATATTAGAAAATTAGATAACTATGCTACTGTCTGCAGAGAAGAGATCGCCCATCACCATTTTGGGGCATCTGTTTCCAGGTAACTAGAGGTTAATTGCATTGAAAATAGAAGAGGTGCCTTCAGAGGACTTTCGGTAGTGAGGAAAGGGTTAATCCTGTTTCTCCACAAACCCTGGAAGCAGTTTGTCTGGAATTGTCCAAACCACTACCAGAGAGCTAATCATCAGAACTGGTATTACATGTGAAAAACGAAGCCTAGGGATGTGTGGTACATCTGGTAGAATTGGTAGCTGGATGCTTTCCCCCATAATTCAGCCGTTGATATTTTAGTTAGAGAGGCTCTCTCTCAGACTGAAGTTGTTTCCAGTAACTGCCTTTTCCAGCTAAGTTAAGGTGAGTTGAGAGCATGCTAAGCATTCTCCACCACTTGTTGCTATTGCATCTGTATGTTTATGAGGAAAGAGAAATCTGAGATGTACTGGAGTTTTTTGTTTTTTCATTACCACTGTTAGCCTAGCTCCATTTTTTGATTACTAATTTGTGGACCTTTGTGAAACTGCCTGGTATGAATATGTTCTTTTCTTTCACATTTCTGTTTAAAGGGCAGGGGAAAAGGGAAGCAAACTCTAGCAAAAGAGAGATGAAAGTAGATTTCATTCATTTATTCTGTTAGAAATTTGAGTGCCTCCTATATTCTGGGCATTGTTCTTGTTGCTGTGGATGTAGCAGTGTGAAAGACAGACAAAGAGGGGAAGAAGGGGAGCAGATATAAAACTGGAAAGTGAATTGGTGGGGAATGGGCTAGGAGGAAGAATTTAAGTGCTCAGAGAAGGTCTCACTCAGATCTTATATTGAGCTAAAATCTAGATTACAAGATGTTGCTAGGATTGGACTACATGTCTTGCTAGTCATGATAATGACTTGGACCAGGGTGGTGATGACGAAAACTGAGACCCTGTTACAAGCAGGAATTTCTCTGGCTTCCTGCCTACTTTTTCAGTGCAGTCTTTAATCAGCTTTACATTTTAATTTAAATAAAGTAATATTTTGACACAGCATGTAGTTATGTGATTTCTGGGTGCTTTTTTAATTGTTGAAGTTTTTGACTATTAAGTACTGACTGTAAAACATCTAATTTGTTTTTGGCTTCTGTGTACTCATCTTCCTAAATCTATAATATGTATCACAGTGTTTGCCAAAGTTGTTTATAGCTGTTTATTAAAATATTTATTGTCTTTCTTATTATAAAAGCGTTATACAGAAAGTATAACAAAATGTAATGAAAAAAATAACCTTCAGGTTACAGTGACCCATGCCTGTAATCCCAGCACTTTGGGAGGCTGAGGTGGGAAGATACCCTGAGCCCAGGAGTTATCAGCTTGGGCAACAGAGTGAGACTCCCATCTCTATTTAAAAAAAAAAAAATTATAAGTAGCTGGGTGTGGTGGTGTGTGCCTGTAGTTCCATCTACTCAGGAGGCTGAGGCGGGAGGATCACTTGAGCCTGGGAGGTTGAGGTTGCAGGGAGCCATGATTGCACTATGCACTCCCGCCTGGGCAACAGGAGACCTTGTCTCAAAAAAAGTAAAAATAAGTGGTATAACCCATGATTCCACTATACAGATAAACATTTTGTTTTCTTTTTAGTCTTTTTTCTGTGCACAGATATATTTATTTCCAAATGGTTTTTTAGTTTTTGAAGAAGTAAATTTGGTAAACAATAGTTTTCAGAAGAGATCAGTAGTTAGGTGGTTTGTTTCATTTACTTTTTCATAGCATTCTTCAAGGTATGGGATCAATTTCCTATTCTTTTCACTTGAACTGCTGCTGTCATTAGTTGAAAAGCCATCTTCCCATTAGGTGTTTATTGTGTAACTGATGTATTTTGGTTGCATTTTCTATGTCTTCAGCCAGCTTTTTAATAATATCCTTAAAATGTTCATTGAGCTGAAGTCACAGATTAGTCCTAGAGTCCAGTTTCTTTTCCTTTTTTAGCCTTATTCTTTTCTCAGAGCTGTAACTTGGTAAGCTTTGCCAGGAACCATCATTCTAATTTTCAGGTAATATGAATTCAGTATGTTAGTTTGTTCATTAACTCTTAGATTGCTTCTGTGATTTATGGTGATTTATTTCAGCTTATAGTAACATCATCTAAATATTGAAATGTTAGAAATATCTTCTTAAAATGTTTGGAACTAACTTAGATCTTAGCTATAAAAGTATATTCAAGAAAATATAAATTCTTTTTGAAATATATTTGTCCTCAAAGCAGGCTGAAATGTAATGACGATTCTTGATGATTATTTTGCAGACCTCAAAGGAAGACCTTCTGCAGGCTGATTTTGAAGGTGCTTTAAAGTTCTTTAGAGTTCAGCTTCCAAAGAGATACAGGGCAGAGGAAAATGCAAGAAGACTGATGGAGCAGGCTTGCAATATTAAAGTAAGAACATGAGTTTTTATATAATAAAGGTAAAATATGAGTGCAGAATAATATGACAAATTATGTAAAAATTTTTTTATATGTTGCAAGGTTTGATTATGTTTAAGATTAGATTGTGTATGAACTGATTTCTCCCAGATGTGTTTGTCAGGCTAATGTGTGTATAGTAGCTGTACCTTCTAGTAGGACTTAAAGTTGGCAGGCTCAGATTATAACAATAGGAAGATAAACATTTATCTCATAGGTGGGGCTCTAGAGTGGGCTGCTGTGATAGTGGTTTCCATGGAAGCAGACTTAGTATTTAGCTTTTGCCATCTGTTTTAAGATTATTTAGGACAAAGCAAGAAAAGCTTGCTTAGGCAATGCTTTCATTTCTCTAAGTGACTTGGAAAGTTTGAGTCTTGATCTGCCCATTCCCATCCCACACCTGCCAAATATCTGTGGATACATTGGTCCATGTCACATGTCTGATAAAGCTAAACACATTTTATAAATCAATTTGAAATTGAAAACTCTTTCCAGAAAGTTGTAGTATTAAGGTGAGAGAGCACTCTTAAAATATTTGGAACCAATTTACTGATGTTAATTCTTATACCTCTACAATATACCAGGGTATCTTTTTACCTAACCATAACGTAAATATAAATTGTTTTCCTAAACAAACAGAGATCCTGGTCTTAGGGACTTTACATTCTTGCAGAAGGAAACAGACAATAAGCAACATAATAAATACATTATTTATTTAACATGTTAGAAAGTGATAAATAGCTGTGAAAAAAAAGAGAGTAGGGGAAGATAAAGGGAGGTTGGATTAGTGGGGGAGCAAAGGTTATGATTGTTATTAGATAGTCAATGTGGACCTCACTGAGTCAATGAAGGAGATGAGAGATTAGTCATGGAGATGTCCTGGGGAAAAGCTTTCTAGGCAGAGTCAATAGCCAGTTCAAAGGTCCAGAGACTGCCTCATGCCTGGGTGGGCTTGAGAAACAGGAAGGCCAGTGCAGCTGGAGTGAAGTGAATGAAATGGGAGTAGTAGGAATGCTCACAAAGAGCCAGAAAATGTAGGCCATTGTAAGCATTTAGGCTTTACTTTGAGTGAAGCAGGGAGCTCTTGCAGGGTTTTTAGTGGAGCAATGATATGATCTGTCTGAGGTTTTTAAAGGATCACAATGGCTATTTTGTTAAAAACAACCATAGGAAGGTAAGAGAAGTAGGGACATCAAACAGGAGATTTTGGAGTAATCCTCTTGAGAGATGATGATAGACTGAACCAGGGTGTTAACAGTGGAGATAGAGATGGAGTGGAGATGGAGATGGTTGGAACCTGAGTATTTTTGAAAGAGAACCAATAAGATTTCCTGATATATTAAATGTGAGTGTGAGGAGAAAAGAAGAGTTAAAATGATTGCACTGATTTTGAACTACGCAACTAGGAGATAAGAGTCACCATCAACTTATTAAGCATATTACTTAAAAGGTACTTTGACACAGACTTCTTTTAGGCACCAGAGCCACTGTAACATTTTTTGGTATAACACAATCTTTTTAAATTTAAATCAAATTATAAATGTTAAAAAGTACAGTTAAAAAGTACACTGAAAGTAAGTAACTGGGCAGAAAAAAATTATTTTGTCTTTCAAGTGAGCTTTATATTCAAAGAGATCATTTTCCAAAGCTATCATAAGAAAGATGGATTTCTGAAGTTTTCATTCTGAAATGCAAACTCTTTAAAGCCTTCACGACTGATTGTTTTATTTGGCCAAAGTGTAAGCCACATTTATTTGTAACTTTGAAAGTATACTCTAGTGGGCATGATGCCTTTGACTGAATTTTGTGGGTGGTGAGTTTGAAAGGTAGGCTTCAGCCAACTGATTGTTTCGGAGATGCCAGAGAGAAGTATTGTAAATTGGGTCAATGTTGTAGGCATCCTTTAAAATAAAATATTTATTTCTAAGAATAAAAGAGTAGAGAAATAAGAGGTACAGGTAAGGTGAAAAGTTAAAGGTTTTCAAGGGAAATCTCAGAGGATTGCCAAGTCACTGAGGACAAAAGAAACCCAGGAAAACAATTGAAAAACATGAAATGTATAGGGAAAATTTTTTTCTCCAATATAATTTATGAAGTTCCTGGAGGTGGCTAGTTATTATCAATCCAGAAACATGGGATCTGAGAGATGGAGAAGCGTAAAATGTTAGAAAACAAGTTCAAAATATAATCCAAATGGACTGCTCCTGGAAGGGAAGTGCTGGGTACAACCAGAATAAATTTTTTGGACATGAATAGGTAAATATGAATATTTTTAAAGCTTTTAATAAGATTTCAATAATTTAAAATTTTTAATAATTTAATAATTTGTAAAGTTTTAATAGTTTTTTGTGGGGTTTTCTTTGCATTATCTAAGGAGAATGCCTTTTTCTTGGATATTTAAGACGGTATCCACGGGACACCATTTCATTTATAACATATAATTGTAGAGTGAATGATTGTGAGGCAGATGTGAGGTGAAACTGAAAGAAGGAAGACATAAGTCATCCAGTATTGGGCTGGGATTGTGCTGGGACTAGAATGTAGGTCTCCAATCCAAAGGTCTAAAATTGTTTTTAAACCAAGACCTATATTTTGGTTGCTTTTATGTCAAGACCATGACTATATGTACGTACTTACATACACATAACTGAAGAGATACTTACCCTTACACTGAGGCACTCTGATGTTTTTTGTTCTATTGTATTGTATTTCCTTTTTTTTTTTTGAAATGGAGTCTCATTCTGTTGCCCAGGCTGGAGTGCAGTGGCACAATCTCTGCTCACTGCAACCTCCCAGGTTCAAGCAATTCTCCTGCCTCAGCCTCCTGAGTAGCTGGGACTACAGTCATGTGCCACCACGCCTGGCTATTTTTGTATTTTTAGTAGAGACAGGGTTTCACCATGTTGGCCAGGCTGGTCTCGAACTCCTGACCCCAAGTAATCCGTCCGTCTCAGCTTCCCAAAGTGCTGGGATTACAGGTGTGAGCCACCATTGCCCAACCTATTGTATTGTATTGTATTGTATTTTAAACTTCTCCCCGGATCCCAAGAAAATCCCCAAACCAAAAGGCTGACCACAACCCACTAAATCGATTTTACAATAGCTTGTAGTTTTGAAAAAACACTAAGACCTATCCCACTGTTCCTACCACCTCCCCGTTCCCCACTCTGATCTGCCACAACCCATGAGAGGCTGTAGATGACGAGGTGTTACAATGAATAATGGAAGTGCATGTGTAGGTAAGGATGTGAGTCATCATGCCATCATTACAGCAGCTTGTGCTGGCAGTTGGAAATTTTAGGAGATGATGGACTTATAGACTGAGACTTATGTGTTAGACAAAGCATTCATGGACAAAGGTGACTGCAGGCATGGAATAGGCAAGAAAGTTTAACTCCTTATCCATAGCCTATTTAAGATTAAAGATAGAATTTCTGCCAAAAGTAATCAAGTTTTAAACATTTTTAAATTATTTTCAAAGTTGGTGTTGTATATAGTTGTGTCTTTTTTGAATGGACATGTTCCCATTTAATTACCCCCCAAAATAATCACTTTCCTTTAATTTTAAGGAACTGTAACCAGTGATTTCAGTGAAACTGAAACTGGCTTTAAAATAGATGCAGCAGTTGCAAGCAAAAAATAACTTGTTAGCTCTGTATGTGGTTTATTTCTGTGAGTGTACCAACAAGATTTGTTAATAAAGCACATTAGATTGGATAAATAATTTTATTTTTCCAAAACTTGTATGACATTAAATATCAGGAACATTTTCAATAGCTTCTAAACTGGTAATTTAACTAATGTGACTCCAAGTTATTCTAATACCCTTCTGTTCCTATGGTTTCAACTAGGCCAAAATCAGAAAACATATTGACCCATCAGGCTTTACTTTGAACAGTCATTTGGTTACTTTTAATATTGAAATCAAGACCTAAATAAAAGATGTTTAAAGTGCCTAATATGAATATCCTGTATTTTCCCAGGGAGTCAGTTTTTATTAAATATCATACTTTGATTTTTGCCTTATAGTTAAAAATGCTGCCATTGCAGAGCTTCTTAAACTTGGATTTTGGCTTCAGAGACTCTGAATTACCAGAAATTTGAATTTCTTTGTATGAACATATGAGCATTTTGTTTTTCTTAGTAACATAATACATAGCTTTTTTTTTTTTTTTTTTTTTTGAGATAGAGTTTTGCTCTTGTTGCCCAGGCTGGAGTGCAATGGTGCCATCTCAGCTCACTGCAACCTCCGCCTCCCGGATTCAAGCAATTCTCCTGCTTCAGCCTCCCGAGTAGCTGGGATTATAGGCATGCACCACCACGCCCAGATAATGTTCTATTTTTAGTAGAGATGGGGTTTCTCCATCAGGCTAGTCTCATACTCCCGACCTCAGGTTATCCACCCCCCTTGGCCACCCAAAGTGTTAGGATTACAGGCGTGAGCCACCACACCAGGCCTCGTAATATATAGCTTTATTAAGTGCATATACACATAATCTTTATAATTCTTGATCTGATTACCTGTTTTTCTACATATTTTTATTCAATACCATTTATATTGTATCAGGTTGAATTGATGAAATTACCATTCCTGTTGGTCAGAAACTGTCAGGTATTTGATTGGTTTATGATTTATGATTCAGTATTTTATGCCTCCTTACAGCTCAAATAGGTGCATATGTAGCTTAGCTCTATGGCCATGTAAACTTTTCCTGAGAATTATTCTCCAAAGGCTAAGAAACAAGTCTTTTTTTTTTTTTTTTGAGATGGAGTCTTGCTCTGTCACCAGGCTGGAATGCAATGGCGCGATCCCTGCCTCCTGCAACCTTCGCCTCCCTGGTTCAAGCAGTTCCCCTGCCCAGCCTTCCGAGTAGCTGGGACTACAGGCGTGCGCCACCATGCCTGGCTAATTTTTTGTGTTTTAGTAGATTCAGGGTTTCACCATGTTGGCCAGGATAGTCTCGATCTCCTGATCTCATGATCCACCCACCTTGGCTTCCCAAAGTACTGGGATTACAGGCGTGAGCCACTGCACTCGGTCAGTCCTTTTTTTTTGTTTTGTTTTGTTTTTAAGTTGATTTTTATTTGGAATAATGTTCCAAGTACCATATTTACGATGGACTTCAGTAGTAGCAAAGTTCATAAGCACAATCATCCAAAATTTTCTGTTGGTAGAGCTTTATAATAGAGCTTTTTAAAATATGTTAGTTTATTTCACTTGTATTTCATTAGTAAAATAATTTGAGCAAAATTAAAAGGCAAAATCTGACATTAACCTAAAGGAAGAAAATTAGGAAAGAAAAGTTATTTATTGAGTGCCTGTTGTGTCCCAGGAACTATGCCAAGAGGACTTTTCAGAGGAAGTAAGAGTTAAAATGAAATCTGAAAGATTATTAGGAGTTAAGGAGTGTATCAAGGCAGGGAGAAGGATGTTTCATGCAGACAATATGCAGAAGCCCATAGGTAAAAAAAATATGGAGTTGCCCAAGACCTGAATGTAGGTCATGACTGGAGAGTAGGTTGCAAGGAGGGAGAGGCAGTTAGGGGAGTAGATAGAGAAAAGACTAGAGAGGTAAGCAGGAGCCAGCCAGCTTGTGCAGAGCCTTGTAAACCACGGTAAGCAATTTGGATTTTATCCTGAGGGGAGTGATAAGCACTGAAGGATTTAAAATAGGAGACATAAATTATCAGGTTATTGTTAGGAAGGTCATTCTGGTTGCTGTGTGGGAATGGATTGAAAGGGTTAAGATTCGGTATTGGTGACAGACCATTTCAGGAGCTGTTGCAGTCATCTAGGTGAGAAGAGACCAGAGTTTTTGTAATAGGCTGAAGAAATTATGGATGAATTCCAGAGACATTCAAGACATAAAATTAACAGATTTTAGTGATTACATGTGAGCCTCAGGGCAGATAAAGAGAGCCAGCGATAGCACTTAGGATTCTTACTTAAGCAACTTGGTGGAAATCACACTGAGAAAGGAAACAAACAAGAGAACAAATTATAAGCACTAAAGATAATGAGTTAACTTTTGAATATGTTGTTCGTGGTACATATCCACAACTCATATCCAAGTAGATATAAATATCCAATAGGCAGGTGGATACTGAAGTGAGATCTGAGCTAAAAGTAGACATTTGGGAGTCATCAGCATTGAAACCATGGGAGTGGGTGAATTCTTATAGCGGAGTATATACAATGAGCAGAGAGAAGGGTGGAGGATAGATGCATTCACATGTAAAATACAGATGAGGGAATAGAAGCTGGTGAGACTAGAAGGCAGGAAGAAACCCAGAAGAGTATGACTGTGAACACTAAGGGAAAAGGTGTTTGTTTTCAAGAAGGAAGGAGTTGAACAAGTGTCAGTGGTACCTAGAGGTCATGTATAAGGTACTGAGAAGTGGAAAGTAGCTATTGTGCAATATTTAACGAAAAGACATCCTTAATGGTCTTAATGAAAGTAGTTTCAGTTAAGTTATGACAAATAAAAGCCAATGATTCAAGGAATAAATAGCAGGTGAGTAAATAGAGAAATGAAGATGAGACTGTTTTTCTAAGAAGGTTAGTATGGGGAGAGGATGGAAAATGGAAGAGATAGCCGGTAATTGGACTGAGCATGGTGGCTCACACCTGTAATCCCAACACTTTGGGAGGCGGAGGTAGGAGGATCACCTGAAGTCAGGAGTTTGAGAGCAGCCTGGGCAACGAAGTGAGACCCCATCTCTACAAAATATTTGAAAAGGCTGGGTGTGATGGCTCACACCTGTAATCCCAGCACTTTGGGAGGCTGAGACAGGTGGATCACTTGAGCCCAGGAGTTTAAGACCAGCCTGGGCAACATGGTGAAACCCCGTCTCTACCAGTAAAAAAGAAAAAAAAAAATTAGCCAGGCATGGTGACATGTGTCTGTAGTTTCAGCTACTCAGGAGGCTGAGATGGGAGGATTTTTTGAGCTTGGGAGGCATGGGTTGCAGTGAGCTAAGATCATGCCACTGCACTCCAGCCTGGGTGACAAGAGTGAGACCCTGTCTCAAAAAAACTCCAAAAATTATCTGGGCATGGTGGCACATGCCGGGAGTCCTAGCTACTTGATTGGCTGAAGTGGAAGGTTGGCTTGAGCCCAGGAGTTGGAGGCTGCAGTGAGCTATGACTGTGTCATTGCATTCCAGCCCAGGTGACAGAGCAAGACTCTGCCTGTCTCTAAAAAAAAAAAAAAAAAAAAAAAAAAGAGATAGTCAGCAAGCCTGAGAGTAAGTATGGGAGAGAGAGAGATGAGTAAGTACAAGAGAGAGAGATAAGAGGATGTTGAGACTAAGATGGATTTTTGGAGGATGGGAAAGATGAGTCTTTAATGCTAAAAAAATTTCCAATGACTCTTAATTTCTTCTTTGAGCACCTACTATATGCCAGGCATTGTACCAGATAGACCCAGGGAATATGAGATTGAGCAAAAGCACATATGCTCTCAGAGCTCATGGAATTCACAGTGTTAATTTAATCACCTTAATAAATGTATACTTACAGAGTGAGATAAATGTTCAGAAGAGATATAATAAAGATATATGAGAGCAAAGAGCAAAGGAACCTGACCTTGACTCAATGATCTAGAGAAAGCATTCTTGAACTGAGATTACAAGGTATTCCAGACTGAAAAGCAGCATATGCAAAGCCTGTGAAGAGGGAGAGAATATAGTAAGTTGTAGAAACTAGGAGAAGGCCAGTTTGACTGTACTTCAGAGAATGATGACAGTTGATATCCAGGGACCAAACCACTTCATCTACCAATAAGAAGGAAAAGCCCACAGAAAGAGAAAAGTTAAAGATTAAATAAAGAAAGGGAAATATATTAACAGGAAAAGGACTCTGAGGAGGTAAGGGATTAACCTCAAAAGAATGGACCTTTCATTACAAGCTGGAGGGAATAGGCAAGGGAAGGATGGGGAAAATGGTGAATGTGTAGTTTGGTGAGGAAGAAATTGAGGATATTTCATTTGAAGTTTTCTATTGTTTCTGTTAAACAGGATCTAGGATGAAGGGAATGCAGTAAAGTGACAGCTTTGAGAAACATGGAAGAGCTTTTAGACTGGAAAAACTCAAAAGAACAGCTAGTCTATATTGTTGTAGACTATGAGTTCATAGTGGCAAAAATCTACAGTGTTTTGTAATTTTCTTTAGAAACATTTAGTAGTCCAAATGTATATATGAAGAAGACAGAAGGTTATTTTAACCACAGTTGAGGTTTGCCAATATGAGGCAAAGGAAGGACATGGGGCCAGGGCAGTTGTGCTAATAAACTGTATATTGGGTTGGGGAGTAAGAGGGAGTAGAGAAAGAGGTATCCCTGATTTGTAGCGTTTGCCCATTTCCATGGTATGAATACTCCCACCATGGCCAAATTTCAAGCTACCAATGACTTAACCGCCCCACTCAATTTCTGAATATTAAGAGCCACTTTTGAGCTGGTAGTTTCTGACACTGGTACACCACAGGGTTGAGGAGATGAGGCTAATAGCAGGAGAGTGGTTGACATGATGGGAAATGGAGTCTAATTAATAGAAAAGAGAGTGAAGATAGATGGGACTGAAAGACTACAAGAAAAGGGCCTGGGAGAAGGGAACAAAGAATTATTGGACTCAGGAAGAATGGCGGAAGAGGAGATTAATTCCCTTATTGGGGGTTACCCAAGATAAAAAGCATCTTTTTCTCAAAAATTCATATATTTTAAAGAGAACTTTCTGATACTAGAAAGTAATATTGCCCTGGGCTCGCCCCTGTAATCTTAGCACCTTGGGAGGCTGAGGCGGGCAGATCGCCTGAGCTCAGGGCTTCAAGATGAGCCTGGCCAACATGGTGAAAACCCGTATCTACTAAAATACAAAAATTTCCCTAGGCATGGTGGCACGTGCCTATAATCCTAGCTACTCAGGAGGCTGAGGCGTGGGAATTGCTGGAGTCCGGGAGGTGGAGGTTGCAGTGAACTGACATTGCACCACTGCACTCCAGCCTGGGCGACAGAGTGAGACTCCATCTCAAAAAGAAAAAAAAAAAAAAACTGCCCTGTGCTCATAATTTCCAGTGATCGCAGCAAAACCATGCCAATTACTATTTTGGCATTCATGGCCACCTCCTATGATTTACTTCTCTTTGTCCTAATAATTCTGCCACCATCACTACCATTTTACTCTGATCACATGATTAAGAGTTGGAAATGCATTGTGGGAGGAATAGACAAAGATGGCAGAGGCAGTGCAGGTAGCGGGAATGAGGGAATGAGGAAGGGCACTCATGGTTAAAAACAGAATCCTGACCCAGCATCTTCTCACACACCAAAATTGTCTTCCTACCCCGTGCTAAAGAGGTAGCTACCAATGATAAGATGTTACTTATCACCTACTTGCCTCAGAAAATTCTAAGCTCTGCTCCAGCTCAATTACCTATATATTGTGCTGGACTATTTTCTACTCTCCCAAAGTTGCAAATACAATTTGATCTTACCCCTCACAAATCATGTTTTTAATGAGACAGTGGTAGATTCCTTTATCTAGAATTTAATTTTTTTTCTCCGAAGACCTCCATATTCATAACTGGATTTGAATGTTTTTGAAAATAACTTTCACAGTAGAGCAAAACTGTAAAGAACAATTGCATTAAAAGCAATTTACCTCTAATTTCTTCATGCTGTTTGCTATTTATTCCTGGCTGTTGTTGCTGTACGTGAACAAGAATGTACTCTCTGAAATAGAGGCTTTCTTTGAATTAGCACTGAGGTCCTACAGAAGTTTTTGTCAACTTCATGGATCTAAAATGTGTGCTTTTATGTACACCATTGAAAAGATTCACTTTTGATTAAAACACATCTTGTGTTCCTTTTCTATAAAGACCTCTATATGTTGACAACCACATTTGAGTTGTTAGGTTTAGTGTCATAATCTTCTGCTGGAGAAATGTTATCATGTTATAGGATACAGATGTGATAATTAACACATTGATAATAAAGCTGGGTGCGGTGGCTCACGCCTGTAATCCCAGCCCTTTGGGAGGCCGAGGCGGGTGGATCACGAGGTCAGGAGTTGGAGACCAACCTGGCCAACACAGTGAAACCCTGTCTCTACTAAAAATACAAAAATTAGCCGGGCATGGTGGCGCACGCCTGTAGTCCCAGCTACTCGAGAGGCTGAGGCAGGAGAATCACTTGAACCTGGGAGGCGGAAGTTGTGGTGAGCGGAGATTGCACCGCTGCACTGCAAGCCTGGGCAATGGAACAAGACTGTGTCTCAAACAAACAAAAAAAATTGATAATGAAGTAGTTTCTATATCAAAGCATTTGCCACTGTTTGCCTTTGAGACTTCTATTAACACTCATAGTCTTCAGTGCACCTTAGATTGGGGTATTGTTTTGTTTTATTCCCAGTGAGCAGGGAACATGTTAATGTTGGACATGTTCTGAAACAGTTGATAACAGGCAGAGGAAACAGGTCAGAGCTCCAGATGCTTAGGCATCAGGCACCTTCCACATTTAAAAAACTCAGCTTTTGTGGCCCTTCCTAATCAGCTAGAACAGTGGTCTCCTACCAGGGATCATTTTCATGGAAGACAATTTTTCCATGGTGGAGGGGGAGGGCATTAGATTCTCATAGACAGAGCAGTCTAGATCCCTTGCATGTGCAGTTCACAATAGGGTTCACGCTCCTATGAAAATCTAATGCTACTGCTGATCAGACAGGAGGCAGAGCTCAGGCCATAATGCTTGCTCTCCCACGAGGCACCTCTTTCTGTGTGGCCCGGTTCCTAATGACCGGTACTGGTCCGCTGCCTGGTGGTAGGGACCCCTGAGCTAGAACACATTTGTCTTCTTTATTTGCTTCTGCCATTTTGTTTCTACCCTGTACCTACTTCTGCCAGTCATTTTCTGGCAGTTCATTAAAAAGAAAGCCATACATACATTTTAAAATTAACCTGATGGGTAAACTAATGGATATAAAAATTGATTTATATTTGGGCAACTCTTTTCTTAGAAAAACAAATAGTAAACCATAGGAATAGAGCATTATGCCTTTATAGACGTTCCAAAATTGGAACTATGTGCATTCCATGCATAATTAACAACAAAAAGAACATCAGAATTGCTATCTCACCTAGTAGTTTATTTTTCTTCAAAAACTTTAAGTTTTCTTTTTTTCCCTGCACCTAATTCACGCCCAGCAGTCTTATAATGGATCAAAACCTAATGATTATGCTCTTAAATAAGAGTTTCCATATTTTGTTTACCTTTCTGAAGTGTTTTGCCAATTACCTTTTATCCAGTAGTTGTGATTTATATCTATCAGAGTTGCCATAACGTTAGAACTTGTCTTCACTATTGGGAACAGCAGTAATCAATAATTTTCCCGCAACCATTTACCGTGATTCTACATTTCTTTGAATTATTTTATTTATTTATTATCACTTGAATTCATATTAACATTATGTTTAAAGTGTGCTTCATGATTTGTATTTGGGGATCCGATTTACAGAAGAAAAGAAAACATTCCTCTGAACCCTTGTTGCTTCTCACTGGAAATAATTTCATTATGTTAGGCAACAATAAAAATAAATGAAGAGAGGTTGGTTAATGAGCACACAAGCATACACTTTGATAGAAGGAATAAGTTATAGTATTCAGTAGCACATCAGGGTGACTATAGTTAATAATTTATTGTGTACTTCAAAATAGAAGATTCAAAAGGTTCCCAACAAAAAGAATTGACACATGTTTGAGGTGATCGATATCCTAGTACTCTGATGTAATCATTACACATAGCATTCAGGGAGCAAAATATCGCATGTTCTCCATAAATATGTACAATTATTATGTATCAGTAAAAATAAATTAGAAATTGGCTGGGTAAGTGGCTCATGCCTGTAATACTTGCCTTTGCCTCCCAATACTTTGGGATACTTTGCCGATCACTTGAGGTCAGGAATTTGAAACCAGCTTTACCAACATGGTGAAATCCTGTCTCTACTAAAAATACAAAATTTAGGCCAGGCGCAGTGGCTCACACCTGTAATCATAGCACTTCGGGAAGCCAAGGTGGGTGGATCACCTAAGGTCAGGAGTTCGAGACCAGCTTGGCCAACAGGGTGAAACCCCGTCTCTACTAAAAATACAAAACTTAGCCAGGTGTGGTGACACGTGCCTGTAATCCCAGCTACTAGGGAGGCTGGGGCAAGAGAGTCTCTTGAACCAGGAAGGCAGAGGTTGCAGTGAGCTGAGTTCGCTCCACTTCCCTCCAGCCTGGGCGAAAGAGTAAAACTCCATCTCAAAAAAAATATATAGATATAGATATATACATATCTATATATATATTAGTACAAAAATTAGCTGGGCATGGTGACACACGCCTATAGTCCCAGCTACTTGGGAGGCTGAGGCAGGAGAGTCACTTGAACCCAGGAGGGGGAGGTTTCAGTGAGCTGAGATCGTGCCACTGCACTCTGGCCTGGGCGACAGAGCAAGACTCTGTCTCTAAATAAATAAGAAATAAACTTAAATGAAACTTAGGTGTTTCAGATAAGTTACATTAGGAAGGTTGGGCCATTGGATCCTGAGGGTTTAGTGTTCTAAACACTTAAAGCACAACTGTTTTAGATACCAATGCCTGTACTCTGGGGAATATAAAATATAATTATATTAGATTTACTGAGTAATTTTTCATATTTTCATTTCTCCAACTCAGATCCATTTACCTTGCAAATAACTAAATCTAATTAATATTCTGGAGAAATTGCTTATTTCACTCTTGGGCCTTTTTCTCTCCTCCTCTCTCCCCTACTGTTCCTAAAAAAAAATTTTTTTTTTGAAATGGTGGCAGCAACATGTAAATGACCATAGCAACCAAAAAAAGCGAAATATTTTAAATGTTGTTCACATATCTCCAACTGTTGTTTGTCAAGCCTTCTGAAGTTCCACTTAAAGACAACAAACTACTGAGGAGAAAATTATATTCCTTGCTGTAGTTAATAGTTGTGATCAAATGGGCATTCTTTTCTCATTGCCAAACCCTCTGACTTGGGGATTTTGTTACTTCAACCTGTGAGAGGAACAGAGCTATTGCTTTCATCTAGAACATCTACCTTTTGCCTTTTTTCTTAGCCTGAGGCACTTCCTACCCAAATCATTACTGTATATGTAGTTAATATAGTCTCTTTTAAATACTCATTATTGGTTTTGCTTTTTTGATTTTTATAATGTGAAGGAATCTTGGAGTACAAACGACATAAAGAGGTGGTAAAACAGTGTTCTGATAGTAGTTTAGGCTAGGAGAAGCGTCACGTTCTCATTGTGGCACAAGTTCAACAGATTTATCAGTGTGTTAGCCTTTCCAGGCACTGCCTTATTCTGTTATCCCTAACCCGTAGAGTCACCATACTTTCTACTAACTCTTGCTACTTTTATCCTGAAAAGTTTTAGCTGAAGTTTCTTACAAAATTGGTTCCTGAAGAGGTCATACTTTTGTTTCTGTTTCTCATGTCTGCTGTTTTACATCTGCATTCATTTTCTAGGGATGCCCTAACAAAATAAATACACACTGGAAGGATTCTTTACTCAACTTTTATTTTAGAATCGAGGGTGTGGCCAGGCATGGTGGCTCACACCTGTAATCCCAGCACTTTGGGAGGCCAAGGTGGTGGATCACTTGAGGCCAGGAGTTTGAGACCAGCCTGGCCAAAATGGCAAAACCCCATCTCTACTAAAGATACAAAATTAGCTGGGTGTGGTGGCGCATGCCTGTAATCCCAGCTGTAATCCCAACTCGGGAGGCTGAGGCAGGAGAATCGCTTGAACCCAGGAGGCAGAGGTTACAGTGACTGGAGATGGTGCCGCTGCTCTCCAGCCTGGGCGACAGAGCAAAACTCTGTCTCAAAACAAACAAACAAACAAAAAAAGAATCAAGGGTACAGGTGCAGGTTTGTCACATGAATATATTGCGAGATGCTGAGGCTTGGAGTACAAAGGAATCTCTCACCCAGATAGTGAGCTTGGTGCGCAACAGGTGGTTTTTCAGCTCTTGGCTACTTCCTGCCTCCCTCAAATAGTCCTGAGTATCTGTTGTTCCCATCTCTATGTCCAGGTGTACTCAATGTTTAGCTCCCACTTATAAGTAAAACATGCAGTATTTGGTTTTCTGTTTGTGCATTAGTTTGCTTAGGATAATGACCTCCAGTTGCATCCACGTTGCTGCAGAAAAGGTGATTTCAGTTTTCTTTTTTTCTTTTTTTGGAGACAGAGTTTCACTCTCATTGCCCAGGCTGGAGTGCAATGGTGCGATCTTCCCTCACGCCTCTCGGGTTCAAGTGATTCTCCTGCCTCAGCCTCCTGAATAGCTGGGAATACAGGTGTGTGCCACCATCCTCAGCTAATTTTTGTATTATTAGTAGAGATGGGGTTTCACCATGTTGGCCAGGCTGCTCTTGAACTCCTGACCTCAGGTAATCCACCTGCCTCGGCCTCTGAAAGTGCTGAGATTACAAGCGTGAGCCACCACGCCCGGCCACCACATTTTCTTTATCCAGTCCACCGTTGATAGGCACCTGCTTGATTCTAAGTCTTTGCTGTTATGAATAGCTTTGTGGTGAACATACAGGTACATGTGTCTTTTTGGTAGAACAATTTATTTTCCTCTGCGTGTATACCCAGTAATGGGATTGCTGGTTCAAATAGTAATTCAACATTTCTTTGATAAATCTCTAATCTGTTCACCGCAGTGGCTAGAGTAATTTACATTCCCACCAACAATGTATAAGCATTCCCTTTTCTCTGCGGCCTCGCCAACATCTTATTTTTTGACATTTTAACAAAAGCCATTCTGACTGGTGTGACATGGTATCTCATTGTGGTTTTGATTTGCATTTCTCTGATGATTAGTGATGATGAGCATTTCTTCATATGTGTTTAGGCTGGTTGGATGCATAGACTGGGAGGCTTAAACAACAGAAATTTGCTTTCTCACAGTTCTGAAGGTTAGAAGTCCAAGATCAAGATGTTGGCAGGGTTGATTTCTTTTGAGGCCTCTCTTCTTGGTTTCCACATGGGATGGTCACCATCTCATTGTATCCTCACATGATTATTCCTCTGTCTATATTATCTGTGTCCTAATCTCTCTCTGTCTTTGTTTTTTTTTAAGAGATGGTGTCTCACCATGTTGCCCAGACTGGTGTGCAGTGGCTAGTCACAGGTGTGATTATAGCTCACTGCAATCTTGAACTACTGGGCTCAAACGATCCTCATGGCTTAGCCTCCTACTGAGTAGCAAGGACTATAGGCATGTGCCACTGTGCCCAGCTCTAATCTCTTTTTATAAGGACACCAGTCATATTGGATTAGAGCCCACCCTAAGGACCCATTTTAACTTAATTGTCTCTTTAAAGGCCTTATCTCCCAATACAGATACTGGAGGTACTGGGAGTTAGGATTTCAACATATTAATTGGGGGGGCACAATTCACCCCATAACAGTGTTGTTCTCATAGTAACTGAGTGCGCATTTCTTCTCAATTTCTCTGAAAACATTCTCTTCTGAACGTGAATCTTGCTTGGCAGCTCTGAGCTATACCTCCAATATCTTATAACACGTGACAGTTTCCTATTTTTGTCAGCATACCCAACATCACCCATTTTCTCCTAAACTCTCAGATGATCTAAAAGATCCTATTTTTTTTTACAGCTCCACCCTCCACTTCTATCAGCCCACTTGGTTGGCAAGGAATTTTCTCTGGCATGCATGATAGCTTGTTAGAAGTTCTAATTTACCTTACATACCCTGTTCTAGTATGGTCTTGTTGCATTAACTTTCTTATAATCCTGCTTTTATATTGTATCCTATGTTATGCAGACCATAACCTGCCTTATTCCTCTCTTTTCCTGAAAGAGAGGCAGTGAATTGTGCAAGTAAGTTGTATCTTTGCACAATGTCCAGTGGTAGAAGAAAGTCTATATTGTATTATAATAGAGTATTTTAAGCAACAACATATGTTGAATACTATATAGGACACAGGTACTTAGTTTACTTTCTAGAATTATTTACATAAAAACTTTTGTCCCTAAATTTTGACCCAATTTTAGGATGGCCATTATTTAAGAAGCCAGATGGCAGACATTGCTTCTGTGAAGGAAACATTTTGAAGATTGTCTGACATAGTAGGATCTTCTTAGAGCCATCAGAATTTGCAGTTTCAGGTTCCTGACATTGCTTGTCTGGAGTGCTATAACTGTCTCATAACTGGTCTCTCCGGCTTTGGTTTCTGTCCCCTCTAGTTTCCTCTGCATGCGACCATTTGAGTTGTCTGTCTGGAAAACTAACCTCAGTTTATCACTCCTCAGAGGACACTGAAGCTCCCTGTTACCTGCAAGACAATCCCACACACCTCAGGTTGGCACACTTCCCTTTCACTCATACCAATATGCCATGGCCTTGTCACATCCTGTTTCTGCTGCCTAGGTTGCTTTCTGTCTGTGGAGTGCCTGGAGAAGGCAGAGGCTTTGGGAGTGGACAAGTCTAGGTTTGAATTCTGGCTCCAGTTCTTACTGAGTGATCCTGAGAAAGTTACTTGATCTCCTTCGAGTATGAGTTTCCTCATCGTGAAACAAGGCTAATACCTACTGCACAGAGATGTTGTAAGAATTAATTAAATTAAACACATGTGTGAAGCATTGGCTAAATTAATTCCTTGTTGTAGCTATGTAGTCAAGCAAACTCCTATTTACCCTTTAGGTTGCAGGTCAAACATCACCTGCTCTGGAAACCTAGGCTGTTATTTATTCTGACTCTGGCAATTCCTACACTAGAGCACCACTGTTGGCGTTAAGAACGTGGTTTTCTGAAGCCACATTGTTGGAGTTTAAATTTAGCCTTTTCCATTTAATTAGTAGCTGTTTGATCTCTGGCAAGTTACTTATTGTACCTCAGTTATCTCTTCTGTAAAATGGAGATCCTATTTTCTATGAAATAGGATTGCTATCAAGATTATAAATAGGATAATATAAATAAGAAACTTGGCACAATGTAGTCCATAATTAGTGTACAACCAAGATAGTCATTATGACTCTAGTTTCTCTCATTGTGAGGTCCTCAAGGCTGTGACTCTTCCTTGCCCCTCCCTAGATGCCTGAACCAACACCTAGCATAGTAGATGAATCAAGGAGTCCATCTACTATTTATTTATATTTATTGAGGTAACAAACCCTGTTTATAAAAGATGAAGAATATTGGGCTTTGCATTTTCCCTGAAAATACTTCTGGTAATAAACAGGAAAATCCTCAAATGTTACACTGAGTGGTATTCCAGGTTTATTCCTATAGAAAAATGAAATAAAAAGTGAAATCTGTCTGAATTTTGCTTTTAAGAGTGGTGTTTATTATACTGTGTAGCTTAGAGGGCTCATGCAATATAAATTTGTGAATTTTCCACCATTCCAGACCGTTAAGACTTAGATAGAAGGTCATCATTCTTCCTTGATGTTGTGGATAACCAGATGCCCTCCCTCATCCCTATTAGATTTTTTTGGATTATTATACAGTGATTTTAGGATACTAAAAGTTTTTTCAAGTTTCATTTGCATAAGTTTCTTAGTCGTGTGTGATCAAAATAACTGTGTTGAAAGAATTGAGGCTAAGATGTATATGCCACAGACTTTAAAACAGAGTAGAATGTCAGATTAAAAGAGTTTATAGTCAAAAGATTGCTAATGTAATTACTAATGTAATATAATTACTAATAGATCACAAATGATAGACTAGTTATTTCCATCTTTATGTATGAAGTTATAATCACATTTTATATTTTGATGTACAATTTTTTATGCATTTCATAATTATCCATTTATTTTCTTCATAAATTCAAAGACTGTCATGAGTATATCTGCATATTTATGGTTGCCCATTGTATCAATTATCTATTGCTGTATAACAAACCATCCCAAAACTTACAGGTTTAAAACAACAATATTTTTCGTGATTCTGTGAGTTGGCTAGGTGGTTCTTCTGTTGGTATCTCCTGGATTCACTCATGTGGTAGCATTCAACTGTTGGAACAGCTTAGAACAGGGCCCCTCTTTCCCCATGCTTACTCATGCTCAGCATCTTCACAATACTGTGATCCATGTTCTCAAGAAGGCAAGATCCAGTGCACAAACACTTTATCAAGCTGTTTCAAACATACCACAAGGGAAAGGGATACCAGGAGTCATGACTGATTAGAAGCCATTCCTGTAACAATCTGCCACATTCATGCATGGAAAATTTGTGTTTCAGTACAAAAAAAAAAACTAGCTTAGTTTCTGAGGAGAGAGCTGAAAGTCTGGTGTGGAAAGGAGACTTCCTTCCCATTCAATAAAATTTGCTTTTACTCGTTAATACTTTTTGTTTAATTTAATCTATTTATTTTTATTTATAATGTGATTTAATAATTTCCTTTTATATAATTTGGTTTTTTTTTGCCATGAGGTGTTATTTTTCTTTTTTTTCTTTTGAGGCAGAGTCTCACTCTATCTCCCAGGCTGGAGTGCAGTGGCACGATGTCGGCTCACTGCAACCTCTGCCTCCCAGGTTCAAGCGATTCTCCTTCCTTAGCCTCCCAACTAGCTGGGACTACAGGCATGTGCCACCATGCCTGGCCAATTTTTGTATTTTTAGTAGAGACAAGGTTTCATCATGTTGGCCAGGCTGGTCTCGAACTCCTGACCTCAGGTGATCTGCCCACCTCGGCATCCCAAAGTGCTGGGATTACAGGCATGAGCTACCGCACCTGGTGAGCTGTTATTTTTCAAACAAAACAAAAATACTTCACAAAACCAATGAATGAGTGAACCTGGCATCAGTTTAGGGTCTCTGATAGCAGAAACAGTAGATGATTATGAATTGGTAATAACATTTGAGTAGAGATACTCTGATTACAAGGAGCATCTAACCTATGATACTGATTCTATCATACATCAGAAAGGTGGGTTTCCAGAGTTCGGAGGAGGCTCAGAATTGTTTCAGTTGTCTACCTCATGGTTATTAATAATTTATAGGAGATTTGAGGGAAATTTTCAATTTTGTTTATTTAATTTTATTTTAATTTGACAATACTTTGGTATCTTTTGGTTGTGCTGGTTCATTGTTCTGTTGAACAATGCTAACTCTAAAAAGAACGTTTTAGACAACATAAATCAATGGAGGAAGAGAATACATTTGCCAAAATTAACATGAACACTTTCTTAAGAAAATAGCACTTGAGAATATTGCAATTAAAGACTAAGAGAGTACTCCGAGTCTCCCAAAGTACCTACATTCTTAGCCAAGATACAGCAGCAGCTGACCTTTAAATTCATATATTCCAATTTAAATAGGAAGTTAAAGTTGAATATTACAATTGGTTTTTCAGGGTAAATGTTGCCCTTTTTTCCTGAGGATGAGTCCACCTTGTCTTAAAGAAAGGACAACTGGCAATTCTTTCTCTGACACTGACCAATTGAAAATATGAGAGAACCAAACAAAAGCTTTCCATATAATATCAACCTAACTATTCAGTGTTTTGCTATAGACAGACTCTTTGATTGGCCCTAGTTAATCTGTTCTTGTTTTAATTCATCTCAAGGTTCAGCATTAGTCATTTTATCCCAACAGATATAACCTTAGATTCTTTCTATGGATAATATATTTAGACTCATCTTAATGTAAATTTTTCATGGAGGTTCATGGGTAGAACCTCTAGGTGACTAAAAAAAAACTAGCTTTATGTCTAGATAAAACGCTACAACTTTGTTCCTTATAAAATAATCAGACCTGTATAGTCAGTGAAATATCACAAGATCCAAATTCTAGTGACTTAACTTTAGATTGATCTAACACCTAAGGTAGGAGAGTGGAGTTGGGGGTAAGCAAAGGAGAGGAGATCATGTAATACATTCTCAGTATTTGGAGAACAATGCGGTGGAAACAAGAAAGAATACAAAAGAAAATTCAAAAGATCTAGTATTTTGTCTTTTGAAAAATAAGATCCAGGCTAGGTGCGGTGGTTCATGCCTATAATCCTAGCACTTTGGGAGGCCAAGGCAGACGGATCACCTGAGGCCAGGAGTTCGAGACTAGCCTGGCCATCATAGTGAAACCCTGTCTCTACAAAAAATGCAAAAATTAGCCAGGTGTGGTGTCAGGCACCTGTAATCCCAGCTACTCAGGAGGCTGAGGCAGGAGAATCGCTTGAACCCGGGAGGTGGAGGTTGCAGTGAGCCGAGATCGTGCCACTACATTCCAGCCTGGGCGATAGAGCAAGACTCTATCTCAAAAAAGAAAAAAGAAAAAGAAAAAGAAAAAAGAAAAAGAAAAGGAAAAGAAAAAAGAGGTCCATGAGTAGAGTACTGCATTTGTCAGGAAAACTACTACATTAGACAAAACTTGCCTTTAATGCCTGGAGATACTTGCTGCTGTCAAAAGGTGCACAACTTAATTTTGCCTCTTTGGCTGATGTTCCCCACTATTCTAGATGAACTGCGCCCAAAAACAGATCCAAAGATATCCTTCCCCACAGAGAGTTGGTGATGGATCTTAGGAACTAAGTGCTATGAGCATGTTGCAAAAGGAGATCACAGACCCAGTTCAGGCTCCCTCCAGCAGCCCCTTCTCCCATGACCTCTATGTCAGTTACATCCATGTGCTGACAGTGGGCACACCCACAGCCACTACTGGCTACCTTCCTCCTGGCTGTCTCTGTGTGTTCATGACTTTTGCTGGCACATCTGTAGCCCCAGGTCCCTTTCTCCAGCTTGCCACTCCTACATATTTTTCCCTTATGATTCTATGCTGTTTGCCATTTTTGTTTGAAAGCAGTGCATTGGTTAACAATAACTTTGTAGTGATAGCAACCACCATAGCAATAATGTCCTGCTTCCTTGTATGCCTGGCATGTTTATCATTTAATCATCACAACACCATGAAGTAAATACTCTTATTGACCCAATTCTATAGATCAGAAAACAGGCCTAGAATGTGTAAGTCCCTAATGAAGGCTACTTGGCTAATAAATGACAAAGCCAAATTTTGAATCCAGGCAGTATGGTTTCAGAGTCTTTGCTTTACTACCTCTTTTACTCACTATTTTTGTACTAATCTTACACTTTACTACATATTTTCTGAAGGCAGTCAAAATTTAAAAGTTGATTATTACTGCCAGTATTTATCAGTCGCATAATGTATTTATTTTTATTTTCTGAGACAGGGTGTCACTCCATCACCTAGGCTAGAGTGTAGTGGTGTGATCACAGCTCACTGCAGCTTCAACCTCCTAGGTTCAAGAGATCCTCTCATCACAGCTACTGGAGTAGCTGGGACTACAGGCGCATGCCACCACAACCAGCTAATTTGTGTGTGTGTGTGTGTGTGTGTGTGTGTGTGTATGTGTGTATGTGTGTGTGTGTATATATATATGTGTGTGTGTGTAGAGATATATATATATATATATAGTAGAGACAGGGTTCTGTCATGTTGCCCAAACTCCTGGGCTCAAGTGATCCACCTGCATCAGCCTCCCAAAGTGCTAGGATTACAGGCATGAGCCATCACACCCAGCCCAGTAACAGAATTTAAGACTACTCTAGTGCAGTATGATCATTTACATGGCATCCACTCATTCTTTCACTTAATCTTTACCACTTATTATGTACCCACTAGGTCCTAGTACTGCAGTAGGCACTCCATTCAGTTATGATCATAACAGAAAATATTCCTATCCTCCTGAAGCTTTCAGGATAATGGAAGGGACAGATAACACAAAAATAATATAAAATCGCAAGTTGTGATAAATGTTACAAAAGGAAACAGAAAGTTGTTTTAAGACAGAAAATAGTAGGAAGCTAACTTAGATTGAGGAATGATGATCAAGGAGAACTTTTCTGAGGAAGTGACATTGTAAGTTGAGGCCCTAACAGACCAATAGGAGCTAACCAGCTAAAGAGGAATAATTAAGTATGCTTTTAGAGGAGCTTGTATTTCTGGAAAAATAGTAGACTAGATGTCAATATAAGTTCTGCCTAAAATAATTAAAAATTTTTAATGTGTGGCTTAGTAGGAAAATAAGGAGCATTTTTAGAAGCCAGGAATTATGAGAAAGTCTGAATCCTGATATAGAAGTAAATTCTAGGCCAGGCACGGTGGCTCACACCTGTAATCCCTGCACTTTGGGAGGCCAAGGCGGGAAGATCACCTGAGGTTGGGAGTTCAAGACCAGCCTGACCAACATGGGGAAACCCTCTCTCTACTAAAAATACAAAATTAGCAGGGTGTGGTGGCACACGCATGTAATCCCAGCTACTTGGGAGGCTGAGGCAGGAGAATCGCTTGAACCTGGGAGGCGGAGGTTGCAGTGAGCCAAGATGGCACCATTGCACTCCAGCCTGGGCAACAAGAGTGAAACTCCGTCTGAAAAAAAAAAAAAAAAGTAAATTCTAAACCTGTGTTTTTTTTCTCTGGGCATTTGCCAATCCCTCGTGGCCAAAACCATGGGCTTTAATAGATCTTGTGCAGGAGACAAAAGGCAAAGCCAGGACTCTCAAAGACTTCTCTCTCAGTAAGTGAACTAGGAGAAAAAGCCCATCCCCGCCCCCCCCGCCGCCCCCCATTAACCTGTTCTTCCCACAGACATGCTGTTGGGATAATTGCCTGTCTTAACCTTAGTGCTTGAATGGGTGGGAGTCATATATATCAATTATATTTTTATATGCAAATACATTTCATCATAAAAAGAAAAGCATAAAACTCTCTAGACAAGCAATACTATATTGCAAGGCCCTCAGTAAGAAAGGTATTTAGCCTTTTTCAAAAAAGTAAAAGGCTGGTACACATAGAACAAAATAAGTGCTGGAAAATGAGGTTGGAGATGAAGCCAGGGACCAGATTCATGCAGGTCCTTGAAGGCCTTGGTTAAGAGTTTGAATTGTATCCTGCAAATCTTTTGAAGGGTTCCTCTCTAAAGATGGAAGGAGAGAGGAAACTGTAGCAGTATTCCAGGTGAGAGGGAGATATGACTTGGATTAGAGGAAACTGGAAGAAATGAATGGATTAAAGATACATTTTGAAGGTAAAATGTGTCTAACCTGCTGATAAATTAGATGAAAGACTTGAGAGTGAGTAAAATATAAAGGGTTATTCCTAAGCACCTGACTTGAAAAACTGCTTGTCCAAAAGTCTTTTTTTCTGAGCTGAGGAAGTCAGGAGGAAATTTGGAGGGGGGAATGATCAAGAGTTCAGTTTTAGAAATATTAAGTTTGATAAATAAAGAATGCTAATGGAGATGGTACCACTGATATAATAAAACTAAAGAGGTTTTTAAAATATTCTTAGTTAGTTGAACTCGTAATCGAACAAGTCAGGATGTAATGATAATGAAAATTTACCTTTTATAGGCAATTCAATTTATAGTAAATTTCACTGAGAGGCAAATTTTTTAAAGTAGAATTTCAATGCAATAAATACACCATTCATTTAAATTCACATTCCTGGGACAGAAGAGCTGGATGAATTTGCAGATAAAGTAAAATATTCGGAGAGAGACGCTGTGGCAGAGATTGGCTAACTGTTCACCAAATCTATTTTCTTTTCTTTCTGCTGACACAGCTGGACTATATTTCCCAGCCTCCTCTGGCTTCTAAAATTATTTTCTTTTCTGTTTTATAAGATGATAATAAAACTCTGTTCTCATAGGGATTGTGATGAGCAAACTAAAATCAGTTCTGAATTGTCAAACGTGAAATAAAAATTCATTTTTATTAGTATAGGCATGTGACTGAGACTGGGCCAAGGAATGGGAATAAAAGTGATGTATATTTCTTCCTTTGGTCTGGTTATGTAAAAAAAAAATTCCTTATGCAGCTTTCATGCTGTCTATCCCTTGTGTCAACTGGATATTGGCACCCAAAGTGACCTCGGAAGCCACACATTGAGGGTGAAAGAACCACCTTCAGTTGAAATTCCTAAAATGACTGCATGGTTCAGAATCCCCATGCCTACTTTTCTGCCATCTGAACTTTGCATAAACAAAAAAATAAACTATTATTTTAAATCATTGAGATTCTGTAATTCAACTGCTTCAGCAGCTAGCATATATTAAAAGATGTTAATTTGATTTCAAGGTGGTATCAAGAACATAATTTTATTCCCATTCATTTCTTTTCTCTTTTTTTTCAACATGTATTTTCTGTCATACATGACCAGGCAAATTGAGTAGATTAGGATGTTAGGAGGTTTGTACAGGGAGTGAGGGAAGCTAAGATGTTTGAGGTATGAGAGAGGAGTTGAAGGATATACTTTCTTTCTATGCTCCATATCAGATAATCTGTTTTTCTCTCTCCCTCTGTCTGACCCAGTAATTCATTTCAAAGATGTATTCTTCTGTAGCTATTTCTTTCCACCTGCTAATAGCACCCTCATTGTAAAACAGAGACTTGATGACAATCTTGATCTCTCTCTTCTTGCCCAGTTTAATAATCAAGTTTTTACACTGGGATACAAAATAATCATAAATCAAAGTTGAGAAATATGTTTTCTTCCTTTGTACATCTGATAGTAGATTTCATAGTATCTCTTGAGGTAAACGCTTTTGAGAGTATGCAAAGTGTGACATATCTCTGATAGGACTTGCTGAAGCCAGAATGTGCCCTCTGTATCTTTGGCCAATGGATTAGCCAGCTAGACATACTCTGACATTGTTCTCTGTTATATTTACTTATCAGTCTTTTTGCATTGTTGGCTTCATCGCTCCTTCTCTTGAGGGAAGGTATGAGGTAAATTCAGTTCCCTATGCTGAACACCCAGCATGATTCCTGGCAAAATGATATTATAAGTGCTTTGTAACTCCTTGGATGAAAACCAAATGAATGCTGAAAGTAGTGTGGTATGTATCTGACTAATAAAAATATGTTCCAGGCGGGGCGCAGTGGCTCATGCCTGTAATCCCAGCACTTTGGGAGGCCAAGGTGGGCAAATCACCTGAGGTCAGGAGTTCAAGACCAGCCTGGCCAACATGATGAAACCCCATCTCTACTGAAAATACAAAAATTAGCTGGGCGTGGTGGCGCATGCCTGTAATTCCAGTTACTTGGGGGGCTGAGGTGGGAGAATCACTTGAACCCGGGAGGGAGAGGTTGCACTGAGCCGAGATCGTGCCATTGCACTCCTGCCTGGGCAACAAGAGCAAAACTCGGTCTCAAAAAAAAAAAAAAATGTTCCTTGTAGAATGAATTTTCTGTATTATTCACTATAAAGAATTTATTTTTAACCACATCAATAATATGTCTATAAGATATAGGTCATTACCTGGAAATTGAAAATATTTTTATGAGAAACTTCTCATTATGATGTTTATTGTGTAAGGATCTTAAGTTGTTATCACCTTTGTTTGATGAATGTATCTTCTACTTGTGTACTCTAAAAAATTATCAGATTATTTTTATGATTGGTAGAGTTTATAGTTTTGCAAGAATTGGGCAAATCTCACACACAGGGACAGGTGGAAGAGCATGCCCCCATGAGAGCTTTAAAGGAATACATTCTGGCCCTGTGGAGAATTGCCTCCTCTTCAATTCCAGTGGCATATGGTTAGATTTGGGCAAACAAATGCTATGCCAAATATGGCATTTATTGCCTCAGTTCAGATGCCAGGCCAGGCTGAAGTTTACAGCTGTGTCCTGGTTGAAATTCTAAAACAAAAGGAGTTTATTCTTTTAATCTAGTGTACCCCTAATCTAGAATGATGGCATTGTTAGCATCTAGAATTATTTTCTTTCCCATTTTATATGATGATAATAAAAGCTATTCTCATAGGAATTGTTATGAGCAGACCTAAATTCAGTGCTGATTTGTCAAAAGTGAAATAAAAAAATCTTTTGTCTGTGTGGTCTTAGGTGGCAGAAATGTAATTATAAGTAAGCCCTAATTTCTGCTAGGTATACTAGTGCTTGACCCTAGTGAATGGATAGTCTCTTTATAGAAGTAGATATATTAATCCCTTTAACCCCTTGAAAACTAGTAGTAGTAGCTATTTGATATACCTCTTTCCAAAAAGTTTCTAGCTGGCCAGGCTAAGTTCTCATGCCTTTGGTGGTATAGCATATGGACATTTATCTTGGCAGTGATTACGTGTAAGTATAAAAGAAATACTTAAAATGCAATAAAATGAGCATATCTGTTTCACAAGACTAATGTTTCTTGCTAATCATAGAGAACCTAGGATAAAATGCATAATGTTGATCATTGGAACTGAGGAAAGCTTAACAATTATACTATATTGGATAGGTGAAATCTAGGAGTTTCTGTATACCCAGAGTCCTTTCCTAAGGGGTCCTACCTGTAGCCTCTTGCTAAGGATACCAACTCTAGCTAGATACATATAGATGGCCATGTTCTATATTGCATGACTTTACCATCTTGACCACATCTCAGAACATTTGACCTAAAGCATTCAGGTAGCTTGAAGGCTGACAGATTTAACGACCTAGTACAAGTGTTTTATCTAACTGATGATAGTGACATAGTGGACTGATCAGATGTTCTTTCTTAGGAAATTTTTAATTTGAAATAGAGAGTATTATTTGATAGGAGCAAACACCAACTGCTTAACCAGAAAAAGAGGCAGACAAAAATGACATGGGCCGGGCGCTGTGGCTCACGCTTGTAATCCCAGCACTTTGGGAGGCCGAGGCGGGCGGATCACGAGGTCAGGGGATCGAGACCACAGTGAAACCCCGTCTCTACTAAAAATACAAAAAATTAGCCGGGCTTGCTGGCGGGCGCCTGTAGTCCCAGCTACTCGGAGAGGCTGAGGCGGGAGAATGGCGTGAACCCGGGAGGCGGAGCTTGTAGTGAGCCGAGATCGCACCACTGCACTCCAGCCTGGGCGACAAAGCGAGACTCCGTCTCAAAAAAAAAAAAAAAAAAAAAAAAAAAAAAAAAAAAATGACATGAGTCAGTAGAAGCCATGAATAAGCAAGAGTGACAAGTAAGTATGAGCTAAGTCATGAACTTTTTTACGTGTGTGTGTGTGTGTGTGTGTGTGTGTTGGTAGGGGTGGGGGTAGATACATATATTTAAATTGTATCTGTGGGGGAAGAGGATGGTCAACAAATTGCTGCCAAGGGGATAAAGAACTAATTACATCATTACTTATCTATTGGATTCTGAACAACTTGAAATTCTCCATCTGTGTTCCTATACTTTTCATGAGACCTGGTTAAACTACTTTCCATGAGTTCCCATAAGGCCTAGCCACAAAACATACCTTTGTTCCTTATTTTCATGTGAAACCTTACAATAGCTGTTCCCAGTTACCCCTCTCACATGCACATCCACACACAGATACTTGAGACAACTTTACTGAGTCTCTATTCTTTGTGGTCAAAGGATCCTAATTTATACAGCTGTTCTATGAGTTCAGTGTTTATTATTTTAGCTCTGTAACCAAGGCAAGGACTGATGAACAATAGCAGTTTTGTGGCCACCCAAGAATATATTGACCTTGAATAGGAAAAAGTAACGTATATAATCCTAATTGTTTAAGAGAGGTGATGCATTACAGGGAGGGCTCAGAGAAAGATGGCTAACACTAATAGCACATGTTGGCATTGAGGAGACTACGTGGAAATGTGCATTTAGCAAAATAGCTTCAGAACAATATTTTTTCTTTCTCCCCTATTAGATTTTGAGTTCCTGAAGCACTCATCTTGGTGTGCCTCACCAATTCCCAGGAGAGGGCTCTGTATATAATAGGTGAAACACTATTGAGTACATAATGTGGCCCAGCTATGGTTCTGTCTTAAGGTTTAGCAGCAGCTTTGAACTGCCTGGTAAAAATATTTTTTCAGGCAGACTAAACTGAACTGAAGAGAGAGATACAAGTTAGAGACAAGAGTCGGATTTCCAGAAATTTCTGGGAGAGATAGATATAGACAGTGTAGAACAGCCAAGAAACTATGGGAGGAATTTCAAGGAACCAGATAATATATGCATAATGTTGGTCATCAGAACTAAGGAAAGCTGAACTATTATACTATATTAGATAGGCCATTCACATTTAGGGGACTAAGGACCAGAACATACTGTTATCTAGAACATCAGAACATCTGCAGAGCACAGAACAGCATAGCATTTGGCCAGAAAGCATGACATAGAGTATGGGATAGAGGAGGAGAATTGGCAAAAAATAAATTCTAGATTCTGATTTTTAAAATGACAGAACAAAGATTACAGCATTATTTTCCTTCTCCCTTACAAATTATCCAACTGCACTGGGAGAGCAACATGGTAGAAACATGAACCCTATCTTCAAAGAAAGATATATGCACAACTCCAGACTACAAAATGTGATGAAGAATGATAAATGCAGTTAAAAATGCCCACAGCTGCAGATCTCACACAAAGCTGGCAGAACTTTCTAGGGGGCAAAACCAATAATGCCCAGTTTATGGGATAGGATTTGTGTACTAGCAGCAGGAGCTTTCTTGGCCTTCCTAGGGTATAAAGAAGAAAGCGGGGGTGCTGGGCACGGTGACTCACGCCTGTAATCCCAGCACTTTGGGAGGCTGAGGCGTGCGGATCACCTGAGGTCAGGAGCTCAAAACCCTGTCTCTACTAAAAATACAAAAAAAAAAAAACAAAAAAAAAGAAAAAAATTTAGCTGGGCGTGGTGGCAGGCACCTGTAATCCCAGCTACTTGGGAGACTGAGGCAGGAGAATTGCTTGAACCTGGGAGGTGGAGGTTGCAGTGAGCTGAGATTGAGCCATTGCATTCCAGCCTGGGTGACAGAGTGAGAATCTGTCTCAAAAAAAAAAATAAAAAAAAAAAAAGAAGAAGAAGGGTAATAGACTCAATGAGGAATCACACAGACAAGATGGAAAACATGGGAAACACAAAGAAAAAAGTAGAGATTATATCTTTACTGTCAGACAAGATTGAATTTAGTGGAAAAGTTTTAAATAAGGCAATGAGGAATAATTCAAAGCAACAGTATAGCATTAAACATCCATAAAGCAGAAACTACAGAAAATATAAAGAATAATAGTTACATAGTAGTGATAAGAATGTTTATTCACTTCTCTTAGTTCATAAGAGATCAAGTGGACAACAACTAAGAGAAAGAAAACCCAAATAAAATAATGAAGTCAATATTTGAGATTGTCAAGCTTTGTATCCTGAAAACTAAGAATGTCAAATAAAACATTCACAAAAATAGACCATAAAGAAAATTTCAAAGAATTTCAAAAGGCAAAGTAAATATATACAGCATTCTGTGATCTCATTGCAATAAAAGTAGAACTTAGGAAAAAGAATATCATCACCTGGACATTTTAAATTTCCTACTAAAATAATTCTTAGATCAGAAGAAACCAAACAAGTTATAGAAAATCTAAAACAAAAGCATAATGAAAACAATACATATCAGAACTTGTGAGATGGAGCTAAAATAGAGTTCAGAGGCACTTATCTTAATGAAGAAAGAAAATAACTCCATTAAATATCTAACTCAAAGTTAGAAAAATTATCAATAAACATAAAAAAGCAGAAGAAGGGAATAAAAGTTATAAATTAGACAAAAATTGATCAGCTAAATAAAAGAGCTGATTTTTTAAAAATATGATATTAAGTTTATAAAATCAAAAAGTAGACAGGAAAGGGCATAAACCAAGAAATAATGGGGAAATGATAAAAATAGAAAAGAAGAGAATCCTAAGAAAATATTTTGTTCAATCCTGTGCAAATTAATTTGAGAACCTAGAAGAAATGGATGATTTTCTAGGAAAATTGAAAAAATAAATACTAACTTTAGATAACTAGAAAATCTAAACTATTAGCACAGAATAACTTTCTTTTTTTTTTTTGATATAGGAAGTCCTTTATTTTGTCATGTGAAACCATATAACAGCTGCCTAACCACAATGTAGATGCCAATAGGAGATGGCTCAGAAATAGCACTAGTGACTCAAATAGTGACCATTATGATAAAAGGAATAAAGTTTTGACTGATTTATAGCAGTTTTAAAATGCGTTTTATATTGAGTAGTTATTTCATGTTTTCTCAAAAGAATTATTATGTTAAACCAAAAATAAACTAGGTATATAGTTTGTTCATATAACAAATCTACATTCAAAGACATGCTTACAAATTTTCCACTTAGTCCATTTTTCTGTTCTTAGCATTACTACAAATGCCTCCTTCCGTCATCATGTTGAATTCTTCAGCATCTTCTATATCATTTCCAGGGGCATCTCTGGGAAGTAGTGATGCCTGTCTTCCTTCAGAAGCACTGATAACCCCAATATACCCACAGTACACACATTTTCCCTCTCCTGAGGTGTGCTACTTTTTGGCACAACAGAAAAAACTCATTACTAGGATTTGAAAACCTAAATTCTGGGCCTGGTTAGGTCATAAACTACAGAACCATAGATCATATATTCTCCCCAGGAGCCTGTTTCTCCACTGCATAAATAATTCATATTTGCTTGGCCCTTTGTAGTCCTTTACTGTTTCATTTATCTTCATGATAACCCTTAAATTTAAGTAAGGTAGCAGTATGCTCATTTTATAGAAGAAATTCAGTCTCAAAGAGGATACACAGTCTCCCAAAGATCCCACAATAGTAATATATTAGGCAGAGCTAAACTCACACAATCTTACTCAAGATCCTAGTGCTGGTACATGGTATGCTCATAAGTTTGCTAAAATGGATGAAGCAGCAGTTTCTCAGGTCCCTTTCAGTGATCCTGTTCTCTGCTTCCACTTGATGTTTTTTCTCTCGTCTCTCAACTAGCATTAACATCCAAAACTATATATAATCACTAAATTTCATTTACCATCATTTTCTTATTTAATTATTCTTTAAATTTTTCTATTTCCATGTTAAATCCAGAGAAATGTTACTTTTTCGAAAGTTTCTACTGCTGCCTGCCTCTCTGAAGGCCATGGGACTTACCTATTTGTTTGTCAAAGCAAAAATTCCCAACATTTTGTAAACACCACTAATTACTTTTTATAACTGTAAAAACAATTATTCCATACTTAAAACCAATTCAAAATAAAATAAATCCTCGATACTTCTTACTCCCTGGAGTAGTAATTTTAATTAGATTCTACTGATTCGTAATTTTTTCCTCTGTGCCTTTATTTGGGAAATACTGTTAGTCTACCTCACTATCAAGTCTCTTTCCCTAACAAGAAAATGTCACAGTCTTTTTTTTTTTTTTTTTTATACTTTAAGTTTTAGGGTACATGTGCACATTGTGCAGGTTAGTTACATATGTATACATGTGCCATGCTGGTGTGCTGCACCCACTAACTCGTCATCTAGCATTAGGTATATCTCCCAATGCTATCCCTCCCCTCTCCCCCCACCCCACAACAGTCCCCAGAGTGTGATATTCCCCTTCCTGTGTCCATGTGATCTCATTGTTCAATTCCCACCTATGAGGGAGAATATGCGGTGTTTGGTTTTTTGTTCTTGCGATAGTTTACTGAGAATGATGGTTTCCAGTTTCATCCATGTCCCTACAAAGGACATGAACTCATCATTTTTTATGGCTGCATAGTATTCCATGGTGTATATGTGCCACATTTTCTTAATCCAGTCTATCATTGTTGGACATTTGGGTTGGTTCCAAGTCTTTGCTATTGTGAATAATGCCGCAATAAACATACGTGTGCATGTGTCTTTATAGCAGCATGATTTATAGTCATTTGGGTATATACCCAGTAATGGGATGGCTGGGTCAAATGGTATTTCTAGTTCTAGATCCCTGAGGAATCGCCACACTGACTTCCACAATGGTTGAACTGGTTTACAGTCCCACCAACAGTGTAAAAGTGTTCCTATTTCTCCACATCCTCTCCAGCACCTGTTGTTTCCTGACTTTTTAATGATCGCCATTCTAACTGGTGTGAGATGATATCTCATAGTGGTTTTGATTTGCATTTCTCTGATGGCCAGTGATGATGAGCATTTTTTCATGTGTTTTTTGGCTGCATAAATGTCTTCTTTTGAGAAGTGTCTGTTCATGTCCTTCGCCCACTTTTTGATGGGGTTGTTTTTTTCTTGTAAATTTGTTCGAGTTCATTGTAGATTCTGGATATTAGCCCTTTGTCAGATGAGTAGGTTGCGAAAATTTTCTCCCATGTTGTAGGTTGCCTGTTCACTCTGATGGTAGTTTCTTTTGCTGTGCAGAAGCTCTTTAGTTTAATTAGATCCCATTTGTCAATTTTGGCTTTTGTTGCCATTGCTTTTGGTGTTTTGGACATGAAGTCCTTGCCCACACCTATGTCCTGAATGGTAATGCCTAGGTTTTCTTCTAGGGTTTTTATGGTTTTAGGTCTAACGTTTAAATCTTTAATCCATCTTGAATTGATTTTTGTATAAGGTGTAAGGAAGGGATCCAGTTTCAGCTTTCTACATATGGCTAGCCAGTTTTCCCAGCACCATTTATTAAATAGGGAATCCTTTCCCCATTGCTTGTTTTTCTCAGGTTTGTCAAAGATCAGATAGTTGTAGGTATGCGGCGTTATTTCTGAGGGCTCTGTTCTGTTCCATTGATCTATATCTCTGTTTTGGTACCAGTACCATGCTGTTTTGGTTACTGTAGCCTTGAAGTATAGTTTGAAGTCAGGTAGCGTGATGCCTCCAGCTTTGTTCTTTTGGCTTAGGATTGACTTGGCGATGCGGGCTCTTTTTTGGTTCCATATGAACTTTAAAGTAGTTTTTTCCAATTCTGTGAAGAAAGTCATTGGTAGCTTGATGGGGATGGCATTGAATCTGTAAATTACCTTGGGCAGTATGGCCATTTTCACGATATTGATTCTTCCTACCCATGAGCATGGAATGTTCTTCCATTTGTTTGTATCCTCTTTTATTTCCTTGAGCAGTGGTTTGTAGTTCTCCTTGAAGAGGTCCTTCACATCCCTTGTAAGTTGGATTCCTAGGTATTTTATTCTCTTTGAAGCAATTGTGAATGGGAGATCACTCATGATTTGGCTCTCTGTTTGTCTGTTATTGGTGTATAAGAATGCTTGTGATTTTTGTACATTGATTTTGTATCCTGAGACTTTGCTGAAGTTGCTTATCAGCTTAAGGAGATTTTGGGCTGAGATGATGGAGTTTTCTAGATAAACAATCATGTCGTCTGCAAACAGGGACAATTTGACTTCCTCTTTTCCTAATTGAATACCTTTTATTTCCTTCTCCTGCCTGATTGCCCTGGCCAGAACTTCCAACACTATGTTGAATAGGAGCGGTGAGAGAGGGCATCCCTGTCTTGTGCCAGTTTTCAAAGGGAGTGCTTCCAGTTTTTGCCCATTCAGTATGATATTGGCTGTGGGTTTGTCATAGATAGCTCTTATTATTTTGAAATACATCCCATCAATACCTAATTTATTGAGAGTTTTTAGCATGAAGGGTTGTTGAATTTTGTCAAAGGCTTTTTCTGCATCTATTGAGATAATCATGTGGTTTTTGTCTTTGGCTCTGTTTATATGCTGGATTACATTTATTGATTTGCGTATATTGAACCAGCCTTGCATCCCAGGGATGAAGCCCACTTGATCATGGTGGATAAGCTTTTTGATGTGCTGCTGGATTCGGTTTGCCAGTATTTTATTGAGGATTTTTGCATCAATGTTCATCAAGGATATTGGTCTAAAATTCTCTTTTTTGGTTGTGTCTCTGCCCGGCTTTGGTATCAGAATGATGCTGGCCTCATAAAATGAGTTAGGGAGGATTCCCTCTTTTTCTATTGATTGGAATAGTTTCAGAAGGAATGGTACCAGTTCCTCCTTGTACCTCTGGTAGAATTCAGCTGTGAATCCATCTGGTCCTGGACTCTTTTTGGTTGGTAAACTACTGATTATTGCCACAATTTCAGCTCCTGTTATTGGTCTATTCAGAGATTCAACTTCTTCCTGGTTTAGTCTTGGGAGAGTGTATGTGTCGAGGAATGTATCCATTTCTTCTAGATTTTCTAGTTTATTTGTGTAGAGGTGTTTGTAGTATTCTCTGATGGTAGTTTGTATTTCTGTGGGATCGGTGGTGATATCCCCTTTATTATTTTTTATTGTGTCTATTTGATTCTTCTCTCTTTTCTTCTTTATTAGTCTTGCTAGCGGTCTATCAATTTTGTTGATCCTTTCAAAAAACCAGCTCCTGGATTCATTGATTTTTTGAAGGGTTTTTTGTGTCTCTATTTCCTTCAGTTCTGCTCTGATTTTAGTTATTTCTTGCCTTCTGCTAGCTTTTGAATGTGTTTGCTCTTGCTTTTCTAGTTCTTTTAATTGTGATGTTAGGGTGTCAATTTTGGATCTTTCCCGCTTTCTCTTGTGGGCATTTAGTGCTATAAATTTCCCTCTACACACTGCTTTGAATGCCTCCCAGAGATTCTGGTATGTTGTGTCTTTGTTCTCGTTGGTTTCAAAGAACATCTTTATTTCTGCCTTCATTTCGTTACGTACCCAGTAGTCATTCAGGAGCAGGTTGTTCAGTTTCCATGTAGTTGAGTGGCTTTGAGTGAGATTCTTAATCCTGAGTTCTAGTTTGATTGCACTGTGGTCTGAGAGATAGTTTGTTATAATTTCTGTTCTTTTACATTTGCTGAGGAGAGTTTTACTTCCAACTATGTGGTCAATTTTGGAATAGGTGTGGTGTGGTGCTGAAAAAAATGTATATTCTGTTGATTTGGGGTGGAGAGTTCTGTAGATGTCTGTTAGGTCCGCTTGGTGCAGAGCTGAGTTCAATTCCTGGGTATCCTTGTTGACTTTCTGTCTCATTGATCTGTCTAATGTTGACAGTGGGGTGTTAAAGTCTCCCATTATTAATGTGTGGGAGTCTAAGTCTCTTTGTAGGTCACTCAGGACTTGCTTTATGAATCTGGGTGCTCCTGTATTGGGTGCATATATATTTAGGATAGTTAGTTCCTCTTGTTGAATTGATCCCTTTACCATTATGTAATGGCCTTCTTTGTCTCTTTTGATCTTTGTTGGTTTAAAGTCTGTTTTATCAGAGACTAGGATTGCAACCCCTGCCTTTTTTTGTTTTCCATTTGCTTGGTAGATCTTCCTCCATCCTTTTATTTTGAGCCTATGTGTGTCTCTGCACGTGAGATGGGTTTCCTGAATACAGCACACTGTTGGGTCTTGACTCTTTATCCAACTTGCCAGTCTGTGTCTTTTAATTGGAGAATTGAGTCCATTTACATTTAAAGTTAATATTGTTATGTGTGAATTTGATCCTGTCATTATGATGTTAGCTGGTGATTTTGCTCGTTAGTTGATGCAGTTTCTTCTCAGCATAGATGGTCTTTACATTTTGGCATGATTTTGCAGCGGCTGGTACCGGTTGTTCCTTTCCATGTTTAGTGCTTCCTTCAGGAGCTCTTTTAGGGCAGGCCTGGTGGTGACAAAATCTCTCAGCATTTGCTTGTCTGTAAAGTATTTTATTTCTCCTTCACTTTTGAAGCTTAGTTTGGCTGGATATGAAATTCTGGGTTGAAAATTCTTTTCTTTAAGAATGTTGAATATTGGCCCCCACTCTCTTCTGGCTTGTAGGGTTTCTGCCGAGAGATCTGCTGTTAGTCTGATGGGCTTCCCTTTGAGGGTAACCCGACCTTTCTCTCTGGCTGCCCTTAACATTTTTTCCTTCATTTCAACTTTGGTGAATCTGACAATTATGTGTCTTGGAGTTGCTCTTCTCGAGGATTATCTTTGTGGCGTTCTCTGTATTTCCTGAGTCTGAACGTTGGCCTGCCTTGCTAGATTGGGGAAGTTCTCCTGGGTAATATCCTGCAGAGTGTTTTCCAACTTGGTTCCATTCTCCACATCACTTTGAGGTACACCAATCAGACGTAGATTTGGTCTTTTCACATAGTCCCATATTTCTTGGAGGCTTTGCTCATTTCTTTTTATTCTTTTTTCTCTAAACTTCCCTTCTCGCTTCATTTCATTCATTTCATCTTCCATTGCTGATACCCTTTCTTCCAGTTGATCGCATCGGCTCCTGAGGCTTCTGCATTCTTCACGTAGTTCTCGAGCCTTGGTTTTCAGCTCCATCAGCTCCTTTAAGCACTTCTCTGTATTGGTTATTCTAGTTATACATTCTTCTAAATTTTTTTCAAAGTTTTCAACTTCTTTGCCTTTGGTTTGAATGTCCTCCCGTAGCTCAGAGTAATTTGATCGTCTGAAGACTTCTTCTCTCAGCTCGTCAAAATCATTCTCCATCCAGCTTTGTTCCGTTGCTGGTGAGGAACTGCGTTCCTTTGGAGGAGGAGAGGCGCTCTGCGTTTTAGAGTTTCCAGTTTTTCTGTTCTGTTTTTTCCCCATCTTTGTGGTTTTATCTACTTTTGGTCTTTGATGATGGTGATGTACAGATGGGTTTTTGGTGTGGATGTCCTTTCTGTTTGTTAGTTTTCCTTCTAACAGACAGGACCCTCAGCTGCAGGTCTGTTGGAATACCCTGCAGTGTGAGGTGTCAGTTTGCCCCTGCTGGGGGGTGCCTCCCAGTTAGGCTGCTCGGGGGTCAGGGGTCAGGGACCCACTTGAGGAGGCAGTCTGCCCGTTCTCAGATCTCCAGCTGCTTGCTGGGAGAACCACTGCTCTCTTCAAAGCTGTCAGACAGGGACATTTAAGTCTGCAGAGGTTACTGCTGTCTTTTTGTTTGTCTGTGCCCTGCCCCCAGAGGTGGAGCCTACAGAGGCAGGCAGGCCTCCTTGAGCTGTGGTGGGCTCCACCCAGTTCGAGCTTCCCGGCTGCTTTGTTTACCTAAGCAAGCCTGGGCAATGGCGGGCGCCCCTCCCCCAGCTTCGCTGCCGCCTTGCAGTTTGATCTCAGACTGCTGTGCTAGCAATCAGCGAGATTCCGTGGGCGTAGGACCCTCCGAGCCAGGTGTGGGATATAGTCTCGTGGTGCGCCGTTTTTTAAGCCGGTCTGAAAAGCGCAATATTCGGGTGGGAGTGACCCGATTTTCCAGGTGCGTCCGTCACCGCTTTCTTTGACTCAGAAAGGGAACTCCCTGACCCCTTGCGCTTCCCAGGTGAGGCAATGCCTCGCCCTGCTTCGGCTCGCGCACGGTGCGTGCACCCACTGGCCTGCGCCCACTGTCTGGCACTCCCTAGTGAGATGAACCCGGTACCTCAGATGGAAATGCAGAAATCACCCGTCTTCTGCGTGGCTCACGCTGGGAGCTGTAGACCGGAGCTGTTCCTATTCGGCCATCTTGAAAATGTCACAGTCTTAAGAGTCAGGAAAGCTTTTACTTTCACTATCACATATGAAGAATGAACTAAACACCTAAACTGGACAGTAAAACTTAAATGAGGGATTCAGGATATTTCCCAAGGGGCCATATGACGAATTTAAAAGTTGGTATGATGTGCCTAAAATAACACGCTCTTTTACTTATAATAAAGGTACAGATGTAGTGATTAGTCATGCTGACATGTACATATAAAATATGCCTATGCCAAATTAAAAGAAAACAAAATACATTCTATGGCAATCCTGAAAAGTCAGGGAGGTCAATAAATATTAAGAGTATGCTCTCACAATTAGCATTAAACACATGGTAATTAACACAATTTAATATGTGAAAAATGAGAAAATATACAGGATGAGAAGTACACTTAGGAATTTGTTGTGATTTTCTTCATTTTGATTGTATTGCTTTCTTGTCTTCAGGAGATTTCGACTTCTGAATTCGCATCTTTCTGTTCTAAATGGTATTCTTGGGCTATTTTCTCAGCAGTTCATGTTTCTGGATAAAGTTTATGATTATTGAGAAGTGTCAATGCTTCTACAATGGAAATTTTGCCTTTGGGAATGATCTTAATATTTATCATATTAAAGTGATGGCCAAAAGGCAATCTGAATTCTTTCAGCTCTTGACATCTTTCAGCAGCTTTTACCTGCATGGAAGACACAGGATCTTTGGAATCAACATACACATCTTTTAGAAATGACAGCAGCTTGTCATCTTTATGAGCAATCTCTCCCTTAATTTCTGGATAGAAACTAATCTGCTCTTGCAGGAGGCTGTTGGTAGAGGGGTGTCTGGGATTGGGAGGGGGCTTCATCTTGTTGATTTCCCATTCCTCTCAGTTCTCTAGGTTGAAATTCCTGATCCTGCGAGTCACTGCAGCCCCCATCTCCTCATAACATGATGCCCTCAGGTTTACGCCACACGTGGGAACACCAGTGCAGGAAACCTCCGGGGTACCCTAGAATAACTTTCTTCTACTGAGGCCTTGGTGATTTAACAGGAGAATTCTACCAAACCTTTCAGGAATAAATCAACTCAGTCTTCCCAAATACATATGCTTTAATAAATGTGGATATCTCTGGAAGGACACATGAGAAACTAGTAAACAGTTATTATTCCCAGGGAACAGAACTGGGACTGAGGGACATTATTAGAAAGAAGTCTTGCTTTTTCCTGTATATCTTTTATACCTTTTGTGTTTTGTACCATTTGCATATGGTACTCATCCAAGTATGAGGAATTTAGAACATCTTTGTTTTACATTTGAACAAGTTGACAACACTGTTTGGCTTTTGTTATTATGTTTACCTTACGTTTTCAGTAAATGTAGTAGGCATAATTTCTTAAATACCTCCCTTCCCCAAAGATGTCCCACCGTAATTCCTGGAATCATGATGAATATGATGCTCTATTACTGATTCTGTGATTATGTTTTGCCATATGGCACAGTTGACATTAAAATAGGAAATTCAAGCCTACATTATCTGAGTGGGCCTAATCGAATCATATGAGCCTTGAAAGCAGAGAGCTTTCTTTGGCTAATGGCAGGAAGGAAAGTCAAAGAGATTGGAAGTATGAGAAGGACTCAGTGTGCAATAGCTGCTTTGAAAGTGGAGGAGACCACTTGAGAAAGAAGGCAAGTAGTTTTGAGGAGCTGAGGGCAGCTCCCAGCTGACAGCTAGCAAGGGAACTGGCCAAATCCTTGCAACCTCAAGGAACTACTAGCTCTGTCAAAAACCTGAAAGAGGTTGAGAGTGGATTCTTCCCCAGTCTCCAGATGAGAGTCCAGCCCAACAGGCATCTTGATTTCAGCTTTGTGATACCCTGAGCAGAGCCCACTTGGGACTCCTGACCTATGGGGATGTGAGATAATAAATGGATATTGTTTTCAGCTGCTAAATATGTTATATAGGAGTAGAAACTAATAGAGCAAAATTATGTTCTAAAACTTTAATACATGTGGGCTTTCAGAGGCTTTAGAGATGGGAGCCATATTCCCTCCAGTCTGGGTGTGATGGGTAGTGCCAAAGAAGCTGCAGAGCCGGTGGAACAGTGTCATGTGTCAGCCAGAGGCTGCATCGTTTCCATTGGTGCCATAAGTAGAATATGCTCTGCTGTCTTTTCATTACTTTCTCCAATTGTGCAGAGAATGAATTTTTTATATCTGTCTCAGTCTTTAGAAGCAATTTTTTAGCATTTCTGTTTTAAATAATCTTGTATTTTCAATGAAGAAGTTGCCATTTCTTTCTTTTTTTTTGAGACAGGGCCTTGCTCTGTCGCCCATGCTGGAGTACAATCACCACTTACTGCAACCTTGACCTTCCAGGCTCAAGCAATCTTCCCATCTCAGTCTCCTGAGTAGCTTGGCTACAGACACGCACCACCATGCACAGCTTTTTTTTTTTTTAATTTTTTTTGATAGAGACAGAGTCTCTCTGTGGTTGCCCAGGCTGGTCTCGAACTCCTGGGCTCTAGCAGTCCTCCCACCTCAGCTTCCCAAAGTGTTGGGATTACAATGTGTGCCACAACACCTGGCCTTTTCTTTGGATGTCTTAGGAAATTAACTCCTACCTTTCTAAAAATTCCTGGGTTTATGTGACCTGGATTTAAATGGTCATGAGAGAAATTTCTGATATGATAGTGCAATCAAGTAACACTGGAATTCTTTGACTACCTTAGTTTTTCTAGAGTTTCACTTAAATTAACCCAATTTTGTTCCATTGGCAGTTTTATCCAAGACTGAATAAAGGTAGTTTACCTTTTAAGTTGCTATACACTAGAACTTACCTTTCAATTAATTCTTTTAATTTAACAGTGTGGAAAGCTATTATTTACTTTTTATTTAATTGATAGTACTTTTGTAAACTTTTACCTGAAAAAAGTAACTTTGAGAACCACAGAGAAGAAACATATTGGTTAAGGTTTCTGAAGAGTGTCGGAGGATTCAAGAGTGTGGGGAATTGCTTCTGTGATTCCCATCACTTCACATTCTGAGTAGAAAAGCACACAACAGAAATGCTGCAAGTCAGCATCAGGAGTCCATAGCATCCATCATCAAGTGCAATAAGACTGTGACTCTCTGTTACTGAGTTGTGATGCTTTTTCTTTTTGCCAGTAAGTTACATGGTCCAGTTTTTTCTTTCTTAGATGACTTCAGGGACTTGTTGTAAGCCTGCTGAGGTCAAGGAATGCTTCTGCCTTATGTGCAGTGTATTATAAAAAGATTTATCTGTGATAAAAGTGGAACTCGGCTGGGCATGGTGGCTCACACCTGTAATCCCAGCAATTTGGGAGGCTGAGGCGGGCTGATCACTTGAGGCCAGGAGTTCGAGACCAGCCTGGCCAACATAGTGAAACCCCATCGCTACTAAAAATACAAAAAAATTAGCTGGGCGTGTTGGCATGGGCCTGTAATCCCAGCTACTCAGGAGGCTGAGGCAAGAGAATCACTTGAACCCAGGAGACAGAGGCTGCAGTGAGCTGAGATCATGCCACTGCACTCCAGCCTGGGTGACAGAGCAAGATTTGGTCTCAAAAAAAAAAATAAAAACAAAAAAAAGTAGAACCCATGAAGAAAAATTTAAACAACTGATTTTAATGACTGTAAAGGAGTATCACTAGTAGAAAAATGTTTCTATATTGTTAGGATAATCAAGTTTCTTTAAAGATAATATTGATCATTTTTAGCAGAAGTTTGTTATTTATCTTTAGGAAATGAAATTAAATATTTTGCTTTGTTTTGTTTTTAATGTTTCTAAAAGGAATGAAACTGCATTATTGCTGATTCTGTTGTGGATTGAGGCATTTAGAGTAGCAAAAATTATATTAATGCTCTGTGCCAAAACACATAAAATGGCTTTATCACTGATTGGTGTCTCAATTATAAAAAGGTAATAATTTGCATAATATGATAAGAATGCCACTTGAAAGAAAGGAGGCTGGGTTGTTTTTTTTTTTTTTAACATCCAGTAAAACATGATTGACATCATCTAGTCAAATTATATATTATACTGAGCTTTATTTTCTGTATAAACCATATTTTACAGATATTATTTTAAAAGAAATTGAAATCTTCTGGGCTTAGGTTTCAGAGTTATATATAACTCATAAGTGAGCTGTGTGAGCTGAGTTCCTTAAACCTAGGTCTCATTTCAAAGGCTAGCTTTGGGCTGGTTGCAGTGGCTCACGCCTGTAATCCCAGCACTTTGGGAGGCTGAGGCAGGTGGATCACAAGGTCAGGAGATCAAGACTATCCTGGCTAACACGGTGAAACCCTGTCTCTACTAAAAATACAAAAAATTAGCCAGGCATGGTGGCGCACACCTGTAGTCCCAGCTACTCGGGAGGCTGAGACAGGAGAATTGCTTGAACCTGGGAGGTGGAGGTTGCGGTGAGCCGAGATGGCGCCACTGCACTCCAGCCTGGGCGACAGAGCGAGACTCCACTCCATCTCAAAAAAACAAAAAAAACAAAAAGGCTAGCTTTGTTCCAAAGCCCAAACCTGGCTCTGGTAGACTATTTTCTAAGCTATCTCTTGATGAGCTTTGCTAAAGGAAAGGGAAGTATGGTACAGATCACCTCAAAGTCATGTTTGGCTCTCTCTGCATTTGGAGTTTTCCTCTGGCATGTTTATATTCTGAATAATGCTTCTCCTAGGCTAAATACAGTTTGGACCCTGCATCTTACAACAGATGTGACAGAGGAATGCTTATGGTCAATAATGATGTACAGTCCACAGTGATAAAGAAATTGGTGGGAATGAGACTTTGAGAAGTATAATGAATGTCAGATTGCAGGCTGCCCATAGTACATCCAGCATCAGCACACTGTAGTTTGCCTTAACTAATTTGGGCCTCTGCAGCTTTGGGACAGTATTGCAAATAGGTGGTATAATAAGCTTAAATAACAGATTTCCATCACTTAAATATGAAAATCTCAGATTTGTCACAGTAATAATATTGACCTCATGTTTTTGTTTTTATTTTTTGTTCATTGACTTCATGAATGAATAGTTTGGCAGGAAAGCAGGTAATACACTTCCAGGCCTTATATTACATAGGTGTTGAGGCTAGAGAATGTCACAGAGGCGTGCCCTTATTCATAAAACACTAGGGGAAATGCCTTACTGTGTTTTATTAAGCGAAGACCTTTCATTGTAAAGGTGAGATTATTCCTTTAGAAACCATATAAATTACTGAAGGGAATTATGAGCAAGAATATATTTTGGGTTCATAGATGCCAAATGCCCATCTCACTGGATGATTATTATTCTAAGTATTTTCCATTACCTAGTTTCAGCTCAGGAAATCAATTAGACCCTTAAGGGCCTAAGCAAGCAGGAAATGAGTGATAGATTTATAGATTCCACCAGTGAATTTGAAAAAAAAACTTTTACCTTTTAAATTATAACTGCAATAGACTCAATATAAATGCTTTTTTTTTTTTTTTTTTTTTTTTTTTTTTTTTTTTTTTTTTTTTGAGACGTTGTCTCACTCTGTCACCCAGGCTGGAGCGCAGTGATCTTGGCTCACTGTAACCTCTGCCCCCAGGATTCAAGTGATTCTCTTGCCTCAGCCTCCTGAGTAGCTGGGATTACAGGCACGTACCACCGCATCTGGCTAGTTTTTGTATTTTTAGTAGAGACAGGGTTTCGCCATGTTGGCCAGGCTGGTCTCGAACTCCTGACCTCAAGTGATCCACCCGCCTCGGCTTCCCAAAGTGCTGGGATTACAGGAGTGAGCCACCACACCCAGCCCATAAATGCCTTTTTTAGTGCTCCCTCTTTCTTTCCTATGTAAACCCTTTTCAAGTTAGATTTTCCCTATGATATTCTCAATAAAGAACAAATTACATAAAATCAGGAACCTGATTTTATATTAAGTGTAGGAAGTCAAATTACCATTGAGCGTAGGTCATATATTCTAGTAGTAGAGACCAATCTATTTTCTGCCTTGTTCTGGAGGGTCATAGCAAATCTGAACCAGGCAGCCAGGTAGACCACCACTCTGATGGCCCCATTCAAGCTTAGAGCTTCCCCAGTCTGAAAGACACTGGAGGAAGCTTCTTCCCACCTTATTTAGCTCCAAGAGTTCAGTTGTGCTCTGTGGAACACTAGGAATAACTGTATCCTAGACATAAACCAAGGGCAAGACATGGTTTTAGTTTCCATGAGGGCCTTTGCTTAAGAGTCAGAAGGGCTGCTACACATCTTAATTTTGCCACTGAATAGCTATGTGATACCAGGCCTTTGACATAAGCAGTTAAGTTAGAGGACTCCAGAGGGCCTGTCCAGCTCTTACATAAGTCTAAATTCCACCTGTGATTTCATAGGATCCTTAAGTAAGCATTCCACTTCTATGGGCCTCATTTTCTGCCCCTATTAAACAAAGACATGGCTCTTGAGAGCCTGTTTAAAGCAGGTTTTTGAAAAGAAAGTCTCAAGTCAAAGAAATTTTGAAATGGATTTAGATTAAAAGGTATTTTTGTGTGTGTGGAGAATGTGGGATTAACTCACTTATTTTTATTATGTATAGAAATTTCAGTTTGTTACTATAGACTATTTACAGAAATATGAGTTCTTGAGTTTTTCATTCTGCTACCCCAGATGTGTAGCACTCTGCTTTGTACATAGAAAGCACTTAGCAACTTGTGTGTTCTCTTGAATTTAACTGAAGTCCCACTTGAAAAGGTAAAGTTATATAAACTACTTTTTAGTATTTGAAGTTTCTTTAAGCCTATTTTTAATGATGGCTTGGTGTTCATGCAATGACTTATTTTTGTTTGTACTGGCAGAGCGTAGCTTTTTCAGTTGGCCAGTTAAAATGGAAAGACAAGCTGGACGCAGTGGCTCACGCCTGTAATCCCAGCACTTTGGGAGGCCAAGGCGAGTGGATCACAAGGTCAGGAGTTCAAGACCAGCCTGGCCAAGATGGTGAAACCCCATCTCTACTAAAACTACAAAAAATTAGCCGGGTGTGGTGGCGGGCACCTGTAGTCCCAGCTACTCGGGAGGCTGAGGCAGAGAATTGCTTGAACACAGGAGGCGGAAGTTGCAGTGAACCAAGATCGTGCCACTGCACTCCAGCCTGGGTGACAGAACAAGACTCCCTCTCAATAAAAAAAAAAAAAAAAGAAAAGAAAAGAAAGTAAGACAACTTGTGCTCTTATTTTTAAAATATTATATACTTCTAGCCCCATACAAATATTCTCAGATTAGACTAACCAATTACACATTGGAATACCTGGACAGTTTTAAAATACAACTAAAACTGAACAGAAGCATCCAAAGGTCAACCACTGTTTTACTGGACATACCTTTTACTTTGCTATTTTATGTATTTTATATTAAAGTTAGACCTTTGAGGCCAGGTGCAGTGGCTCACACCTGTAATCCCAGCACTTTGGGAGGCTGAGGTGGGCAGATCACCTGAGGACAGGAGTTTGAAACCAGACTGGCCAACATGGAGAAAACCCATCTGTACTAAAAATACTAAAATTAGCCGGGCGTGCTGGTGCGCACCTGTAATCCCAGCTACTCAGGAGGCTGAAGCAGGAGAATCACTTGAACCTGGGAGGCGGAGGTTGCAGTGAGTCAAGATCACCCCACTGCATTCCAGCCTGGGAGACAGAGCAAGACTCCGTCTCCAAAAAAAAAAAAAGTTAGACCTTTGGGTTTAAAAGCCCCAGGATAAACACATGAAAAAAACTTTCAAAATTTACAAGTGTAAAATATGCTCAGTACATCCTTCTTCCCACCCAACCAAACAACAACATCTCAAGTTAAATCAAGTGGTATAAAATGTCAACCTAGAATTCTACCACTGCCCCAGGGAAGTTCTGTCTGCCCACTGTCGTCTGCTTTTACAGGTCTACACTAGAAACAACTTCCCTTGATAGGAAGTACTGACTTTGTTCAGAGCTGTAAAATTATACCCAGAACCTCCCTTGTTCTTGTTCTATATGAGTCCCAGGGCCTGAGAGCCGCCATTTATGACGCTTTGGTTTGTCACACCCTGCACACACCATTAGAGACATTTTTCTCTCTTGGCTTTGTATCTGCTTCCTTCTGTTGCTACCCTCTCCATTTCCTATTTTCCTAATTTTTAAAAATGAAATTTATTTTTGCTTTTTCATTTGTCTAAGACTTAGGCTTTCATTTCCCCAGCTGTAAATCAGGCATTAGATAATAATCTCTAAAGCCAATTCCAATACTCTGTGAAGTCATTGTATCTTATATTTATGAGTAAATATAGTTATCATCTTTTTGATAATAAATTCATCAATAAACCATGGATTGGAATACATAAGAATCTGAAAACCCTTTATAACCCTCCTATCTCTGAAATTCACAGATACTGCTATATAGAACTGATTGATGAATTTCAATAATATCTACACCAACATATAATTAATAATGATATGTATTAATAATATTGATAACAATGAGACACCCACAGGTGACTTGTCAGTAACTGATTTGTGATTTCCTAATTTTAAGAGTGTGTGTATTCTTGTTGTAATCTATGAGAGCAAGAACCTTCTCAAAATAAAAGAAAGTTTTTCACAGATACTAATTCAGTGACTCATTTACTGACAATTTTCAGTAGGGTCAGAAACAATATCAGATTGGTCTGAAATTATAAAAAATATTTTTAAGAGTCTAATAGTTAAAAGTTAATTTGGGGTGAAAAACAACTCCTCTCTATAATTGTATTTTATTTTATTGTTTTATTGTTTAATTATTTTATTGTGTATTTTTAGGCAGGGTCTCACTTTGTAACCCAGGCTGGGATGCAGTGGCACTCATTGCAGTCTTGACCTCCCAGGCTCAGATGATCCTCCTACCTCAGCTTCCCAAGTAGTTGGGATTACAGGCATGTGCCACCATGCCTGGCTAATTTTTTTAAAACTTTTTTGTAGAGATGGGGTCTCACTACGTTACTTATACTGGTCTTGAACTCCTGGGCTCAAGTGATCCTCCTGCCCTTGGCTTCTCAAAGTATTGGAATTACAGGCATAAGCCACACACTAGACCAGTAATTTTAATATACTGTATATCCATGGTCCTCAACAGGGAGTGATTTTGCCTTGAGGGGACATTTAGCAATGTCTGGAAGATATTTTGGTTGCCATAACCTTGGGTTGTGAGATGCTACTGGTATCTGGTGTGCAGAGGCCAATGATTGTGCAAAGCATCTTTAAATGCACAGGATAGCTCCCCACAACAAAGAGTCAGCCATTCCAAAACACTAATAGTGCCAAGATTGAAAAACTCTTCCGTATGTGACTGTGTGACTCAACTGAGTTCTATGATTTGGAGAGTCTTTTCATATTTAATTCTAGAGGTTGTGAAAATAAAATGAAGGTCATTATAATGTCATAGTTCAGCCATGTGTACCATTACCAACTGCTTGCTGACTCTTGGCCTTTTATCCTTACCTAGACTATTAGACCTTCACAATGGATTCTTAAGTCTGGCCTGAGACACTTATTATTACTACAGGAAAACAAAAAAGAAAGCAAAAGATCCTACTATCTGGTAATAAATGTCTCATCTGAGCAGGTTTAAAGATCAAATAATCTTTGAAAAATAACAATTCTGGCTATTATTAAAAAGTCAAAAAATAACAGATGCTGGTGAGGTTGTTGAGAAAAAGGAATATTTTACACTGTTGATGGGAGTGTAAATTAGTTCAACCATTGTGGAAAAGATAGTGTGGCGATTCCTCAAAGACCTAATGACAGAAATACCATTTGACCCAGCAATCCCTTTAGTGGTTATATAACAAAAGGAATATAAATCATTCTGTTATAAAGACACATGCATGCGTATATTCATTGCAACACTATTCACAATAGCAAAGACATGGAATCAACTTAAATGCCCATCAGTGATAGACTGTTTAAAGAAAATGTGAGGCCGAGCGTGGTGGCTCACGCCTTTAATCCCAGCACTTTGGGAGGCCAAGACGGGTGGATCATGAGGTCAGGAGATCGAGACCATCTTGCCTAACATGGTGAAACGCCATCTCTACTAAAAATACAAAAAAAATTAGCCAGGCGTGGTGGCGGGTGCCTGTAGTCCCAGCTACTCGGGAGGCTGAGGCAGGAGAATGGCATGAACCCAGGAGGCAGAGGTTGCAGTGAGCGGAGATTGTGCTACTGCACTCCAGCCTGGGAGACAGAGCGAGACTCCATCTCAAAAAAAAAGAAAATGTGGTACATATATACCATGGAATGCTATACAGCCATAAAAAAGAATGAGATTGTGTCCTTTGCAGGGACATGGATGGAGCTGGAGGCCATTATCCTTAACAAACTAACACCGAATACTGTGTGTTCTCACTTACAAGTGGGTGCTAAATGATGGTCACACAGAGGGGAGCAACACACACCGGGGACTACCAGAGGGCAGAGGGTAGGAGGGAGAGGATCAGGAAAAATAACTAATGGATACTAAGCTTAATACCTGGGTGATGAAATAATCTGTACAAAAAAACCCCATGGCACACGTTTGCCTGTGTAACAAACCTGCACATCCTACACATGTACCCCTGAACTTAAAAGTTAAAAAAAAATTAGAAATAACAATTTTTATATAGCAGTATGCTTTAAAATGATGTCATGGACTGTTAAACTTCAGTAGACTTGACCAATCATTTAGTCCAATGCTTTTTTTTTTTTTTTTTTTTTTTCCAAATAAAGTAAGAGCCTCACTATCTAAGCTCACATGGTATATTGGTTGCAGGATTAATACAAGGAGGCATGATTACATGATCACAATCCAGACACAAGTCACCTCCTTCATGACAAAATTCATCACAAATGTAGGTTCTTTATGTGGTTCTTATATGGCCCTCACTAGCTTTTGCATCAAGGTTTGCTCAGTGTGGACTTTACGAAAATCAGGAAGGAGATGATTTAGTGAGTAAGGGGATTAGAAATTGTATCCTGGCACCATTTACACAACTCGCAACACAATATTAAAAAATGACTAGGGAGACGGAGGTGGAAGGATATTTTATTTATATAAATCTTAGCCATGCCCAGTGGTACACACCTACTGTCCCAGGTACTTGGGAGGCTGAGGCAAGATAAGTTGAGGTTGCAGTGAGCTGTGATCATGCCACTACACTCCAATCTGGATAACAGAGCAAGACCCTGTTTAAAAAAAAATTAAAAATCAAGTGATTTTTTAAAAATGAAGAAAAGGACAAGTAGAGAGGTAGGGTGGGGAATTTTCCCTTGAATCCTCAAAATAATAAAACTGTATATTCCACTTTTTATCTCCTTCCTTCACAACATTTGAAATTCCACAGTAATTTTCCCTTCGGTTATTTGCCTATTTCCTTTTTAATGGTTTCCATTGTTATACCCAGTAGATTAAACAACATTCTTCTTTACTTATTGAATTGATATAGTAAGATCTGCAAAAAAAAGTTATTCCAAAATGCTTATAGTAAAGAACAAAGTTTTTAGGGATCTAATAGTTTCTTTCCTTCCCAACCTTATTGAGATATAAATGACAAATAAAAATTATTTATATTTAAGGTGTATAACATGATGCATACATTGTGAAATAATTACCACAGTCAAGCTAATTAACACATCCAATACCCCATATAGTTAATGTGTGTGTGTGTGTGTATGTGTGTGGTGGGAACACTTATGATCTAGCAAATCTACATCTCCCTTACCAAACTTCAATATACAGTAGAGTATCATGAACTTGTAGTCACCATACTGTATATTAGATCCTCAGAACTTTGTCATCTTATAACTGAAATTTGGGCCCTTTGAGCAACATCTCTCTATCTTATCCCCCGACAAGGAGCAACCACCATTCTACTCTCTGCTTCTGTGAGTTTGACATTTTTAGATTCCATCTGTAACTGAAGTCATATAATATTTGTCTTTCTGTGTCTGGCTTATTTCACTTAGCATAATGTCTTCCAGCTTCATCCATGTTGTCATGAAGGGCAAGATTTCCTTCTTTTTTATGACTGAATAATATTCTATTATGTATATCTATAAATGTAAATATATATACCACCTTTTTTGTATCCATTCATCCATCAACAGATGCTTAGGTTATTTCTATATCTTGGTCATTATGAATAATTCTGCAGCGAATGTAGGAGTGCAAATATCTCTTCGAGATACTATGCTGATTTCATTACCTTTGGTTACATATCCAGAAGTTGGATTGCTGCAGTAGTTCCATTTTTTATATTTGAAGATCCTCTGTACTATTCTTCATAGTAACTGGGCCAATTTACATTTCCACCAAAAGTGTATAAAAGTTCTCTTTTCTCCATATCCTCACTAACAATTGTTATCTCTTTTTTTTTAAATAATGGCCATCCTAACAGGTATGAGGTAATATTTCATGGTTTTGATTTGTATTTCCCTAATGATTAATGATGTTGAGCACCTTTTCATATACTTGCTGGCTGTATTTATGACTTCTTTGGGAAAATATCTATTCAGGTCCTTTGGCCATTTTTAAATTGGGTTATTTGGTGTTTTGCTGTTGAGTTATATGAATTCTTTAAATATTTTGGATATTAATCCCTCATGAGATATATAGTTTGGAAATATTTTCTTCCATTTTCTAGGTTGCATTTCCATTTTGTTGACTGTTTCCTTTGCTGTGCAGAGCTTTTTAGTTTGATGTAGTCCTACGTGTTTATTTTTGCTTTTATTGCCTGTGCTTGTGTCAAAAAATCATTGCCAAAATGAGTGTAAAGGAGTTTTTCCCTTAAGTTTTCTTCTAGGAGTTTTGTGATTTCAGGTCTTAAATTTAAGTCTTTAAATATTTCACGTTAATGTTTGTTATGGTATAAGATAAGGGTCCAGTTTCATTCTCTTGCATGTGGAGATCCAGTTTTTCCAGCACCGTTTATTGGAGGGACTATCCTTTCCCCATTGTGTATTCTCCTTGGTGCCCTTGTCAAAGAGAGATCTAGTAGTTTCTAAGCAGCATCATGAAGCTGTATCTTTACTGATTTCATGTTACAACAAAATTTTTTTAAGCACAAACCCAGGGGTGTGACATACCCTGAAACTGGTGATTTGAAAAACAGTACTGTTAGAGAAAGGGATCTATGGAGATCATTGTTAGTAGTAGTAATTGGGGCATTGGATCAGGATACCCCAGTTATCCTGATCCAATACCTTAATTATATAATTAAGTTTTTAAGTGTAGAAGTGGGTGTAATGATCACTGTTTTGATAAAATTAAAATATTAATGTGTTAAAGTACCCATCTCATTTGGTGCTAGTAGAAAACGAAATGCATAAAAACTATTGCTAAAAGTCACTAAACCTCTCTTACAGCCTAATTAGCAAGTTAATGCTTTTTCCTTTTGGCTGTTCCCTAATTTTTCATTCAATTTATCTTTTCCTGAAAACCTGCTAATTTCATGCACTTTAGCCCTACGGAAGAGGACGTTGCTTAGCAACTGCCTAAATAACTAATAGACCTAGGTATCTAGTAAAGGCTTGAAGGATTTACTTATTTTAAATTTATATATTTGTGTATTAACCATCAAATCCAAGAGGAAGTTGTTTCACTTTGGTATTTCTTCGGATTTCTGCATTTTTATGATTAATTCTTTTCTTTTTTTTTTAAATGGAGTCTTGCTGTGTCGCCCAGGTTGGAGTGCAGTAGCTCGATCTTGGCTCACTGCAACCTCTGCCACCTGGATTCAAGTGATTCTCCTGCCTCAGCCTCCCAGGTAGCTGGGACTACAGGCGCACCTACCATGCCTGGCAAATTTTTGTATTTTTAGTAGAGACGGGGTTTCACCATCTTGGCCAGGCTGATCTCGAATTCCTGACCTCAAATGTTCCACCCACCTCGGCGTCCCAAAGTGCTGGGATTACAGGGGTGAGCCACTGTGCCTGGCCTGCATTTTTATAATTAATTTGTACATGAGTTGTTTGTAGCAAAAAAAAAAAAAAAGAAAAACAGTATATTTAATGGGAACTTCTTTTTTCTCCCTTCAACCTCTTAGTAACATTGCTGTATTTGTCATTTACTTTAGTTAATCTTTTCTAACAGAATACCCTATCAATGATATTTGCTGAGTTAAGAAATGTTTTCTGGGCCGGGCGCAGTGGCTCATGCCTGTAATCCCAGCACTTTTGGAGGCCGAGGCGGGTGGATCACGAGGTCAGGAGATCGAGACCATCCTGGCTAACATGGTGAAACCCCGTCTCTACTAAAAAGACAAAAAATTAGCCGGGCATGGTGGCGGACGCCTGTAGTCCCAGCTACTCGGGAGGCTGAGGCAGGAGAATGGTGTGAACCCGGGAGGCGGAGCTTGCAGTGAGCCGAGATCATGCCACTGCACTCCAGTCTGGGTGACAGAGCGAGACTCCGTCTTAAAAAAAAAAAAAAAGGAATGTTTTCTGGCCAGGCACAGTGGCTCACACCTGTAATCCCAGCACTTTAGGAGGCCAAGGCAGGCAGATCATGAGGTCAAGAGTTCGAGACCAGCCTGGCCAACATGGTGAAACCCTGTTGCTACTAAGAATACAAAAATTAGCCGGGAGTGGTGGTGTGTGCCTATAATCCTAGCTACTCGGGAGGCTGAGGCAGGAGAATTGCTTGAACCCAGGAGGCAGAGGTTGCAGTGAGCCAAGATCGTGCCACTGCACTCCAGCCTTGGCAACAAAGCAAGACTCTGTCACAGAAAAAAAAAGTTTTCTAATTCACTGGATACAGAATTCTATAATATTTCTTTTTAATGGTAAGCTAATTATTTTAGAGGAAATACATTAAGGTTTTAGGAGAAGGAATTTAGAAATTAAATTGAAGTCGTTGCTATTACCTATACATGATGGTTTTACTTTTGGTTGTTTGACCCAGAAGTATCTCAGAAGCTCATCTGAGCTAAGGGTTTTCTAAGGTTTGAGGGTATGAGTGGTGCTGTCATTTTGCAATGTCCTGTTATACTTAATTTAGCCTTGGTGTGTTTACTTGTCTGAGGTTAAGTCTCCCCACTATGACATATAAAGCTGTATTATTATCCAAATCTCAGACCTATTTTCTTCACTCTTATATTAGTTCATTCTCACGCTGCTAATAAAGACATACCAGAGACTGGTTAATTTATAAAGGAAAGTTGTTTAATTGACTCACAGTTCAGCATGGCTGGGGAGGCCTCAGGAAACTTACAGTTACTGCAGAAGGGGAAGCAAACATGTTCTTCTTCACATGGTGGCAGGAAGGAGAAGAATGCGAGCAAAATGGGGAAAAGCCCCTTCTAAAACCATCAGATCTCATGAGAATTCACTCACTATCACAAGAACAGCATGGGGGAACCACCCCCATGATCTGGTCACCTCCCATGAGGTCCCTCCCCCAACATATGGGAATTACAATTTGGATTACAATTCAATATGAGACTTTGTCTGGGGACACAGCCAAACCATATCAACTGTGTTTCTGTTCAACTGCCCTGAAGTAAAAACAAAATACCAGCAAATTTTCTTACTGCACCCTTTGCATTCTGTGGTGTTGAGACATTAAAGACCATTTGCATCAGGCTAGTGTGGTGGCTCACTCCTGTAATCTCAGCACTTTGGGAAGCCTGGGGAGAGGATCACCCAGAGCTCAAGGGTTTGAGACCAGCCCGGACAACATTGCCAAACCCTGTCTCTACAAAACCTACAAAAATTAGCTGGATGTGGTGGCACACACCTGTGGTCCCAGCTACTTGGGAGGCTGAGGTGGGAGGATCACCGAAGCCCGGGAAGTTTGAGGCTGCCGTAAGCCAAGAGATTGCGCCACTGCACTCCAGCCTGGGTGACAGAGTGAGACCCTGTCTCAAAAAAAGTAAATAAATAAATAAAAGAAGACCACGTGCCACTTGCACAAATATATTAGCAGTAAAAAGAACACATAGTTGGGCATGATGGCACATGCCTGTAATCCCAGCTACTTGGGAGGCTGAGGCAGGGGATTATTTGAACCCAGGAGGTGGAGGTTGCAGTGAGCCGAGATGGTGCCACTGCATTCCAGCGTGGGTGACAGAACAAGACTCCCTCTCAAAAAAGAACACAGGCAACTTATATTAATAGTGTTAAGCGAGTCTACATTAAAGAGAAACTGTGCTTTCAAAGAGTTACTTTTGTCTCAGAATGAAGCTCCTTTACAAAATGGCTGCTTTAGAATTCTATCTTGCAGAGAGGCTTTGGGCAAATTTATAGCATATTTTCTTTCACAGGCAAGAACTCCTAAGATATCATTTTGTGTAATGATTAATTATCCTCTATAGATATCAGAGATTTTTTTTTGTTTTAATGGAGTATCTTCAGTAAGACATTACCCTATCATAAAATAAAGTGTATTTAAAGCAATATTGCCAGGCACAGTAACTTGTGCCTGTGGTCCCACCCACTCGGGAGCTGCGGTGAGAAGATTGCTTAGCCCAGGAATTCAAGTCTGGCCTGGGCAACATAGCAAGAACCTGTAACTTTTTAAAAAAGGAAATATTAGATTATTAGTAGCTATAGTAACTATAAATAATAGAACATTTCATCTACAATTGACTAATATAGAGCTTATTTATAAACTGCAATCTGTAAGACTGTATGTATCATGTTCACATCTCAACTGTGCTCATATCTCATTTGCATTGTCAACCACTGTACAAAGAGAACAATGTAGGATAACTAGAGTGAAGTTTAAAGATTCATACTTAGTAAGTTATCTGATACAAAGACAATATCTGCCAAATAGTTTAGGACAAAAATGATTTTTAAGAGATATGTATCTTTGAGAGAGAGTGAAGGAGAGGAGGGGAGAGGGAGGGAGGGGGAGAGAGAGAGAGAGAGAGAGAGAGAGAGAGAGAGAGAGAGAGAGAGAGAGAGATGCCAGCCTGCCAATATTCAAAGAGTTTAAACTTCAACCATAACGTTTATTTTTTCTCCTTCTCTCATCTTTCCCTCTATATCTATCTATAGAAATATAAAAACATATTTTAGATTTAACATAAAAAATTAACTGTCATTCAAATGAATGAAATTAGAATGTTCTGGGCATTGCCACTGCCACCACTATGACAGCTGTTTTAGAATTATGAAAATCTTTTTATTATTTTATTTTAGACCATTAAGCAATTTACTATTGCTCTTAAAGCATACATAAAGCCAATTTTTAACATCATGGAAGCCATCGCTGACAAGAATGTTGCCTCAATTCACATGATATTTTCTATTATAGCAGTCTGTTAATGTGTATTGCATTCATCAGTAACTTGAGGAGGAATTGATAAATTGCCTTCAGTCTTCTTTCTCCTCATATTTGCGAATGCCTTATATAATAAATACTACTACAGGCCAGGCATGGTGGCTCACACCTGTAATCCCAGCACTTTGGGAAGCTGAGGTGGGTGAATGGCTTGAGTTTGTGAGTTCGAGACCAGCCTGGGCAACATGGTGAAACCCCTTCTCTACTAAAAATATAAAAAATGAGCCAGGCTTGGTAGTGCATGCCTGTAGTTCCAGCTACTTGGGAGACTGAGAGAGGAGGATTACCTGAGCCTGGAAGGTTGAGGCCACAGTGAGCTGTGATCGTGCCACTGCACTCCACCCTGGACAATAGTGAGACCCTGTCTCAAAAAAAAAATTTTTTTTTTTAAATTTAAAAATTAGCTGGGAGTGGTGGCGCTTGTAGTCCCAATTACTGTGGAAACTGAGGTGGGAGGATCACTTGAACCCAGGAGGTTGAGGCTGCAGTGAGCTGTAAATGCATCACTGCACTCCAGCCTGGGCAACAGAGAGAAACCCTGTCTCAAAAATGATAGATAGCCAGCCATGGTGGCTCACGCCTGTAATCCCAGCATGTTGGGAGGCTGAGGCGGCCGGATCACGAGGTCAGGAGTTCAAGATCAGCCTGGCCAACATGGTGAAACCTTGTTTTTACTAAAAATACAAAAATTAGCCGGGTGTGGTGGTGTGCGCTTATAGTCCCAGCTGCTTGGGAAGATGAGGCAGGAGAAATGCTTGAACCCGGGAGGTGGAGGTTGCAGTGGGCCGAGATCGCGCCAAAAAAAAAAGATAGATAGATAGATAGATACTGTTGGATGCAATATAAGTTTTCAGCCCATATTTTCGTTATATAAGGATACAACATTAAGAGCAAAATACTAAGATAAGAGAAATATAGAGTCTACCATTAGAAATTTTAAAACTTCTATTTCAGGATTTCTAAATGGGCTATTCAAAAGTGAATTGAATCTCCTGTCTTTTCTCTTGCTTTCATTTGTGACAAACCTGATGTAGGTGGGAAAAAACCTGAGCCTTTGTAATCACATGTTTGGGTTTAATCATAACTCTCATTTAGTAGTAGTGTGACTTATTTATTTATCTGAGACAGAGTCTTGCTCTGTCACCCAGGCTGGACTGCAGTGACGTGATCTCAGCTCACTGCAACCTCCACCTCCTGAGTTCAAGCAATTCTCCTGCCTTAGCCTCCCAAGTAGCTGGGATTACAGGTGCATGCCACCAGGCTGACTAATTTTTGTATTTTTAGTAGAGATGGGGTTTCACCATGTTGTTCAGGCTGGTCTCAAACTCCTGATCTCAGGTGATCCTCCCATCTCGGCCTCCCAAAGTGCTGGGATTACAGGCATGAGCCACTGAGCCCAGCCAAAGTAGTGTGACTTTAAATTGCTTAAACTCTTTTTTTTTTGATGGAGTCTTGCTCCGTCGCCCAGGGTGGAGTGCAGTGGCACGATCTCTGCTCACCGCAGCCTCCGCCGCCTGGGGTTAAGCCTCAGCCTCCCGAGTAGCTAGAACTGTAGGCACCCACCACCATGACCAGCTAATTTTTTTTTGTATTTTTATTAGAGATGAGGTTTCACCATGTTGGCCAGGCTGGTCTCGAACTCCTGACCTCAGGCGATTCACCCACCTTAGCCTGCCAAAGTGCTGGGATTACAGGCATGATTTCCATGGCACCCAGCCTAAATTGCTTAAACTCTTAGAGCAAGTATCTCTTCTGTAAAATTGGGATAATTAAATCTGCTACAAAGTATTGTGTAAGAACTAAAAGAGATAATGAAATTATGGCTCCTCCCTAGCACAGTAGGTTTTAAATATGTGTTATTTCTCTCCCCCTTCCCCATTTACCTCTGATGGAAACTTAGTTGACATCTTTGAAGTGAAGTGGTTTGTTGGTCAGTTCTTAGTTTCTGAGTTAGCTGCTACTCTAAGCCATTGCACAGGGTATTTCTTTTGACTCAAGATAAAAATGAACTGTGGAAAACCTTATTATAATATAGTTATGAAGAAGGATTATTTATTTTCACATGATAGCCCATAGTAATGGTGTTTTGTTGATCAGGTTACAATAGATTAATATCATTATATAACAAATGCTCTTTTTTCCCTGTTCTTTTCATAGTTGTTCAATTTAATGAGAGGTAATTGATTAAATTCTGTTTGCATTGTAGTCAGGAAACCGGAGAGGGCAGCAAACTGTAGGAGATTGTGCCCCAACGCCCCACCCAGGCCTCCCTATCAAGACTTCACCTCCACTAACCTGTCTCAGTCATTTCTAACAGAAGGACTCATGTAAATTACCAAATTACTCCCAAATAAATCAGTGTCCAGAAAGATTTAGTTGTTTATGGAAAATTGGTAGAGGATTGAAATTGTATGACACTGTTATTCATCTCTCCTGGACAAGGAAATACGAAAAAAAAAAATGGAGGCATTGGTTGTGTTCTCGTATACTGAGAACCTCACTCCCTGCCCCATTTCTAAAGGTTACAATTCCATCTTCTCTTTAGTTTTCATCAAATAGTTTTGCCCCCTGTACATCATTTTTATTAATATTGATAATAACAACCAACATCAATCAAATGCTTTCCAGAGTCAGGTACCTCACTGCATTGTTACTATTTTCTCGTTTTGTGGATGATGACATGGTTTGGCTCTGTGTCCCTGCCCAAATATCATCTCAAATTGTAATCCCCACATGTCCAGGGAGGGAGGTGAGTGGATCATGGGGGAGTGGATCATGGGAGGTGAGTGGAACAGCATCCACCATGCTGTTCTTGTGATCCTGAGTGAGTTCTCACAAGATCTGATGGTTTTATAAGCATCTGGCATTTCCCCTGCTTTCCCTTCTCTCTCCTGCCGCCATGTGAAGAAGGTCCTTGCTTCCCCTTCACCTTCCGCCATGATTGTAAGTTTCCCAAGGCCTCTCCAGCCATGTAGAACTGTGAGTCAATTAAAACTCTTTCCTTTATGAATTACCCAGTCTTGGGGTTTTTCTTCGTAGCAGTGTGAAAACGGACTAATACAGATGAGAAAACCAAGGAGTGAGACAACTTATGTAATTTGCTCATTGTCACTGCTATAGACTGAATGTTTGTGTCCCCCCAAAATTCACATGTTGAAATACCCAAATGTGACGATATTAAGAGACGGGATCTTTGACTGGTGATTAGATCATGCGGGTTAAGTTCTCTTGAATGAGATTAGTGCCCTTATAAAAAAAACTCCAAGGAGACCCCTTCCTCATTCTACCATGTAAGGACACAGAGAGAAGACCTCTGCCTGTGACTAGAAAACACGCTCCCACCAGACACCAAATCTGCCAGCACCTTCATCTTCCACACTCCAGAAATGTGATAAATAAATTTCTGTTGTGTATAAGTTATCCAGTCTATGGTATTTTATTCTAGTAGCAGCCCAAACAGACTAAGACAGTCACATAGCCAGTGAGTGGTGGAGCCCAGTATCAAACCAGGTTATTCTAAATTCTGGAGCCCACACTTCCTTTCTCTAATGGCATAAATGGAAGCTAGAAAGGCAGGAATTTAGTAATCTTCAATGACTGGCTTTGGCCTAATTTGTTGACCTGATATTTGCAAATTACCATAGGCTAATTTAAATCTGCCTTTGTAACTTCTGCTGTGTCCAGTATCAGTTTACCACTCTGGTCATTCTAAATTATTTTTTCCCTGTAAAAAATTATTTCACTTTGCCTATCTAAATTCAATCCATCTTTTCCATGAAGGCTTCCCCATCTGCAGAGGGACTTCATTCTATTACAGTCCTATATCACTAATTATTGTATTACATGACAGACATAGCTTTTTTTATAGTCTGTAACCTATGTATGTGTGTGAAGGAGACATCAGTGTTTGAGAAACAGCAGTGTTTGGCACATGGCTAATTCTGGTATATGTTTGCCTACTTCCTTATCCTTTAGCTTGCACACTAGAAACAGACACACCTGTTTTTTAATCCTAGCAGCTCTATTTCTAGCTGTAGGTATCGAGTCAAATCACAAAACTTCTCCATATTTTAATTATCTACAAAAAAGGAATAATTATGGTATCTAGTTTATTGATTTACAGTGAAGATGAAATGAGATTTTGTGTTTAGGACATAGTGAATACTTATTAAATATTAGCTGCCACTATTATAACTTCTTTTTTTTTTTTTTTGAGATGGAGTCTCGCTCTGTTGCCCAGGCTGGAGTGCAGTGGTGCGATCTTAGCTTACTGCAAGCTCCACCTTCCAGGCTCACGCCATTCTCCTGCCTCAGCCTCCTGAGTAGCTGGGACTACAGGCGCCTGCCACAACACCCGGCTAATTTTTTTTATATTTTTAGTAGAGATGGGGTTTCACCGTGTTAGCCAGGATGGTCTCGATCTCCTGACCTCGTGATCCACCCACCTCGGCCTCCCAAAGTGCTGGGATTACAGGCATGAGCCACCACGCCCGGCCTATTATAACATTTTTAGTAAATATTCATTGTTATAGATTATTTGTATTACTAGATTACAAAATCTGTAATCCCCCTTATGCACATTATAAGCATTTAGTAAATGTTGAGTTTTTTGTTTGTTTGTTTGTTTGTTTTTTGTTTTGAAACAGAGTCTTGCTGTGTCACCTAGGCTGGAGTGCAGTGGCGCGATCTCAGCTGATTCTCCTGCCTCAGGCTGCTGAGTAGCTGGGATTACAGGCATATGCCACCACGCCTAGATAATTTTTATACTTTTAGTAGGGACGGGGTTTCACCACGTTGGCCAAGCTGGTCTCGAACTCCTGACAGCGTGATCTGCCTGCCTTGGCCTCCCAAAGTGCTGAGATTACAGGCATGAGCCACCACACCTGGCCTGAGTTGCTTTTTTAAAATAAATAAAGATTTAATTCACATACCATCAAACTTGTCAAGTTTTAACTGCAGGTTTTAACTGCAGGATTTAACCAAGTGCCCTGCTGTAAACTGCCAGTATATAACATAATGCAGGCATGTGAGGTCCCATTGGAAAGGGAGTTATCCAGGCTGGGAGAAAAACTTGAGAGAAATGGGCACTTGCATGAAATCCTATTGCTGTTCCCTAAACCTACCCTCTGATCTTATGAAAAAACGAATATCATGTGAAATGATTTCATTTCATTTGATTGTTAGTGAAATGTTTTAAATAATTATTTGAATGCTTTAGAAATTAATGTATCGTTATTTGTAATTAGAATTCAGTTGTGCACTCTGCTCAAAATGAGACAAAGTGAAGCATTACTCATGTTTTCAGGTAAGTATGAAACTCTTCATTTTGAGTGATAACAAATATCGGTGAATGCTTACAAGCACTTGAAACATTTACTTTTGGTTAGGTAAAATTTAATGTGAATGTGATGGCGGTGGATTTTAGTTTCAAATGAGGTAAAAAGCTGAATTGTTAAAGAGTTGCATCTATTCTTTCATAGTCTGGAATCTACCTCACCCTCATTCTTTGTGGTGAGTTGCAAATGAGGCAGCAAGATACCCAGCATACCTGTTAAGCAAGTATTTATGTCCCACTGGTTTTTCTTTTTTTAGTTTAATGCTAGGTTTTTTTTTTCTTTTTTTGAACAATCTGTTTTCTGAGGTTTTGAATTTTCCTAGCAACTGCTAGGAGAGATAGGAAGGATAATGAGCTGAATGGCTGGTATTCAACACAAGAATAATGGTGTTCTTTATTTACCTTTGCATAATTTTAAAGAGAACAAGTTTACTTATCTTTTACTTGTTCTTTTCCCATTGTAAAAACTCAGTAGGTGTTACTAGACTATTCTGAAATACAAATTCTGAAAAGCTTTCTTCTGATATTTCTATGGTTTCTCATTCATATTTTCTCTTTTGTTACCTCACTTAGAGCACATGGGCTTTGTAATGTACACTGCTAAGAGTAGATAGAAACCTGCTTGGAATATTGATTTTCTGTAATTAAGAATGTATTTATAGAATTTTATCTTTCTTATAGTTCTATTTTTTTTTTTTTTAAGAGGCAGCATCTTATTCTGTCACCCAGGCTGGAGTGTAGTGGCACAATTGCAGTTCACTGTAGCCTGAACCTCCTGGGTTCCCCGCAAATAGCTGAGACTACAGGAACTTGCTACCATGCCTGGCTGATTTTTCAATTTTTTGTAAAGATGTAGTCTCACTATGTTGCCCAGGCTGGTTTTATAATACTGGGCTCAAGCAGTCCTCCTCCCTCAGCCTCCCGGGATTATGAGTGTGAGCCACCACAACCAGCCTTTCTTATAGTTATTTATCTCACTGTGAACACTGTGAACATTTTGTCATTTTGGAGATCCTTAACATTGAGTCATGTATACTTTGTGAATGTTTGCATAGAGTTACCTAGGAACATCTGGAAGAATGTTCATGAAAGATTAGAGGAGGGCCAGTCATGCAGGAGGAACAGTTTCTCCAGGGTGCTACCCATCTATATGGGGGTTGCAGAAGACCTTTCTGCCCTCTAAACCATATTTCCTTTTTTTATTTCTTTGAGACAGAGTTTTGCTCTGTCGCCCAGGCTGGAGTGCAGTGGTGCAATCTCGGCTCACTGCAACCTCTGCCTCCTGGGTTCAAGCGATTCTCCTGCCTCAGCCTCCAGGGTAGCTGGGACTACAGGCACACACCACCATGCCCGGCTAATTTTTTTGTATTTTTATTAGAGACGGGGTTTCACCATGTTGGCCAGGCTGGTCTCCAACTCCTGACCTCGTGATCCACCCGCCTCGGCCTCCAAAAGTGCTGGGATTACAGGCATGAGCCACCGTGCCTGGCCTAAGCCATATTTCTCTTGTAGTTGTTTTGTCTTTCTTTCTGTCTGATCTTGATTTTATGGGTGACGTGATGAGAATATTCAACAAGTAGAATATGAGATATAGGAAAAAGGTCTTGACTGCTACTCTCCTGAGTTGAGATAATTTTTTTTTTTTTTTTTTCCGAGATGGAATTCTCCCTCTGTCGCCCAGGCTGGAGTGCAGTGGCACAATCTTGGCTCACTGCAACCCCTGCCTCCCGGGTTCAAGTGATTCTGCTTCAGCCTCCTGAGTAGCTGGGTCTACAGGCGCGCGCCACCACGCCTGGCTAATTTTTGTATTTTTAGTAGAGGTGGGGTTTCACCATATTGGCCAGGCTGGTCTCGAACTCCTGACCTTGTGATCCACGCACCTCGTCCTCCTAAAGTGCTGGGATTACAGGTGTGAGCCACTGCGCCCGGTGAGGTGAGATAATTTTTATACTTGCTGCTTTGACTGATGTATAAAAAAATGCTACTCCCATAATGCAACTACTTTGCTGCATTGGAGAGAACACAATAGAAAAATAGCCACTTCTTATTCAAGCTTTTCTTGATTTTTGTTTCGGCTGTCTCTAAATTTGACACTTGAGAATAGATGGTTTATTTGACTCATAGTATGACCCAGGTATGCTTTTGTTAAAAAGAACAGTTCTAGGAGGATGACTGTTGGGACAAAATTAGCTACTAGTATGGAATACTCTTTCAGTGTAAAATCTCAGAACAACATTTAAAAATCATTGGAGATATTTTATTCATAAACATTTTCTTAATAAGATCCAGAAAGGGTTTATAAACCTAATAAACCTATTCGATAGGTTCTATCAAATAAACCTATTTCTATCAAATAAACCTATTTGATATCTTCTATCAAATAAACCTATTTGATAGGAGGAAATAGGAATAGGACACATTGCTTTTGACTTTCTATACCCATGTGGAAACCAGGAATCTATTCTCTCCCTCTCAATTTACATGACCATGAGGAAACTGAAACCTAGCGAAGTTAAATGACTTGCCCGGGGACGGACAGCTAGCTAGTTCCTGCTTGAACTGAGGACCATCTATTTGGTTACCGGGAGTGTGGCTGGTTTCTGTTGCCTGTTTTGATACTCTTCTCCTGGTAAGTTTTAGCTTCAAATGGTATTGTCCACACCACAGCCCTTGATCTCAGGTAATTCTCCACACCACTGCCTTTTTTTTTTTTTTTTTTTTTTTTTCCAATGCAGTTGCGTGGTGTGAAGGCGATAACTGCAGACACTCAGGTGTAAACAACCCAGGGAATCAATGGGTTGGGGGGATGGTAAAACAGGAGTTCGTAGACAGGACTGTGTACAATAGCTTCTGAAGTTTTGGAGGGTATTGGTGTAGCTGTTATTTCTGAGACCGGAGAAAATGACGGTAGAGTGACAGTTTCTCTAATCATCAGTTTTCAAAGAGTATGTTTTTCGTTGGAACCACAAATATAGTACACTTAATAAGGGGAAACGAAACCTTGAATTTTTCCTTCCCAGACTCTGAAAAGTAAAGTAAACTTTAAGGAACATTTTAAGGGTGACAAAAGGTGAAGATTGCAAATCAAACTTAGAGTGTCCCTGCTCAAGAAAATCTGTGCACTGCAGCTACAATAGAGGACCACTTGGGTTTAGAAATGACATGTTATTAATAATTCTAGTCACTGTGGCTAATTAGAACAATCTGTTGAAGGTTATAAATTATAGAAGCTTTTTAAAACATTTATCTAAGAACCTGTGTAGAATTCTAAAAGGACTGAATTATTTGAAGTTATTAGTTTCTGTGTATGTAAACTTAAACTATTTTTAAAGCCTTTGATTATTTTTCTAAAAATGTTTTTGCATGCTTATAGCCTGATGCCGTAAATGTTTTATGAGTTTAATGTACAGCACCTCTAGGTGCTATTTAAAATTGTTTTTTCTGGTCCTTTTCTTTTGGGTTATAAGGGTTCTTCGTAACCAAGAAGATTACCTATGGTTACGCTGAATGCACTCTCCCAGGGTGCATAGGCGCTGCTGAACTGCGGTTATAACTCTTGTTTGCCCCTGGGTGGTTGCCAGCAGGGAGTAAGGCATTGTGGGAAGTACTTTCTTTACCTTCCACAACAGGTGTCTTTGTCAGTGCACCTTATTCAGATATCCATGTGTGGAAGCTCTGAGTCACTGAATAGCAAAGAAAAATATGAAAGCAAGAGGAATTGCTTTCACATCTAGAAAATGTTGCAAGATAATCTGAAATCTTCTGGTGCTGGTGAATGCATGAAGAGGTTCACAGTATCTTTTAAAGTACTTCTGAAAAGATAAGGAGTTTAAAAGGTATGAACTGCCTGGACACCTTATAATGCCTTGTCTCCTGATTATCATTTAATTTTTACCTGGTTAGTCAGAGTCAGGATAAATGTGCAGGAAAAAAATGTTAACGAAAATAATGCTTAACAGACAAAGCAGCACTGTAGAACAAAAATGAAGTAAAAATGCTTTACTGACTCCAACAAGGGTCAAACACAGTTTGAAGCTGTTTTAATCTTGTGGATTTATTTAAAATATTGCATTTTTTTGTTTAAATAAGCTTATTAGATTTGCTTGTTTCCTAGCAATCAGGTGCTTTTCCCTCCTTCCTTGTGCTCGCTCTTATAAGCTAGAATGCTATAGCAGTTGTAAAACTCTACTAATTACATTTAAATGGGACAAGGTGTTATACAAGTAATCATGTTAATGTAGATGAAAAAAATACTTTTGGAAAACATGGGAAAATAACACTATAGATCTCATTCTGAGTTTTGTTTTCTGAAAAGCAAACAAATTTAGGTAACATAATCCTGCTATTGGTAATGAAGACTAAACATTTCAACTGGTTGAAATGTTTTATTTCAACTTATTTCTTTTGATTTTAGACGAACTTGCCAAATTAATTTCTAGTTCTAACAAAGAATATTTCTCATAGTAAGTACTGCAGTGTCATGATCTAGAAAAAGCAGGGAAGATACTAGCTTAATTAGGAATATTGAAAAACAACTTCAGAGAAGCCTTATCTGTCTTCCCCTTATTTTTATTTGCTTAATCCTTTTTCCATGAAATTAGTATACATTATATTTCCTGATCAAGCAACTTTGTAATGGTGATTATGGGCAACTTTCAAACTTTTCATCTGGAAATATGGCAGTTCATTTATGGTCTCCAGCTGTAATTTAAAAAGCACTACTGGTGGTTAAGCTACCAACAGTTAATGGCTATCTACTGATTTGAATAATTAAAAGAAACCCCTAGCCTTAAAGATAAAAGATGAAGAGAACTTTTATCTATGGGAGCAAAACAACCAGTTTATAAATGAGACTCTTGTATTGCTTTCTGAATAACAACACAAAACTATGCTTAAAATACTTATTTTTTTTAGTAGGAAAAGGGAGTAATGATTATTAATTGATATCGCTGTCCCTGTTTCATTTTTATGTTTTGGCATTTTTTTCTTTAACAGAAATACTCAGAGGGGAAAATTTTTTTTTTCAGACTTCAGGAGATCACTTGTACTATGAATTCTTTAAATTCTGAGAAATTAAAATGGTTTTCATCTGTTTATTTTCTAAGATTACGAAAAAATAAGCGTTAAGAACACTAAGAAAATTTACTTCTTCTCCAAGAACAATCTTCATGTAATAATACTGCAGTAAGAAGATGAGCTATTATGAAAATTTTTAATTACCAAGAACATAACACAAATCAGTTTTTTTTGTTGTTGTTATTGCTATAGGATATTTCTAGTTAGGAAACTTTATTTCTTTTTTGAAGTTTAAAGGTTTCCAAAAATTGAATTTTCCAGCTTCTCTGTTATAAATGCAGAAGGTGTTTATAGTGTATACTTCCTGCATAGATAAGAAACCTCTTTTAGTTTCCTACTGGGGGTGAATTGCTAGCCAAGCCTGTGATAGCAGCCGCTTTTTTTTTCTTTCTCTTTCTTTCTTTCTGGATTTTTGACACTCCACCCCCTCGAACTCAGGTGGGTGTGTACACTGGCACTGAGCTGCAGTAGGATTTTTCCTTGGATAGTCTGGTCTGGAGCTGGGACAGCAGCTGCTGCTGTGGAAAGGCCAGCTGGCAAGATGATGGAAGAAATCTCCATTATGGTAGCCTATGACGCCCATGTTTTCAGCCAGCTGCACGATGAAGACTTCCTCACTAGTCTGGTGGCCATCAGCAAGCCCAGGTCTATGGTAGGTGGTGCCTTGCACACTACTCTGGTTCTGTATTTTCTTTTCTAACATGATATCTATACTCCTGTAGCAACTGAGGCATAACTTGCTGTTGGCTTTGTGTTATGTCTACAGGTTTTCAAAGATTTATTTACATAATTAAACACTCATATAACAGTAGCACACTTAAAATGTTAGGCTGATGCTTTCATATATAATGAGGTTGAGAGGAATTTTAGAGTGCCAAATATCACTTTGTCTTAAGTTTCTGCCTTGTAAATATGTATATAATTATCAGGTAGGGGCTAGTTATATTTACATAGCATACAATTGAGGCTCATAGAAGTGTAACGTTTCTACCAGTGAGTAATAACATCATCTGAGAATTGAGCTACCTAAACATCAGGTAACTTTCAGGGTCTTAAATTATTACTAAGAAGAACTATTAGGAAAATAACAGTACAATTTTAGTTTGGCTTTAATATTTGTAAAAAAAATTTGCCATTCTCTCAGGATCTTAGTGTGTGTGCATGTCCTGGCATAATCAAAAACGGAAGTTCTTGCAAGTGTTTATTGTTTCTTCTCTTAGATGTCATCATTATAATGGCTATTGAGTTTAAGATATCAACGATCTATACCTCTGAAACCAACTTTTTTTTGAGATGGAGTTTCGCTCCTATTGCCCAGGTTGGAGTGCAATGGCATGTTCTTGGCTCACCGCAGCCGTTGCCTCCTGGGTTCAAGCAACTCTCCTGTCTCAGCCTCCCTAGTAGCTGGGATTACAGGCATGCGCCACCATGCCTGGCTAATTTTGTATTTTTAGTAGAGATGGGGTTTCTCCATGTTGGTCAGGCTGGTCTCAAACTCCTGACCTCAGGTGATCCGCCTGCCTCACCTCCCAAAGTGCTGGGATTACAGGCATAAGCCACCACGCCCGGCCCCCAAAATCAACTTTTTAACTACAATTGTAGTAACTTCTTATTATATTTAATATGACTCATCACAAACAACAGAATGAAAGAGTATATCATAACATTTAAACCTAACTAATATGAAGACCTACTTCTCTATTTTAAGGCACAGGAACCTTAAAAACATGGCTATTTCTTGAAACAACAAATTACAAAAAATAAAAATAAAAAAATAAAGGAGAAAGCTATAGATTGATTTTAAAAGACTTAAGGGTTATATCAACCAGATGCAATAAATCAACGTTGTTTAAATGCTAATTTGAACAAAGTATAAAAAGAACTGTAAGATAATTGAGAAAAATTTGAATTTGACCACTCATTAGGTATTTAATAATGATATTAAGAGAATTATGTAATTTTTTGTGCATTGTTTTTTTTTTTTTTTTTTTTTTTTTGACATGGAGTCTCCCTCTTGTTGCCCAAGCTGGAGTACAGTGACACGATTTCAGCTCACTGCAACCTCCGCCTTCTCAGGTTCAAGTGATTCTCCTGCCTCAGCCTCCTGAGTAGCTGGGACTACAGGCACCTGCCAACACGCCTGGCTGTTTTTTTTTTTTTTTTTTAAGATGGAGTCTCGCTCTGTTTCCCAGGCTGGAGTGCAATGGCACGATCTCAGATCACTGCAACCTCCGCCTCCCATGTTCAAGTGATTCTCCTGCTTCAGCCTCCCAAGTAGCTGGGACTACAGGTGCACACCACCATGCCCAGCTAATTTTTGTATTTTAGTAGAGACAGGGTTTCACCATGTTGGCCAGGGTGGGCTCAAGCTCTTGATCTTGTGATCTACCCGCCTCGGCCTCCCAAAGTGCTGGGATTACAGGCGTGAGTCACGGTGCACAGCCTTTTTTTTTGTATTTTTAGTAGAGACGGTATTTCATCATGTTGGCCAGGATGGTCTCAAACTTCTGACCTCATGATCCACCCACCTTGGCCTCCCAAAGTGCTGGGATTGCAGGTGTGAGCCACTGCACCCGGCTGATACTATGATTTTTTTAAATGGTCATTTAGAGATATATATTGAATAGTTTTGGATGAAATGTCTGCAGAGATTCAAAATGAACCAGTAGATTATGTGTTGATAATTATTGAAACTGGGTGATAAGTATTAATACATAGTGATTCATTATATTCTCTCCACTTTTGTAGAGATGCAGTTTAAAAGAATCAGCTGGAAGACAAAAAAAAGCAAAAAGATTTGCAAAAAGCAAAACAGATATAAAACTGTAATATAATCAATAAAACTGTAATATACTCAGCCAGGTGTGGTGGACCACTCCTGTAGTCCCAGCACTTCGGGAGGCTGAAGCAGGCAGATCACTTGAGGCCAGGAGTTCAAGACCAACCTGGCCAACATGGTGAAACCTTGTCTCTACTAAAAATAACAAAGATCAGCCAGGCATAGTGGCGCATGCCCATAATCTCAGCTACTCAGGAGACTGAGGCATGAGAAATGCTTGAACCCAGGAGGTGGATGTCACGGTGAGCTGAGACAGAGCAAGACTCTGTCTCAAAAAAAAAAAAAGGAAAAAAAAACACCATAATATCTTTCTGGAAGTGTTAATAGAGAAACATCTGACCTGTTGCATGCTTTCCTTGTATAATATACATAATTTATGTTTTTATAATTACATATATTATATGAAGATTATTGCCAACCCCCTAGTTAACTACAATATACACTATAACTGAATCAGGATAGGATAATCCACGGTTGTAGATAATCTTTAAATTTTATTTTAGTCATTGATTTTACAATATTCCAACATGAAAGCTTATCCAGAGAATTCAGAATATGGCCACGTGCTGTGACTCATGCCTGTAATCTCAACACTTTGGGAGGCCAATGCAAGAGGAAGAGGATTCCTTGAACCCAGGAATTCAAGACCAGCGTAGGCAACATAGAGAGACCTCATCTCTACAGAAAAAAAAAAGAGGATCTTGAGAGGACCATCATAAATAAACAGAATTCTCTTTTTTTTTCTTTTCTTTCTTTCCTTCTTTCTCCCTCCCTCCCTCCCTCTCTTCCTTCCTCCCTGCCTCTCTTCCTTTTTTGAGACAAGGTCTCACCATGTCACCAAGGCCTGAGTGCAGTGGTGTGATCATAGCTCACTGCAGCCTCAAAGTCCTGGGCTCAAGCAGTCTTCCCACCTCAGCCTCTCCTGAGTAGCTGGGACTACAAGTGCACATCACTGCCCCCGGCTAATTTTTTTTTAAAGAGGTAGGGTCTTGCTATGTTGCCCAAGCTGGTTTTGAACTCTTGGGCTCCAGCAATCCTCCCACCTCAGCCTCCCAGAGTGGTGGGATTACATGTATGAACCATCACACCCAGCCAAGAGCCTCTTAAGAGGTCTGAGCTGAGTCTTCAAAAACTAACAGGAGTTTTCTAGGCCAAAGGAGAAAAGAAACAAATACAGAGATGTGAAGCAGCAGAGTATAGAGGACAGTGATGGCTGAAGAGGTGGACAGTGACCAAGTCATAGGGAACATCCTATGCTCAATAAGTATAGGACGTTGTGTGTTTGTATGTGTATGGACGCAGGCACATAAGAGACTGGGAGGGAGAAAAAAATGAATGAATTAATATAAATGTGCTTATCAGGAAACACTCTTCCATTTGTAGATTGTGTGTATATTATGGCTCAATGCAACCCTAGCTGCACCAAAGGGAATTCCCACTCCTAACCCTGTAGCTCATTTTTAAATAGAATTTGTTGACTAATATGGAAAAGCCTTGGAGTTCTGATAGAAACACATAATATTGTTTTATATATCAAACTTTTAAATAATGCAGATCTTGGGGTATTATAAAACTTTCTGAAGATATTTAGTTTTATCAGATTTGAAATTTAAAATCGTCTTTTGGAGGTAATATTTGGGTTTGGTTCATCTGGAAAAGTTATTCTAAAATTGTGCAAGATAAAAATATATATCATTTGCTTTTTTTTTTTTTTTTTTTTTTTTAAATATGGAGTCTCGCTCTGTCACCTAGGCTGGAGTACAGTGGCACGATTTGGGATCATTGCAACCTTCGCCTCCTGGGTTCAAGCAATTCTTCTGCTTAAGCCTCCCCAATAGCTAGGATTGCAGGTGCTAGCCACCATGCCCAGCTAATTTTTGTATTTTTAGTGGAGACAGGATTTCACTATGTTGGCCAGGCTGGTCTTGAACTTCTGACCTCAAGTGACCCGCCCGCCTCAGCCCCCCAAAGTGCTGGGATTATAGGTGTGAGCCACCATACCTGGCCTCATTTGCTTTTAATTCCATGTTGAATTTTTTGCTTTGAGATGAACATTTTTTCATCAAACATTTTGTTTTTTTGTTTTGAGATGCAGTTTCGCACTTGTTGCCCAGGCTGGAGTGCAATGGCATGATCTCAGCTCACCGCTATCTCTGCCTCCCGGGTCCAAGAGATTCTCTTGCCTCAGCCTCCTGAGTATCTGGGATTATAGGCATGCGCCACCATGCCTGGCTAATTTTGTATTTTTAATAGAGACGGGGTTTCTCCATGTTGGTCAGGCTGGTCTCGAACTCCTGACTTCAGTTGATCTGCCCACCTCGGCCTCCCAGAGTGCTGAGATTACATCAATCTGATAACTGCACTGTGAAGCAAATTACACTCTTGCTAACTTATAAAATCCTCCTTAGGTTTGGGTTCATTATTAAGGGTATTTAGAAACTTTCTTAGTACAGGCTTAATTAAATATCTTTCTGTAATTGGACTTTGTTGCATAATGGGAGGTGTTTTGATTCCTTGAATGGTAAAAATCCGATTAAATACAGTGGTTCTCAGGTGTGGATACTGCATTTTTTTCTTATTCATAAGTAACCCTGTGTCTTTCTTATGTTTTTGGTAGGAATCTGTAGTAAAATATACCTTGCAAGCTGTTACATACACAAAACTGAAAGAAAATTTGACTAAACAATACCTGCTGTTGCCACATGTTATGTATGAAGGGGATTTTTCTGTTTTATTCAATCGTTTAAAGGCTTTAATTGTTTATGACCCACTAAATTGAATTCAGAAATCTCTCTATCCACACTTTGGAAAATATGATTATATCCTATTGAGTCCTTAAAAGTAAATGTTGATGCAAGAAAATCACAGACCCCTTTACATAAATTACAGATAAGAAAAAACAATAAGGAAGCCAAGCATAACTTCTTATGTCTTCCATATCATACACACATGAGCAAACTAAGAAATTACCTAGACCAATATTGTTTACTGTGATAACCTAAACAAAAGCCTAGTCACTACTAGCAGAACATAAGAGCTTTTTTTTTTTTGGAGACAGAGTGTGGCTCTGCCACCCAGGCTGGAGTGCAGTGGCTTGATCTCTGCTCACTGCAACCTCCGCCTCCCAGGTTCAAACAATTCTGCCTCGTCCTTTTGAGTAACTGGGACTACAGGCACACACCACCATGCCTGGCTAATTTTTGTATCTTTAGTAGAGATGGGGCTTTCACCATGTTGGCCAAGCTGGTCTTGAACTCCTGACCTCAGGTGATCCACCTGCCTCGGCCTCCCAAAGTGTTGGGATTACAGGTGTGAGCCACCACGCCTGGCCTCTACTGGGGGTTTTAAAGTTACACAGTTCTCAGTTCAAGTTTTAGATTCGCTACTTACCAGTGAGCTAAGTAACTTCTCTAAGCCTTGGTTTTCTCATCTGAAAACTGAGAGACATAATAGTATTACCTCATTGGAATACCATGAGGTTATTTGAGAGCACTTGTAAAGTATTTAGCACAGTGAAAGCTGTAACTAATTGTCTCCTTTTCTAATAAGGGAGGAACTAATCAGACTATTTGAAGAAGGTCTAAAGGAAGAAGTGGGATGAATAGATAAGGCACCCTGGAGACGCAGGAGGAGTTGGGAGGACAAAAGGAGAAAATGAACTAGTTGGGTTACCCTGGAGAATTACTTTGCTTGATTAGGGAATCACTATCAGGATACCAGTCCTACAGGAAACTTGAAGCCTTCTGCCCTGAAGATGGTGCTGAAGATCTTAGGTTTGAGCTCAGAAGGGTGGGAAGGCAATGTAGAACCAATAGAAGGGAGTATATATAGGCCAAACCTTCTGATGAGTAGATGAGATCAAATTACTGCAGCAGGAATCTTGCAGTAATGAACTGGCAGGGCCCACATTGACCAAGGAAAAAAATTGTAAAGGACATTAGAGCAATGCAAGTAAAAAGAGATGACAAGTGTCTGGACTTAGACACTTGACAGTGGGAGTGTAAATAGAGATTAGTCTACACATGTTGGTTAGTTCTCACAAAGGGAATATACATTAATATTATTTAGGAAGAAGCAGCAACTGATGTTATGAGAAGAGTAAATGATTGAGATAAGTTGAAAATTAAGCTTCCAGCCATACAAAAGTGGAGATTGCTATAGTGTCAAAAGTCTTTGGGAATGGGAAAGTTAGGTTATCAAGAATAGAATGGAGGAAAAATGACCCATTCTGGCTTTACCATGTTCCACATCTAGAAATTCAAGGTCACAGTATCACGGTAAGAGAATTGATTGTCCAGTGGTTAGAACACTGCCCTTTAACAAAAGCCATTTAATCAGACTAACACATGGCTATACTATATTGGCACTGGATAGATATTCTTCACTGACAGAAACCAAAATAGCAGCACTGTGCCAGCAAAGGAAGGGAGCTCTTTCTTGGAGCTACAGTTTCTCTTTCTATAAATGGGAGACGAGGGTAAGCATTCTGTAATTACTTCCTCCTTATCGGATTGGCACAGATTTCATCAAGCATGCCAAATTAAAAAACAAAATTCAGAGCAATTCCATATGTCAGAGATGGAGAAAACAATAAAATCAATACTGTTATTTCTAAATCTTTACTAGATATACATTTCAAATATTGATTAGAATAAACATAACAATTAAGATTCATCCATATTTTTTAAAAATGTTATCTGAATATTTTTTATTCTCATTGTTACATAGCAAGTGCACATTTTGGCACTATATCAATTTCAGTTCAGTTCAAGCATCCAACCAATCATTTGGTTGATCAGTTCTAATGAGTTAAGGTTCTTATAGTTGCAAGTAATAAAATCTTGTGCTATCTTAAATAAGAAAGGGATTTTATCACGTGGACAGCAAAGTGTGTTCCTTTAAATGCAAGGGCAGTTCATCTAGGCAACAGAGCTGGTACTGGACTGATGCTGGCAACCATTCTCCCTATCTCTTGCCATCTAATTAAAACTTCTCTCTTGACATCTACTTTATTTCTCTGTCTCCAACTTCTTGGCTTCTTTATTTCTATGGCAGAATATTGCTGCTACACAGCATCCAGATTTATAGTTCTACCATCTGAATCACAACTCCATATTTCTTTGGTGAGAATCTGACCGAGTAATGTTAGGTGAGTTTTGTGATAGTATAGAGCAGAGCCCCTGAGCACACACTCAAACTAAACTGCCTGGGTCCAATCCTACCTCACTTGCAATTAGCTCTATGACTTTGGGCAGATTACTTAATCTCAAACCTCATTTTTCTCATCTGTAAAATTGGAGTCTGCAAGAGAAAGTAGTCCGGACTGAAATCGGCCAGAAGTCCCTCTCATGTTATATCTAAAGTAAACCTATCTTTAACTGCCAAGCTGTGTTTCGTGTTTCTTTCCTCTTTCTTTAACTCTTACAGAATCATGTTAGTAGTACCTGTAAGATTAAATCAAAATTAAGTTTAAATTTAAATTAAATCAGTAATATATGTAAAGCACTTAAGAAAATTAATTGTCAATATATGTAAAGCACTGGATACCTAGCACATAGAAAGTGGCATGTGTATGTTAGTTATTATTCCAAATTGATTCTTTTATTATTTATGAATGAATGAGACAAGGTCTGTCGCTCACTGCTGCCTCAACCTCCTAGGATCAGGTGATCCTCTCTCCTTAGCCTTCCAAGTAGCTAGGTGTACAGGTGCATGTCACCGTGCCTGGCTAATTTTTTATTTTTGTAGAGATGGGGTTTCACTGTGTTGACCAGGCTAATCTGGAACTCCTGAGCTCAAGTGATCCTCCCCCCTCGGCCTCCCAAAGTGCTGAGATTACAAGCGTGAGCTACCACACCTGGCCTGGTTAACAGAAATTTAAAATGATGATTAAGACCAGGCGTAGTTGCTCACGCCTGTAATCCCAGCACTTTGGGAGGCTGAGGCGAGTGGATCACGAGGTCAGGAGATCGAGACCATCTTGGCTAACACAGTGAAACCCCGTCTCCACTAAAAATACAAAAAATTAGCCGGGCATGGTGGCGGGCGCCTGTAGTCCCAGCTACTCGGGAGGCTGAGGCAGGAGAATGGCGTGAACCTGGGAGGCGGAGCTTGCAGTGAGCCGAGATCGCACCACTGCACTCCAGCCTGGGCGACAGAGCAGGACTCCATCTCAAAAAAAATAAAAACAAAACGATGATTAAATTATTAGAGAAACCAATTTTTTTTTTTTTTTTTTGAGACAGAGTTTTGCTCTTGTTGCCCACGCTGGAGTACAATGGCATGACCTCAGCTCACTGCAACCTGTGCCTCCCAGGTTCAAGCAGTTCTCCTACCTCAGCCTATGGGTAGCTGGGATTACAGGCATGCACCACCACGCCTGGGTAATTTTGAAATTTTAGTAGAGAGAGGGTTTCTCCCTGTTGGTCAGGCTGGTCTCGACCTCCCGATCTTAGGTGGTCTTCCCGCCTTGACCTCCCAAAGTGCTCAGATTACAGGCGTAAGCCACCGCGCCTGGCGAGAAACCAATATTACATCAAAACTCACCACAGTGCGCAAGCTGAACGTGTAATCAAATTGTAGTACTCAAACTCATTGCAAGGACTTCAAGCTTATTTACAAACAGGATTTACAGCAAACAAAACAGTGTAGCCCTGTAATTGTAATGCCCACAATAGGATTTCTGGCAGGCTGAAATACAGAAGCCCTCTTATCCGACACAGTCAGGGCTGTAGTTGGTTTATAGAAAAAGTTGGTTCAGGAGAAGAAGGATAAAAATTGCTACATACTAACTTAAACATTTGTTTTTACTTAAAACTTCCATTATCAATTTTGCTTTAAGGCCTTTAATGCTCTTTGTTTGCTTCGGAATTCTGAAATCCATATGCCTTCTAGTTTCAGTTTCCTTAAGAGGGGCAGTAAATTAATAAATGTGTCAAGCAGTCTAAGGGCAAATTTGATAGAGATTTTCATAACTTTTTTCTTTACATTTTTTATGGCAGCATTGCCACCATTTAATTCTTTTTTTTTTCTTTTTTTTTGAGACAGGGTCTCATTCTGTCTGGCGTGCAATGGCGCAATCTCGGCTTACTGTAACCTTCGCCTTCCAGGTTCAAGCAATCCTCTTGCCTCAGCCTCCTGATTAGCTGGGATTTCAGGCATGTGCCACCACGCCCAGCTAATTTTTGTATTTTTAGTAGAGATGGGATTTCACCATTGGCCAAGCTGGTTTCAAACTCCTGACCTCAAGTGATCTGCCCACCTTGGCCTCCCAAAGTGCTGGGATTATAGGCGCGAGCCACCACGCCTGGCCTCACGCTTTGGCTTTTGTCCATGTTCCATTGACCAAACAAATCAAAAGGCCACTTCCAACATCCTGGAGAAGAAAAGGGTACTCCACAATAGGAGTTGTGGGAGGGGAAAGTGAGTATTTGCTGAACAATAGTCTACCACATATATAATTGACCTAACTGACCCTTCATATGATCACCATGGTTAGGTTAGCTGTGTAAAATATATAAGCACTGTGTTTCTCAATAGTACACTTATATAATATTCACAAAAATTGCACATGCACAGATTCATCATCAAAAAATGACATATACTCATTGAAAAATGAGATAAAATTGAAAATTCAGACTTACCAGTCTTTTACCATTATTCATTTTACTGGAAACTTTAAAGTGAATTGGCACTCTTTTTTCCCCATCCCTTCCAAAGGTAATTAAGAAACAGAAATCTCTTGCCAATGTTTCTAGGGTATGCCAACATTGTTATCTCAACCTGATCCATATTTATAGCCCAGGGATTTGCAAAAACTTGGGGGGGGGGTCATGGATTCCTTTGGCAGTGTAGTTAAGTCCATGGACCCCTTATCAGAAAAAAATGTTTTTAAATGTGTAACATAAAATAGATAAGACTACAAAGGAAATCAATTGTATTTAAATACAATTACTAAAATAGGCCAGGTGCGGAGGCTCACACTGTAATCCCAGCACTTTGGAAGGCTGAGGTGGGCTGATCACTTGAAGTCAGGGGTTCAAGACCAGCCTGGCCAACATAGCAAAACCCAATCTCTACCAAAAAAATACAAAAATTAGCTGGGTGTGGTGGCATGCGCCTGTAATTCCAGCTACTCGGGAGGCTGAGGCAAGAGAATTGCTTGAACCTGGGAGGCAGAGGTTGCAGTGAGCTGAGATCACGCCACTGCACTCCAGCCTGGGGGACAGAGCGAGACTTCATATCAAAAGAAAAAAAAAATACGATTACAAAAATAGACAGAAATCAGATTTATGATATGGTAATAAGTACTTCTTTATTAAACACATTAAATAGCAAGAAATGGTAGTGAGGCTACTATAAATGCAAAATAATTTTGAGATATATGTAATACATATAATGTGAATGAAAATATCTGTGGTATCTATAGGTGGCAAAATCACAAATAACACAGTGGATTATTGGCTACATTTATAATGGAAGGAATTGATAAATTTCAGTTAGAGGTTCAGGAAAATAGTTTTTTTCCATCTAAGTTCAATTCAATGAACTCCCTCCACATACCCCTAATATAACCTTTATCTGATACTGTCTGAGACACAAAGATTTTTACAAGTCTTTTCTTTCCTTACAGTGGGCTAGGAGAAATCTTGATCATGCCTTCCACTTTCTCTCTTCCTCTTAATGGTATAGAAAATTACTTGTGTGATTATTTAATGAATCTCTCATTAACCTATAACTTCCCTATGTCAGCTTTTTTTATTTTGGAAACAGAATCTCACTGTGTCGCCCAGGCTGGAGTTCAAGTGATTCTCATGCCTCAGCCTCCCAAGTAGCTGGGATTACAGGTGTGCACCACCACGCCCAGCTAATTTTTGTATTTTTTTAGTAGAGATGAGGTTTCCCCATGTTGGCCAGACTGGTCTCAAACTCCTGACCTCAAGTGATCCACCCACCTTGCCTCCCAAAGTGCTGGGATTACAGACGTGAGCCACCATGCCCGGCCAGCTATTTCTGTTTTTACCATTGTATTTCCAGCCCAGCATTGTGCCTGGGGGAATTATACACACTCTGTACATATTTAATGAATATATTGGGGGAAGATGAAATCCCACATAGTTACAATCATAATCTTCAATATGTTTGTGACAATTAAATACATTCATGTGTGTGTGTATGCATAAGATATGGAATTTATTTTTAAATCTTTTTATCCTTAGACCCATATACTAAGTTCTTATGATTGTGGAATCAGGTTAGAGTCTAGCTGAGTACTTAATTAGCTCTTTTGTTTTCTTTTTTTGAATTTTTGTTTTATTTTTTAATTTTAATTTTAACTTTTTTTTTTTTTGAGATGGAGTCTCGCTCTGTCACCCAGGCTGGAGGGCAGTAGCATGATCTCGGCTCACTTCAACCTCCGCCTCCGGGGTTCAAGCCATTCTTCTGCCTCAGCCTCCTGGGTAGCTGGGACTACAGATGCCTGCCACCACACCAGGCTAATTTTTGTATGTTTAGTAGAGACAGGGTTTCACCATATTGGGCAGGCTGGTCTCGAACTGTTGACCTTGTGGTCCGCCCGCCTCAGCCTCCCAAAGTGCTGGGATTACAGGCGTGAGCCACCGCGTCCGGCCCTGTTTTATTTTTATTTGAGACAGGTTCTCTCTCTGTTACCCAGTCTGGAGTGCAGTGGCGTGATAATGGCTCACTGCAGCCTCGAACTCCTGGGCTCAAATGATCCTCCTGCTTCAACCTCTCAAGTAGTTGGGATTATAGGTGCATGTCACCATACCTGGCTAATTTTTTTGTTTGTTTTTTTTTGTAGAGATGGGGGTGTCTCACATTGTTGCTTAGGTTGGTCTTGAACTTCTGGCTTCAAGCAATCCTCCCACCTCAGCCTCTCATAGTGCTGGGGTTGCAGGCATGAACCACTGTGACCAGCCTTTCTATTCTTTTTTGAGATAGTGTCTCTTACTCTGTCACCCAGGCTGGAGTACAGTGGTGCAATCACGGCTCACTGCGGCCTCAAATGCTTGAGTCCAAGTGATTCTCCCTCCTCAGGCTCCCAAGTAGCTAGGACTGCAGGCACATACCACCATGCCCAGCTAATTTTTTCCTTTTCTTTTTCTTTTTGTAGAGAGGGAGCCTCACTATGTTGCTTTGGCTGGTTTTGAACTGCTGGGCTCAAGTGATCCTCCTGCCTTGACTTCCCAAAGATTACAGGTGTGAGCCACCACTCCCAGCCTTAATTAGCTCTTAACTGTTTCAAAAATCAAACAAACGAACAAAAAAATGCAGTGATTATTTCTGTTATACTTTTATTTAGTGGTTCATTTAACATGTATACCTCCTACGTGCATAGCACTGTGTTAAGCTTTGAGACATCGTCAAAGAGATAACAGTCCAGTTTGGGAGACAGCCATGTAAACAGCCGTGTATGAGTCAGTGATGTGAGCACTGTTAGAAATGTGTAGGTGCTGTTTGTCCTATATGCTCCTGTCACACCTTGCACCCTGTGAACTAACTGAAATGGGATATTCTATCTGCTTTTCTGAGTTGTACACTGAAGTTCATTTTCCTTGTGGGTTGTTTTATTTCTTCTCTCTCTCCCTACCATAGTACCTGGCACATAGTGTCAGCAGCCAGTAAGGTTCTAATTATTGAATAAAGGAATGGTGGAGATAATTAGAGATATTTTCATAAAGATGTAGACACTTTTTAAAGTACAGGTTTTGATTTTTAAGCTCTTACAATTTTACTTTATAAATAATACATGCACACAGTATCAGAATTTCAACAAATATGAAATGATATCCAGTGAAGTTACCTACCCATTCCTGTTTTCCCAGCAGTTTTAGTAGTTTTTTTTAGAAGTATCCTTCTATAAATATTTTTATACATGCAAACAAATTTATATGTGTTCTCTTTTTTCAGAGCTCTTGGTGGCCCTTTTATGTTCTGTACTTTGCTTTTCTCACTTAACAGTATGTGTTGATTTTTCTATGTCAGTTCATGAAGGGTGTCCTTGTTCATTTGAAAGCTACATAGTATTTCACTGTATAGATTTCTATAATATGTGTAACCAACTCCCTCCCACTCTGTGAGTGTGTAGGTTGTTTTCAATATTTTGCTCCTACAATACTGCAGTGAGTAATCTTATATAACATTTCACAAAAGTGTGTGAGTATATCTGTAGATTAAATTCCTAGGAGTGGAACTGCTGGGTTGAAGGATACATTCATTTGTAATTTTGATAGATAAGGCCAAATTGTTTTCCTTAAAGGTTATATTAGTTAATATAACTACCAGCAGTGTATATCTGTGCCTATTTAAAGGTGGAAACTTTTGAACAGGAATCTAAGAAAAAATAGGAATTTATCAGATTGTCAGGGGACGGGAAAGATGTTCCAGGCAGAAGGAATAGCACTTTGAGAGGCACGGGATAGAAAGATGGCACAAGAGGATTTTTAACTTATTCCATCTGGCTAAAATGTAGGGGGTAGGCCAGGAAATAGAGAGTGGGAGTTGATCATGATAGGTTGTGTATGTAATGCTGAGTAACTGATATTTTAAATTCTATAAATGAAGGTTTTGAGTAGGGAAATGATATAATAAGGTTGATTAATGTATTTTATTAAAAGAATAGCTATTTGTGTGTATTTATTTAAATTGAAGTTTGCCAAAAAGGTGTAGTCCCTAAAGATTTTTCTTGCTTTTTTTGTTTGTTTATTTGGAGACAGGGTCTTACTCTGTTGCCCAGGCTCGTGTGCAGTGGTGATCAGATCATAGCTCACTGCAGCCTTGAAATTCCAGGTTTGATCCTCCCACCTCACCCTCCCAAGTAGCTGGTACTACAGGCACATGCCACCATGCCTGGCTAATTTTTAAAACATTTTTTGTAGAGATAGGGTCTCGCTATGTTGCTCAGGCTGGTCTTGAACGCCTGGCTTCAAGCAATCCTCCAGCCTCAGCCTCCCAAAGTGCTGGGATTATAGGTGTGAGCCACCACACTCAGCCTTTTCTTGGATTTAAATGAGGTTTTCTTTTTACTAAGGATTCAAATAATATGTTGACTATAGAAAATTTTGAAAACACATAGAAATAAAAACTGAAACACAGAAAGAAAATACAGAAGTTACTCATAAGTTTACTACTCTGAGGTAATCTCCCTATCCAAATAATTCCTGTTGTCTATAAAACAATAAAAGAAAATCAATATATGTATTAGGTGGGTTAGAAAATACAAAGTGGGCCACAGTCCGGGTGGGCATGGTGGCCGCAGCGGTAGCTGGAGCCTCTGCGACTACACCTCCAACCGGCCTGGAGCCCGTGGCTTCCCTGGCTCCTGCAAGCATCTCGCGTGGTGGCTCTGGCCAGCTCCAGCACTCGGGTTGGGCCGGATGACCAGAGGCCTGTAGCTACCAGCTGCCCTCTCCCGCCTGGGCTCAGCCGCCACCCGTGAGCGAACTCAGCCCGGGACACAGCACACTTATCAAGTGGGTCCCATTTTTAGCCACTTGCTATTTCAGCCATTGCTGAAAAGTCTAGTGGGAAGGAACCAACTGGAGAGTCAGAGGGAGAAATTAGTTTCTATTTCCAGCTCCACCACTATAATCCCTGGTTGAAGAAATATGAATATCAACACGAAATTGTTCATCAGCGTTATTTGTGCCAGCTTTTTCACCTTCCAGCTTCTTTTCTACTTTGTAAGTTACTGGTTTTCACAAAAGTTTCTCCAAGTTTCAATAGTCTTAGCTTTGAAAAGAAGATTGAATGGAACTCAAGGGTGGTATTTACATGCCATTCTTTGGTGGTTGGTGTTCTTGGCCTGTACATTTTCTTATTTGATGAGGCTGCTAAAGCTGATCCACTTTGGGATGGTCCATCACTTGCAAACGTGAATATTGCTATTGCTTCAGGCTACCTCATTTCTTTGTTTTCTTTCTTTTTTTTTTTTTTGTGATGGAGTTTTGCTCTTGTCGCCCAGGCTGGAGTGCAATGGCATGATCTTGACTCACTGCAACCTCCGCCTCCCAGGTTCAAGCGATTCTCCTGCCTCAACCTCTCGAGTAGCTGGGATTACAGGCGCCCGCCACCTCACCCAGCTAATTTTTTTTTTTTTTTTTTTTTTTTTGTATTTTTAGTAGAGACAGGGTTTCACCATATTGTCCTGGCCCCGAACTCTTGACCTCATGTGGTCTGCCAGCCTCAGCCTCCCAAAGTGCTGGGGTTACAGGCATGAGCCACCACGCCCAGCCAGGCTACCTCATTTCTGATTTGTCCATTATCATTTTGTATTGGAAAGTGATTGGTGACAAATTTTTTATAATACATCATTGTGCGGCCCTGTGTGCATACTGCTTTATACTGATATTAGTGAATAAGAAGTTTAATTTGGCATAATTTCTTCAAGAATCAGATATATCGAAACATCTCTCCAGACCACCCATTTGGAATCACGATATAAATAATTATAAATGTTTTAAAAACTGCTTCAGTTCTCTTGGCCACTGAAATCACAGGCTTAGCCTGGCTGTGCGTGGATTGGCAAGCTGAATGTTTAATTATGTGGGGTGACTATTATTTTCTCTTTGGACTTTTATGCCTTTAAAATAAAATAAAATAAAATAGAAAATACAAAGTGGTTTCCAAAGACAATCACTTGTTAAGAGATTCTTGTGATTCCTCCTAGGAAGAAAGAAAAAAACAAAAGTGATGCATATACCTGCATAAATTACAGCATAATTGTTAATGTAGAGCTGTACAACAAATATCTTCTCTTTAAATATACGAATGTCTTTTAAAGACAGAAAGAACTGTTTTATTTTCTTTGAGGGCCTCACTACAAGCCTTTTAGATAGATCCAGATAACATGTTCTACTTTCCCTCTTTGCAACACTTCGCTAGCAGGTACTTCCTAATCAGGATCTTGACAACTATCAGCCACATAGAATACTTGGAAGGAGGTTAACTTTTCATACTCAAAAGCTCTCTTCTGGAAGAATCCTAATATTATTAATAGCAAGTCTTCCACTTGTAGGGCCTGTTGGAACAGTTTGTGACAAATCCTTCCCAGACTGTTCTTTGAGTATACAAATTAATATCTCCAAGTCACTGATACTCTGAGCACATGCATCCTGCTGCTAGGGAAGTGCATTAAGGTACCTTCAAAACCTTTTTTCCTCTGTAATTACATCCTAAAAATTACACTGGAGGGTGGGCTGGGGTGGAGGGAAGGTCCCAGGTGCATTTACTGAGCTATCTGTCAAAGTCCACCAAGCTAGTAGATTGTGACCACAATTTTGATAATTTCGGATTCCATATCTGCAAGGCAGTGTTAAAACTACACAATACCTGATAAATGCTAGAATGAGGATAATTCCTCTAAATAGTTAACATTTAACCAGAAGCTCTACAGTGCTCTCCAACCTAACAGTCACACATTAATTTATTCCTTCATGTAAAAGAATCATTTTTATTGCTGCTGCCTGAAAGGTACAAATTGCTTGGGTGTAGGCTGCTCAGCTTCCTTCTTACTAAAGAGACAGGAAATATATCTTCCATTTAAAGTGTTAATGGCATCTATAAATGTGTAGTCCAATTTGTTATTGACTTGAACTCTTCAAAGATTTGAGAAACAAGGTTTAACTTTAGCACTCAAGATTGTTACACAAGAATTAAATGTTTTCAATGACTACCTTTTGTAGTGTTGGGAAGGGTGCAAAAAGGAAAGAGAAGGCTGGAAAATAAATATATTTTATCTAAGAGGGCATGACTGAGTTGGCTAAGCTTTCAATTTCATTTTTCTCTTAGGAAAGACTTTCACCTATTATGTTACAATGTGTGCTCACATTTCCTGATTATGGATCGAAATGGAGCTTGGAGCACTACATTTGGTGCAGGAGAGGACTGTCGAGACTAGAACCAAGTTGGGTTTTTTGTTGTTTTTGTTTGTTTGTTTTGTTTTGTTTTGTTTTGTGTGTGTGTTTTTGAGACAGTTGCTCTGTCGCCCTGGCTGTAGTGCAGTGACACGATCTTGACTCACTGCAACCTCCGCCTCCCAGGTTCAAGCCATTCTCCTGCCTCAGCCTCCCGAGTAGCTGAGATTACAGGTGCTCACCACCATGCCCAGATAATTTTTGTATTTTTAGTAGAGACGAGATTTCACCATGTTGGCCACGCTGGTCTCAAACTCCTGACCTCAAGTGATCTGCCCACCTCGGCCTCTTAAAGTGCTGGGATTACAGGCGTGAGCCACCGTGCCTGGCCCCAAGTTGTTTGTTAACAGACACCTGCCAAAAGACGAGGACTTCCTCTGAACCCTTATCAGGTCAAAACATGGTAGATATTCTACTAAAATTGGTCAAATAAGTAAATGAAATAAATGAATGAAAATTATTCATTCTTTCAAGTTTGTTTGGAGAAAATAATGGAAACCATTCAACTTGAGAATAAAGTGTTTAAAATATTTATAGGCTGTACAAATTTGAAGTGCTATTAGTATCCCACTATTAAGTGCCACTTGTTACATTCCCCTAGATAATCTAGAAGGGGCAAACAAATAAAAATAATTTAAGACAAAAGTAATAATTCCACCCAGGGTGAAATGGCATTCAGCCTATTCTAATTCTTTTTTTTTTTTTTTGCTTTTGGAAGTTTTTTTTTATTATTATACTTTAAGTTCTAGGGTACATGTGCACAACGTGCAGGTTTGTTACATATGTATACATGTGCCATGTTGATGTGCTGCAACCATTAACTTGTCGTTTACATTAGGTATATCTCCTAATGCTATCCCTCCCCACTCCCCCCACCCCATGACGGGCCCCAGTATGTGATGTTCCCCTTCCTGGGTCCAAGTGTTCTCATTGTTCAGTTCCCACCTATGAGTGAGAACATGCGGTGTTTGGTTTTTTGTCCTTGTGATAGTTTGCTGAGAATGATGGTTTCCAGCTTCATCCATGTCCCTATAAAGGACATGAACTCATCCTTTTTTGTGGCTGCATAGTATTCCATGGTATATATGTGCCACATTTTCTTAATCCAGTCTTTCATTGCTGGACATTTGGGTTGGTTCCAGGTCTTTGCTATTGTGAATAGTGCCACAGTAAACATATGTGTGCATGTGTCTTGATAGCAGCATAATTTCTAATCCTTTGGGTATATACCCAGTAATGGGATGTCTGGGTCAAATGGTATTTCTAGTTCTAGATCCTTGAGGAATCGCCTCATTGTCTTCCACAGTGGGTGAACTAGTTTCCAGTCCCACCAACAATGTAAAAGTGTTCCTATTTCTCCACATCCTCTCTAGCACCTGTTGTTTCCTGACTTTTTAATGATCGCCATTCTAACTGGTGTGAGATGGTATCTCATTGTGGTTTTGGTTTGCATTTCTCTGATGGCCAGTGATGATGAGCATTTTTTCATGTGTCTGTTGGCTGCATAAATGTCTTCTTTTGAGAAGTGTCTGTTCATATCCTTCACCCACTTTTTGATGGGGTTGTTTTTTTCTTGTAAATTTGTTTGAGTTCTTTGTAGATTCTGGATATTAGTCCTTTGTCAGATGAGTAGATTGTAAAAATTTTCTCCCATTCTGTGGGTTGCCTATTCACTCTGATGATAGTTTCTTCTGCTGTGCAGAAGCTCTTTAGTTTAATTAGATCCCATTTGTCAATTTTGGCTTTTGTTGCCATTGCTTTTGGTGTTTTAGACATGAAGTCGTTGCCCATGCCTATGTCCTGAATGGTATTGCCTAGGTTTTCTTCTAGGGTTTTTATGGTTTTATGTCTAACATTTAAGTCTTTAATCCATCTTGAATTAATTTTTGTATAAGGTATAAGGAAGGGATCCAGTTTTAGCTTTCTATGTATGGCTAGCCAGTTTTCCCAGCACCACTTATTAAATAGGGAATCCTTTCCCCATTTCTTGTTTTTGTCAGGTTTGTCAAAGATCAGATGGTTGTAGATGTGTGGTATTATTTCTGAGGGCTCTGTTCTGTTCCATTGGTCTATATCTCTGTTTTGGTACCAGTACCGTGCTGTTTTGGTTACTGTAGCCTTGTAGTATAGTTTGAAGTCAGGTAGCATGATGCCTCCAGCTTTGTTCTTTTGGCTTAGGATTGACTTGGCGATGCAAGCTCTTTTTTGGTTCTGTATGAACTTTAAAATAGTTTTTTCCAATTCTGTGAAGAAAGTCATTGGTAGCTTGATGGGGATGGCATTGAATCTGTAAATTACCTTGGGCAGTATGGCCATTTTCATGATATTGATTCTTCCTATCCATGAGCATGGAATGTTCTTCCATTTGTTTGTGTCCTCTTTTATTTTGTTGAGCAGTGATTTGTAGTTCTTGAAGAGGTCCTTCACATCCCTTGTAAGTTGGATTCCTAGGTATTTTATTCTCTTTGAAGCAATTGTGAATGGGAGTTCACTCATGATTTGGCTCTCTGTTTGTCTGTTATTGGTGTATAAGAATGCTTGTGATTTTTGCATATTGATTTTGTATCCTGAGACTTTGCTGAAGTTGCTTATTAGCTTGAGGAGATTTTGGGCTAAGACGAGCCTACTCTAATTCTTTAATCTATGTAGTAGTTGCTTATATATTAAACGTGTGAAAATCGTATGAAATCATTGTTAATTCATACTGAAATATTCACTTACCTCTGATCTATTTAAGCCAAGCTAATAGGTTTCAGCCTGTTTCTGACCTCAGGAGCCTGGACCCACCTATGCTAAGATAAAAGCCATGATGACTGTGGCAACAGTGTTGCTGACATTGTACTGACCACATTGCTGTAAGTGTCTCCATGGCACATCTGCTTCTGTAGATTCAGTCTTACTCTGCTTTTAGAGACTTTCCCATATAACACTAAAATGTACTTGCCTGTTAGTATGTTTGATATTCTTCAAAGGGAGAGAATTGGCCTGGCATGGTGGCTCACACCTGTAATCCCAGCACTTTGGGAGGCCGAGGCAGGCAGATCACCTGAGGTAAGAAGTTTGAGACCAGCCTGGACAACATAGTGAAACCCTGTCTCTAGTAAAAATTAGCCAGTTTGGTTGCAGGTGCCTGTAATCCCAGCTACTCGGGAGGCTGAGGCAGGAGAATCTCGAACCCGGGAAGTTGAGGTTGCCGTGAGCTGAGATCACATCACTGGACTCCAGCCTGGATGACAGAGTGAGACTCCATCTCAAAAAAAAAAAAAAAAAAGAAAAGGGAGATAATTAATTTCATTTCTTCATTCTCACTGACTTCAATGAGGAGATTTAGAATAGGAAAAGAAAATTAGTATACGAACAAGTTGAGACGAAACAGAACTGACATAAGAAGAACATAAAAAGCAGAGTCCATAAATCTTGCAGTATGGTAGCCTAGGTTTCATCTTAATAGCACTAATACAGACACAAAATAAAATGATAGTTTGATGAGGTAAGTACAGTTTTTCAGGCCTGTCTTACAGGTGGTAAATCTGAAGCACAGATTAAGTTACTTGTTCAAGGTCACAGTGCTGGAAAATGGTAAAGTCAGGATTTGAGCACAGGCTTTCTGGCTCTAGGGCTGTGCTCTTAATAATTATTCCAAATGCATGGCGTTTGTGCTTTGTACTCCCTTATTAGATGTTACATACAATATTCTTTTGTTTATATATCCCTTTGATGATCAGAATCTGAACTTTTCTAAACTGTAACAGTTTCTTAGGAAGGTGATAAGTTAGACGACAAATCTATAATTAGAGTTTCTTTTACTTTTGGAGCATGGATTTTGAAAGTGAATGATTAACGATGATTGACATTCTTATCAGATTTTTATTTACTTTCTTTTAACTATTTGGATAATAAAGTAATGATGCTTGCCTGAATAACAGCAGTTCTCTGTTGGGCTTTGTGCTTTATACATGGAAAGAGGGCCTTGGTCTATTGCAAGGATACTAAACAGTGACTGTATAGCATGTTAACAATGTTTTAATAAATATTTTTAGCAATTATGAGCTAACTTAAGCCTTTTTAAAATGGAATATTTATTATTTACTTTGTGCCTAGTAATGTGTTAGTGCTAAGACTAAAAGAGCAAAGCAAATGCCATTCCTGCCTTCAGAGTGCTTACAGTCTAGCAGGCAAGATTGATATTAAACACATATTCAAAAAAAGGGTATGAGTTTTTTAAAGAGAGGTAGTGCTAAATCCTCTGGGAACATCCTCTGATCTCATCTAAATTTGAAACCCTAGGTTCTCTGGGAATCTATAGCAAGAACTAATCCAAGTTAGGGGTCAGAGAAGATGTGAAGAATGAGTAGGATTTAGTCAGCTGAAGAGAATGAGGCTATGGGGAAGCGTGTTCTAGGAAGAGGAGAAATATATTCAGCCTCAGAGATGTGCAAAAAAGAACTTAAACTGCAGAGACTTTCGGGAGAAAACAAACAAACAAAAAAACCGAGCAGACAAAAAAAATGCTTAAAGAAATTAAATAAATGGATCGTAGAGTGCAAGGTGAGGAGAGCTCAGGAGCTCAGGAGGGGCTTAAAATTAGGCTGGAGAAGACGTTAGGAACTAAATTATAAAGAACCCTGCTATTTATGATAAGGAATTGGGCTTTATGCAAAGGGCAGTGGAAAACTGTTCAAAAGATTTTAAGCAGGGCAGTCATTAATTTTGTGGCTCTATCAAAAACATTAGGCCAATTATTTAAACTTGGGCAATTCATTTGATCTTCCTAGTTCTAAATTTTCTCATTTTTAGAGTAGGGGACTTGGATTAGCCCTTTCAGATCAAAGATCCCTAATGTGAGTTTATGCACCCTGAGAGGATCATGTCTAGAAAGAAGTAACAGAGTATCCTCATCCATCCTGCTCTCTGTTCTTTTCCTTTTCCTTTCAGATTTCAATATCAATTTTCTCATGAGGCGTATTTTAGTCAGTATTTTGGAGAAGGCATTCTAATGACTCCTATGTCTATTTTTTTGAAATAAAATTCATTTTGTCATTATAAAGGTAATATAGAAAATTTTTTAAGCATAGAAAATGAAGAAGAAAGCAATCATAATCATGGATGTCATGCTACTGAAACCCTTGGGATATAACTAGAATGGAAGTCAGGCTGGTAAAGCAAATCCCATGAGAGGAGAGAGTGATTACTGGGAGAGGGGAATGTTTGGGGGGGTAGAATAATCTTCAGATTCCTGAAGGACTATAGTGCAGAAGTTGGAATAGAAGACAGAATTATGGTTAATGAGTAGAAGCTACTAGAGATACAGATTTTAACTCAATTTGGGAAAAACAAAACTAGCAATTGCAACTGTCCACCAGAAAATTAGTGAATTCCTCTGAATGCCCATAGGTATTCTAGTAAATTACTACATGTACTTCAAGGTTGCCAGTAGAAGGTGTTCAGGTTCTTGGCATCTCGAACAAAGAATTAGACAAAATGCACACACAACGTGAGGAAACCAAAGCACGGATTTACTGAAAACAAAAGTACACTCCACAGTGTGGGAGCGGGCCTGATCATAAGAGCCCCGCTTACAGAATTTTCTGGAGTTTCAATACTGTAGAGGTTTCCCATTGGTTACTTGGCGTATATTCTATGTAAATGAAGAGAATGAAGTCACAGAGTCATTTACTCAGACTGCGCCCTATTTTAAATGGAGAGGATGTTGCTTGGTGTGTGTGGTCTATGTAAATGGAGAGGATGAATGTGAAGTTACAAAGTGTAAATGTTGTGGAGAGGATGAAGTGGAGTTGCAAAGCCATTCACATTCCTGTCATTACTGAAGTGCTTTCACTTGATATAATTTTAGGACATTAGTGTGGATCGGGCTTGTGTTCCCTGCCTCCAGGCCCTATTCTCCTGCCTCAGCCTCCTGAGTAGCTGGGATTACAGGTGTGAGCCACTACACCCAGCTAATTTTTCTATTTTTAGTAGAGACAGGGTTTCACCATGTTGGCCAGGCTAGTCTTGTACTCCTTGCCTCAAGTGATCCACCTGCATTGGCCTCCCAAAGTGCTGGGGTTACAGGTGTGAGCCACTGTGCCCAGGCTGAATTTGAATGTTGACCTGTCTTGCTAGGTTGACGAAGTTCTCCTGGATGATATCCTGAAGGATGTTTTCCAACCTGGTTATTTTCTCCCCATCTCTTTCAGGTACCCCAGTCAGTCATAGGTTTGTTCTCTTTACATAATCCCATATTTCTCGGAGGTTTTGTTCATTCCTTTTTATTCTTTTTTCTCTATTCTTGTTTGCCTGTCTTATTTCCGAAAGATAGTCTTCAAGCTCTGAAATTCTTTCCCCTCTTTGGTCTATTCTGCTATTTATACTTGTGATTGCATTGTGAAGTTCTCATGTTGTGTTTTACAGCTCCATTAGTTAGTTATGTTCCTCTCTAACCTGGCTATTCTGGCTATCAGCTCCTGTATTGTTTTATCATGATTCTTAGCTTTGTTGCATTGGGTTATGTATTAATTCGTTCTCACACTGCTAATAAAGACATACTCGAGACTAGAGAATTGATAAAGGAAAGAAGTTTAATTGACTCACAGTTCAGAATGGCTGGGGAGGCCTCAGGAAACTTACAATAATGGCAGAAGGGGAAGCAGACACGTTCTTCTTCACATGGTGGTAGGAGAGAGAATGAGTGCCCGGTAAAGGGAGAAGCCCCCCTTATAAAACCATCAGATCTCATGAGAACTGTCTGTCATGAGAACAGGATGAGGGAAACTACCCCCATGATTCAGTTATCTCCACCTGAGCCCTCCCATGACACCTGGGGATTATGAGAACTACAATTCAAGATGAGATTTGGGTGGGGACACAGCCAAACCATATCAGGTTACAACATGCTCCTTTAGCTTAGTGAAGTTCATTACCACCCACCTTCTGAAGCCTACTTCTGTCATTTCAGCCATCTCAGCCTCAACCTAGTTCTGTGTTCTTGCTGGAGAAGTGTTAACGGTCATTTGGAAGAGAACAGACTCTCTGGCTTTTTTGAGGTTTTAGCATTTTTGCATTGATCGTTTCTCATCTTTGTGGGCTTATCTACCTTTGATTTTTGAGGTTGCTGACCTTTGAGTGAGGTTTTTGTGGGGTCTTTTTTGTTGATATTGTTGTAGTTTTCTGTTTGTTTTTCTTTTTAACAATCAGGCCACTCTATCTATCGTAGGACTGCTGTGGTTTGCTGGGGGTCCAATCCAGACCCCAGTTGCCTCAGTTTTTCCTGTACCTGGAGGTATCACCAGTGTAGGCTGAGAAAAAGCAAAGGTGGCAGCTAGCTCCTTCCACTGGAAGCTCCATCCTAGGGGGATACTGACCTTTTGCCAGCCCACACACACCTGTAGGAGGTGGCTGAAGACCCACATTGGGAATTGTCACCCAGTCAGGAGGAACGGGATGAGGGACCCACCCAAAGAAGCAGTCTGGCTGCTTTTTGGTAGAGCAGGTATGCTGTGTTGGAGGAGGTCCCTTCCTTGTTTGGACCACCTATATTCTCCATAGCTGGCAGACTAGAGCAGCTGACTTGACTGAACCATAGAGGTGGTGGCTGCCTCTCCCCCCCAGGAACTCAGAGTTGTCTCTGATGGACTCTAATCCACTGCCATTGGCTGGCTGGGATTCCACGCCAGTCGGTCTTAACTTGTGAGGTGCTGTGGAAGTGGGGCCCACAGAACGTCGCTGCTTGACTCCCTGGATTCAGCTCCCTTCCTAGGGATATATACAGATGGATTTCCCACCTTTCTGGGAATCCTGGGGCTGGTGTATTTAAAACTCCTGGGTCTCTGCATGTACCTAAGTGGCTACTCTGCCGTGACTCCACATAGCTCTGTGTATCAGACCCAAGGCCCTGTTGGCATGGTCTCATGAGGGGACTCTCCTGATAGGTGAGTTGCAAAGATCTGTGGGAGAAGTGTGGTTTCCCAGGTGGGGTTGCACAATCACTGTTTCCCTTGGCTGGGGGTGGAGTTTCTTTTGGCTCTATGCCACTCCTGGGTGGGCTGTCACTGCCCTGCCTGCCCCACACTACTTTTCTTTGTTCTCTCTGGGTCAGGTGGTTTGCCTAGTCAGTCCCAGTGTAACCACCTGGATATTTCGGTGCTGAATTCACTCTTCCTTTTTCATTCGTCTCCATGAGTGTAATGGACCACAGCTGTTTCTAATCGGCCATCTTGGATTGATCTCTGAAGCTAATCTAAAAGGTGAGGAAACTAAGGTTATGGGAAGTTAAGGAAACTGGCTAAGACATCAGGACTCAGTGACAAAGCTGGGATTTATATTTCAAATTCAGCAGCTGTAATTTTTTTTCCATTGTGTGCATCTTCTAAAATAAATAATCCTGTATATTAGAGATATAGAGGCAACAGACCAATTCTTGTTTCCTGGAGAGTTTGGGAAACTTCCTAGAATTCCAAGACACACAAGTACCATAAGTGTAAATATCCTTCCAAAGCCATTTGCCTTCACCTGGGTGCCTAAAGCTTCAATGCCCAGATATGCCATAGAAATACAGATCATTCTGTAGCTGGAGTTGTCCCATTACAACTCTGGGTTTATGAAATGTGCATCTGGTGAAATACATGAGCCTTTGTCTTCAGATTATGAGTGGAATGTGATAATATAAAGAGAAACTTCTTTTAATACAGATAATGCATTTTTCTTTATCACAGACCTTCCACAAATTCTGCTGTTCTATTTGGGTATTTGACAATGGACTTTGTAATGTATGACAGTGCATATGGGAAAATAAAATGTTCATGTGGGGTATGGGGAAAGAGAATTCTCAGCAAATGAATTGGAATTATAATATAAAGCAGTATAGCATTAGGATTTGAATATAAAATCATATAAAGCCATATAACACTGGATATAGGTGGTTAAGAAGTGGATAAAAAAATTTCATGGCTGAGTGCGGTACTAACGCCTGTAATCCCAGCACTTTGGGAGGCTGAGGCGGGTGGATCACCTGAGGTCGGGAATTTGAGACCAGCCTGACCAACATGGAGAAACATCATCCCTACTAAAAATACAAAATTAGCTGGACATGGTAGCGCATGCTTGTAATCCCAGCTACTTGGGAGGCTGAGGCAGGAGAATCGCTTGAAGCCGTGAGGTGGAGGTTTTGGTGAGCTGAGATCGCGCCATTGCACTCCAGCCTGGGCAACAAGAGCGAAACTCTGTCTCAAAAGAAAAAAAAAAAAAAAAAATTCCTAGGGAGATTTCTGATTTTAAAATGGTGACATGGAAGCAAGCTGCCTCCACTCTCCCCTCCCCCCACAGAAAACCAAAAACAAATATATAGCGCCAAGATTTTTGCTAGCAACAACTCTGAGCAGTCAGTAGGAGAACTGAACTTCCATATCCAAGGTTCTGCTCTCTCCCCCATTCTGCCTGGCAATAAGCTTGAGGAAAATCTTTCCCCAACTTAGAGTTTCTACACTAGAAAAACTGAGATTGAGGCCAGGTGTGGTGGCTCATGCCTATAATCCCTGTACTTTGGTGGCTAAGGTGAGAGGATCACTTGAGCCTGGGGGTTCAAGGTTCCAGTGAACTATGGTTGTACCACTGCACTCCAGCCTGGGTGACTGAACAAGACTATGTCTCTAAAACAAAAAGAGAGATTGAGACCATCAACCATCTTTTCGCACCATACTGGGTTACCTGGCAGGAGACCTGTTCTTGCCTTAACCCACAGGAAGCATCATGACTGCCTAAAGGGAGGAATATTCCCCCAAGGACAGGCAGACAAAGGGGAGAAATGGGACTATCATCCCTAGCTCTGAAAACTCTGCTTTGTAACTAGGCCAAAGGAGATGCCACATAAAAGTGGCTGTTCAGTAGCTCTATTCTATAGGAGGTACATTTCTTTCTTTCTTTTTTTCTTTTCTTTTTTTTTAGGGAGGAGGGGTGTCTTCCTCTGTCACCCAGGCTGGAATGCAGTGGCGTGAACACAGCTCACTGCAGCCTCAACTCCCTGGGTTCAAGCAGTCCTCCTACCTCAGCCTCCTGAGTATTGGGACTACAGGTGGGTGCCACCATGCCCAGCTAATTTTTAAAATTTGTTTGTAGAGACGGGGGTCTCACCATGTTGCCAAGGCTGGTCTCAAACTCCTGGGCACAAGGTATCCTCCTACCTCAGCCTCTCAACTTGCTGGGATGACAGGCATGAGAAGAGAGTGGTATATTTCATAGGTTCCTTGGACAGGAACCTCTAGCCAGCCTTCTCACACTGCTGGGATAATCTCTTTGGGAACTCCCTAGTTTGGGACAGGCAGCACTCCAATCATGCACTAGCGTCAAGGTGAACCTGGGCTTTAAGGTGCCACAAGAGCCAAAAAGGAGGAAGTGACCTAGTAGTAAAGATTTGCTAAGGAACTATATCTAATAAAAAACAAAACAAGCCAGACAGAAAATACTGAAATAAATAACTAATTCTTCAATGCAAATACTAGAATAAATAACTAATCCTTCAGTGCAAAAACCATGACCTTTCCAAAGAGACAGAGCAACAATTCAGTCACTAGCCTTAAGTGATGATTTGTAAGATCTGTGACCTAGCATTCAAAATGGCAATTTTAAGGAAACTCAGTGATCACCATCATAACAAAGAAGAGCAATTCAGAAATTTATCAGAGAAGTTTAGCAAAGATTGAAATAACAAAAAATTAAATGGAAATTTTAGAACTAAAGAATACCTTTCCTGAACAGAAGACTTCATTAAAGGCTCTCAACAGTAGAATGGACTAAACAGAGGAAAAAAAAAATCAGTGAGTTCAAAGACTGTCTGAAAATACACAGAGAAGTCTGGGTGTGGTGGCTCATGCCTGTAATCCCAGCACTTTAGGAGGCCAAGGTGGGTGGATCACTTGAGGTCAGGAGTTCGAGACCAGCGTGGCCAACGTGATGAAACCTCATCTCTACTAAAAATACCAAAATTAGCTGGACATGGTGCCGGGTGCCTGAAATCCCAGCTACTCAGGAGGCTGAGGCAGGAGAATCACTTGACCCCACAAGGTGGAGGTTGTAGTGAGCTGAGATCGCGCCACTGTACTCTAGCCTGGGTAACAGAGTGAGACTCTGTCTAAAAAAAGAAAAAGAAAAAGAAAAAAGAAAATACATGGAGGAGAATAAAGAAAAAGAATGAAAAGGAATAAAGATAGCCTACAATATATAGAAAATTGCCTCAAAAGACCAAATCTTAGAATTACTGGTGTTCAAGAGGGAGCTAAGCAGAACAAGGAAGGGGAAGAAAGCTTATTCATTTCCTTTGAGACAGGATCTCACTCTATCACCCAGGTCGGAGTGCAGTGGCCCCATCTCCACTCACTGCAACCTCTGCCTCCCAGGTTTGAGCCATTCTTCCACCTCAGCCTCCTAAGTAGCTAGGACTGTAGGCATGTGCCAACTCGCCTGGCTAATTTTTTTATTTTTTGGTAGAGACGGGGTTTCACCATGTTAGCCAGGCTGGTCTCGAACTCCTGACTTCAAGTGATCCACCCAATTCAACCTCCCAAAGGGCTGGGAATATAGGTGTGTCCACCATGCCTAGCCTAGAAAGCTTATTCAAAAAATAATAATAGGCTGGGTGCATTGGCTCATGCCTGTAATCCCAGCATTTTGGGAGACCAAGGCAGGCGGATCACATGAGGTCAGGAGTTCGAGACTAGCCTGACCAACAAGGTGAAACCCCATCTCTACTAAAAATACAAAAATTAGCGGGGTGTGGTGGCAGATGCCTATAATCCCAGCTACTGGGGAGGGTGAGGCAGGAAAATTGCTGGAATCTGGGAGGCAGAGGTTGCAGTGAGCTGAGATGGCGCCACTGCACTCTAGCCTGGGTGACAGAATGAGATTCCATCTCAAAAAATAAAAATTAATATAATAATAATAGTAATAGAAAACTTTCCAGGTACAAGAAAGCCTGAGATCACTAAACAGATTCAACCCAAATAAGATATCCCAAGGGATATAGTAAACTCTCAAAGATCAAAGATAAGGAGAGGATTTGAAAAGCAGCAAGAGAAAAGAAGTAAATAACATATGAAAGATCTCCAGTTTGGCTGGCAATAGACTTCTGAATGGAAAACCATATAGGCCATGAGGGGATGAAGTGACATTTTCAAAGTGCTCAAAGAAAAAAAAAAACTTGCATTCAAGAATACTGTACCCAGAAAAACTATCCTTCACATATGAAGGAGATATAAAATCTTTACCAGACAAGTAAAAACTGAATCATTCACCACCACCGGGCTTATCTTACAAGAAATAAAGGGAGCTTTCCCATTTGAAAGAAGAAAGCACTAATGGGTTAAAAAAAAAAAGTTTTCAAGATATAAAACCCACTTGTAAAATTAAGTATACGGATAAACCCAAAATACTCTGTTACTGTCATGTAACAATAGCTACAGCAGCCTGTTAAGAGATAGATAATGAAAAATATATAAAATCAGACAACTGAAAGTCAAAAGGGGGAGGCAGAGTAGAATTTTGTCATGTTTTTTTATTTTGCCTGTTTCTGTTCTTTTATTTGTGATCCAAGATAAGTTGTCTTTTTAATTTTTTTTTAAGATTGGGTCTCATCTGTCACCCAGACTGGACTGCAGTGGCATGATTATGGTTCACTGCAGCCTTGACCTTCTGGGCTCAGGTTATCCTCCCACCTCAGCCTCCCAAGTAGCTGGGACTGCAGGTGTGTGCCACCACACCTGGCTCATTTTTTTGTATTTTTTGTAGAGACATGGTTTTGCCATGTTGCCCAGGCTGGTCACAAACTCCTGGACTCAAATGATCCACCCACCTCGGCCTCCCAAAGTGCTGGGATTACAGACATGAGCCACAACACCTGGCCCCTATGTTGTCATCTTTTAAAAATAATTTGTTATATCTATAAGATGCTTTTTTTTCTCATGATAAGCACAGTGCAAAAAACCTATAATAGATTCACTAAAAATAAAAGCAACAAATTTACTACCTATTAGGTAGGAAGAAAGAAAGGAGTCTCAAAACAACCACAAGACAGGCAACAAGTGGCATTAGTAAATCCTTACTTATCAATAATAACACTGAGTATAAATGGTCTCAGTTCTCCAATTAAAAGCCATACAGTGGCTGAATGGGTAAAGAAACAAGACCCAGCTATATGCTGCCTTCAAGAAACCCATTTCACCTATCAAGACACACATAGACTTAATGTGAAGGGGTTGGGAAAATATATTCTATGCAACTGGAAATGAGCAGGAATAGCTACAATTATATCAGATAAAATAGTACACTAATCAAAGAATGTAAAAAGAGACAAGGTCACTATATAATGATAAAAGGGTCAATTAAGCAAGAGAATATAACAATTGTATATTTTTGCACTCAGCACCAGAGTTCCCAAGTATGTAAAGCAGATGTTAAATCTAAAAGGAGAGGTAAACTGCAATACAGTAATAGTAGGGGATTTTAAGCCCCACTCTCAGTAACAGATGATCCAGACAGAAAATTAGCAAAGAAACAGTAGAGTTAAACTACACACTAAATCTAATAGACCTACCTGACATTTATAGTACATTTCACCCAACTGCTGCAGAATACACATTCTCTTCATCAGCACATGGAATATTCCCCAGAATAGACCATATCTTAGACCACAAAACAAATCTGAACATATTTTTTAAAAAAGAAATCATATCAAGTATCTTTTCCAACCACAATGGAATAAAACTAGAAATCTGTAACATCAAAAATACACAAACACATTAAATAAGTAAGTTAAACAACATATTCTTTTTTTTTTTTTTTTTTTTTTTGAGAGGGAGTCTCACTTTGTTGCCCAGGCTGGAGTACAATGGTGCGATCTTGGCTCACTGCAACCTCTGCCTCCTGGGTTCAAGCAATTCTCCTGCCTCAGCCTCCTGAGTGGCTGGGATTACAGGTGCCCACCACTACACCCGGCTAATTTTTGTATTTTTTGTAGAGATGGGGTTTCACCATGTTGGTCAGGCTGGTCTCAAACTCCCGAACCTCAGGTGATCTGCCCACCTCGGCCTCCCCAAGTGCTGGGATTACAGACGTCAGCCACTGCGCCTGGCCACGAGATATTCTTGAACAACCAATGGGTCAATGAAAGTACTAAAAAGGGGCCGGGCACAGTGGCTCACACCTGTAATCCCAGCACTTTGGGAGGCCGAGGCGGGCAGATCACGAGGTCAGGAGATCGAGACCATCCTGGCTAACATGGTGAAACCCCATCTCTACTAAAAATACAAAAAAAAACCATTAACCAGGTATGGTGGTATGCGCCTGTAGTCCCAGCTAATTGGGAGGCTGAGGCAGGAGAATCTCTTAAACCCAGGAAGCAGAGGTTGCAGTGAGCCAAGATCGCGCCACTCTACTCCAACCTGGGCAACAGAGTGAGACTCTATCTCAAAAAAAAAAAAAAAAAGTACTAAAAAGGAAATTTTTTAAAAGGTTTTTTTTTGTTTGTTTTTGAGAGAAGGTCTTACTCTGTCACCCAGGCTTGAGTGCAGTGTCATGATCTCAGCTCACTGCAAGCTCTACCTCCCAGGCTCAAGTGATCCTCCCACTTCAGCCTCCCAAGTAGCTGGGACTATAGGTATGTGCCACCATACACCTGACTGATTTTTTTAAATATTTGTGGAGATGAAGTATCACTGTGTTGCTCAGGATGGTCTTGAACTGCTGAGCTCAAGCTATCCTCTCACTTTGGCTTCCCAAAATGCTAGGATTATAGGCATGAGCCACTGTGCCCATCCTAAAAATTTTTTGAAACAAATGGAAATGGAATAAAATAAATTAAAACTATGAGAACAATAGAAAAGATCAACAAAGTGAAAGTGGTTTTTATGGAAAGTTAAAATCGAAACTTTAGCTAGACTGAGAAAAAAATAGAGAAGACCCAATAAAATCAGAAACAAAAAAGGAAATATAACAATTGAAACCTCAGAAATACAAAGCATCGTTAGAGACTGTTATGAACAACCTGGAAAACCTAGAAGTGGAGGAATTCCTGAACACATACAACCTACCAAGACTGAACCATAAGAAATAGAAAACTTCAACAAACCAATAACAAGTAGTGAGATCAGCCGGGTGTGGTGGCTCATGCCTGTAATCCCAGCACTTTGGGAGGCTGAGGTGGGCAGATCACGAGGTCAGGAGATCGAAACCATCCTAGCTAACACGGTGAAACCCCGTCTGTACTAAAAATACAAAATATTAGCTGGGCATGGTGGCGGGTGTCTGTAGTCCCAGCTACTTGGGAGGCTGAGGCAGGAGAATGGCGTAAACCTGGGATGCGGAGCTTGCAGTGAGCTGAGATTTCGCGACTGCACTCCAACCTGGGTGACAGAGTGAGAGTCTGTCTCAAAAAAAAACACAAACAAACAAGTAATGAGATCAAAGCTGTAGTTTAAAGTCTCCCATCAAAGAGATGGAGATGCAAGGAGGGCTCAGTATATGCAAATAAATAAGTGTGGTACATCACATGGACAGAACCAATAACAAGAACCATTTGATTATTTCAATAGATGCCAAAAAAGCATTTGGTAAAATTCAGCATCCCTTTATGATAAAGCCCCTCATCAAAATGGAAGTAGAAGAAATGATTATGTACCTTAATAATAATGGAATTATTATACCTCAATAATAAAGACCATAAATGACAAACCCACAGGTAACATTGTACTGACTGGGAAAAGTTGAAGCCTTTCCTCCTAGGACCAGAACAAGACAAGGATGCCCACTTATACCACTTTTTTTCAACGTAACAGTGGAAGTCCTGGCCACAGCAATTAGGCAAAGGAAAGAAATAAAGGACATCCAAATTGGAAAGGAAGAAGTCAAATTAGCCTTGTTTGTAGATGACATGATCTTACTCATAGAAAAACCTAAAGACACCACCACAAAACTGATAGAACTGATAAACAAATTCAGTAAACTTGCAGCATACAAAATCAACATACAAAAATCATAATTGTAAGTCAGAGACGATCTGTGCAAGTATCTGTTTGAGTCCCTGTTTTCAGTTATTTTGGGTATATACCTAGGAGTGGAATTGCTTGCTTAAATCATAATTCTATATTTAACTATTAAGGAACCACCATACTGTTTTCACAGCAGCTCAACCATTTTACATTATCACCAGCAATGCAGAAGGTTCTAATTTCTCCACTCTTCACTAACATATGTTATTTTCCATTTTTTGATTCTAGCCATCCTAGTTTGTGTAAAGTGGCATCTCATTGTGATTCTGATTGCATTTCCTTAATGACTAATTATGTTGAGTATCTTTTCTCGTGCTTATTAGCCATTTGTATATCTTCTTTGGAGAAATATCTATTCAGATTTTTTACCTATTTTTAAATTTTTTTATTTTTATTGTCAAGTAAACTTTTTTATATATTATGGACAGCAAATCCTTATCAGCTATATGACACAGATATTTTCTTCCGTTTTGCAGGTTGTCTTTTCACTTTCAAGAAAGTGTTTTTGTTAAAAAAGTTTTAAACTTGCTTGAAGTCTCACTATTTTTGCTTTTTTTAAAGAAAGCAAACCTTTATGTAATAATGAGTGCAAACGGCTTTGTTGACACTTACAGAAATAATAGCTAAATTTAATGCAAATTTGTGTGAATTGAATAACTTTGTTACATTTTCTAAGCTTTATCTTTCTATGAAATAGGGTCCCATTCACCTATAAAGGATATTTTGGGATTTTTCACTAAAACTTATAAAATCTGAGAATGTGCTTAGGAGACTGGAGATAAATTTTGTGAGCCTATTATCTAGTTAGTAATGACACCATCTTATTAAATTTCAAGGTGTTAAATATAGCCCATTCAAATACTCGTATATGTAATCTAATTATTATTGTTATAGAAGTTAAAGCTCCCTTGCTGAACCTATGATTCTTCTAAGCTGCTGAACATAGAGACACATGACTGAGCAGTAGGAGGTGCTTATTGCTTCCAGAGTTGCACTATGCTTGCCTTGATGGCGTAGAATGGCCATAAAGATGACTGTGGAAACAGTGATTTCTAAACTCTTCTCAGAGTTTTGGATATGCTCCATATCCAAATGAAACAGATGACTGTGTTCTGTTCTGTAGATTTTACTACTTTTCTCTGCCAGTAGCCTCTCACATTTGTCACGCAATAGGAACCAAGCAAGAGAATCTGGACAGATCAGCTCACATCTATTGCCCTGTTAAAGTAACTCAAAGATATGCCCAAAGAATTGGATACTTGTTTCATCATTGGATAAGCTGGAACTGTCTATAAGTGGCTAGGATGTATCATGCCTTATCACAAGAAATAGCAGAAAAAAAATATATAGTCTTTGATTTCATTAAATTCCTTTGTTTGTTTGTTTGTTTGTTTATTTTTGGACACAGGGTCTCTCTCTGTCACCCAGGCTGGAGTGCAGTGGTGGTGCTAACATATCTCACTGCAGCCTTGAACTCTTGGCTGAAGCAATCCTCCTGCCTCAGCCTTCTGAGTAGCTGGGACTACCAGTGCATGCCACCATGCCCAGCTAACTTTTTCATTTTTTTGTAGAAATGGGGCCTCACTTTGTTGCTCAGGCTGTTCTTGAACTCCTGGCCTCATGTGATCCTCTCACCTTGGCCTCCTAAAGTGCTGGGATTGCAGGCCAGATGAGCCACTGCACCCAGCCAATTTCACAAAGTTTCAGTATTCTCAGAAAAGAACATACTCATATCTAGAAATGTCTTATGACTTAAAAAGCAAAGTATAACCATGTGCATATTAATAGGGCACAAAGTGAATCTGGTAGAGTGCCAGCTGTGTCTAATCTGATAAGTTTATTTCATATGGAAAATGTGTGTCAATCTTAGATGAGGCTAATTTGTTGAAAATAACTGAATTCTGGTCTCTTTTAGATTGTCAGAAAGGGATTCATTTAACAGTAAAATTTAATCCAGATATATGTAGTCATATGTTTTTAAACTTTTTAAACCCTGAAAATTATTGAAATATGTGCCATTTTAATAGTATCAGCTTCTGATTGCTTTTATTCCATCATCATGTGATATACTCCTCATTAAGCAGCACCAGTAACCAGAGTTTAATTATTGTGTAGCACTGTGTGAAAGCTTTTGTCTCTTTATCATATATGGCACAGACAGTACTCTTGGTTGTAAGTAGGGATATCCAGCATAGTTTACTGTCTACATGCTTATTTCTTTAGCTTTTTTTTTTTTTGAGATGAAGTCTCACTCTGTCGCCCAGGTTAGAGTGCAATGGCACAATCTCAGCTCACTGCAGCCTCCGCCTCCAAGGTTCAAGCAATTCTTCCACCTCTGCCTCCCGAGTAGCTGGGATTACAAGTGTATGCCACCACGCCTGGCTAATTTTTGTATTTTTAGTAGAGACAGGGTTTCACCACATTGGCCAGACTGGTCTCGAACTCCTGACCTCAAGTGATCTGCCCACCTTGGCCTCCCAAAGTGCTAGGATTACAGGTGTGAGCCACTGCGCCCGACCTCTACATGCTTATTTCTAAGAGCTATATAATAAAACAATATAACTATACAGATTTTGATGGTTTCCTCCAGAGCCTTTGCCTTGCTTATCATTGCTGTGTGAGAAGGGTAGCAGCACTAAACCTTGTGTTTCTAGAGATAGAAGTTTGTCCCTGTGTACTGTCGATTAGGACAGGCAGTTTTTCTTGTCTTGCCTGAAGAAAAACGTAACTTTTTTGAGATACAATCTTTCTGATAAGGTAAATATGTTTAGCAAAGCCTTATTTTGTGGAAATTTTCCAAGGCTTGACCCTGTAACTTCTATAGTAGAGAAAAGGGCAGTGCTTTCAAACTTTTAGCTCTTCTCCTGGTTGGTTGCCTGCCATGGTCGTATTTTAAATTGAGTAGCAAGTAAATAAATACTTAGCTTCTCTCTATAAATGAGCTGTCTGCAAAGGGTTTCTTTGTACTATATGACTGTTGTAAAGTTTCAATGGAGTAATTATAGGAAAAGAAAAAGAACAGATTTTTACTTAGTGCTGTGTTAATGCCAGTGTTTGTATGCAATAAAAATGACTGGCCACTCATTGTTTCAGAAAATAGATCTTAACACTCAAAAGAAACAAATTCTAAAACTTTAATAACTTTGAGGAACACTCTTTAAATACCTAGACTTTAGATACATACTATTGTCCAGGATAGATTTCCCAGCATATTTATCTACAACAGATCTTAAATATTGAAAACTAACAGAAGTTGTTGCATAAATTTTTCTGCAATTAGATAAGAACATTTTTATGGCTGGTCTGCAAACAGTCCGTAAAGATAGTTGCTGCCTATCATACTTAGAGTTAAGGGATGAACTCCATTCTTTATTTTCTAAACTGTGATTGCATTATCCTAAAATCCAGTGGTTTTTCTCACATACAGTCTAGGATTGAGAGGTCCAAGGCCAGTAGGGTGCCTCTGCCTCCTCTCAAGCTGCTTCCATTGATGGGTTCAGGGATTTGTTAGAGCTTTTACCATCTCCCTGCCAACAGGGGAAAGGAAGAGAGAATACATCCCTTCCGTTTTAGGGGCACAAGTATCAAATGACATATATCACTTTTATTTACCAACCAGACCTAATCATATGGCCATACCAAGCTGCAGGGATGGCTGGGAATGATCATCTTTAGATAGATAACCACAAGCCCAATTGACAGGAAGGATTATTACTAAAGGAAGAAGCAGAGTGGATACTGAAGTACAACTTTAGTAGTCTCTGCCACAGTAATACCTCTAAATGCATACATATGAGTCTGTAGGAACAGTCCTACAAAGGACTGGTGAAGCTTTATATTAATATATAGTGGTTTCCCTTTCTTTACTGTCTGCAGAAAGATTCTGGCTAGATTTTTTTTTTAAACTTTTTCAACAGCCTTATAAAGGTATAAGTTATATAGTATAAAATTCACCTGTTTGTGCAATTTAGCAGAGAGTTCACAGAGTTATGCATCCATCATCACATCCAGTTTCAGAGTATTTTGAACACCTCCCTAAAATTCCTTCATGCTCATTTGCAGTCAGCCCTCATCCTACCCCCCAGATCCATTCACCCCTAATCTGCTTTTATATAAATGGAATGTATGTATAAATGGAACCATACAGTATTTAGTCTTTTGTACTTGGCTTCTTTTACTTGGCATAATGATTTTGAGGTTAATCTCTGCTATAGTAAATAACAGTTATTTCTTCTTTTTTGTTGCATAATAGTAGCTTGTTCCTTTTCGTTGCATAGTGCATTGTATGGATAGCCCACATTTTGTTTATCCATTTACCAGTTGATGGACTTTTTGCTTGTTTCTAGTTTTTGGCTACTATGAATAATGCTCCTATGAATGTTCCCCACAAGTTTTTCTGTGAACATGTGTTTTCATTTCTCTTGGGTTGATGCCTAGGAGTGAAATTGCTGAGTATAGTAAGTTTATGTTTAACTTTTAAGAAATTGCCATACTATTTTCCAAAGTGGCTATAACATTTTATATTCCCACCAGTTATGTATAAGGATTCCAGTTTCTCCATATCCTCAACAACACTTGATGTCAATCATTTTTGTAGTAGTATCTCATTTGAGGTTTTTATTTATATTTTCTAATGGTGTTGAGCCCCTTTTCATGCCCTTTATATATTTTCTTTGGTAAAATGTCTGTTCAGAGTTTTTGCCCTTTTTTCTTTTGTTTTTTAGACAGTCTTGCTCTGTCACCAGGCTGGAATGCAGTGGCGTGATCTCAGCTCACTGCAACCTCTGCCTCGCAGGTTCAAGCGATTCTCCTGCCTCAGCCTCCCGAGTAGCTAGGACTGCAGGCACACGCCACCACGTCCAGCTAATTTTTGTATTTTTAGTAGAGATGGGGTTTCACCATGTTGGCCAGGATCATCTCAATCTCTCGACCTCATGATCCGCCCACCTCGGCCTCCCAAAGTGCTGGGATTATAGGCGTGAGCCACCACTCCCAGCCTTTGCCCATTTTTAAATTGGGTTATTTGTCTTCCTATTGAGTCATGAGAGTTCTTTATATATTATAGAAATAAGTCCTTTATGACATATATGATTTATAAATATTTTTTCCCAATCTGTGGCTTTTTAAAAATTAATGGTGTGTTTTGAAAAGCAAAGGTTTTAATAACTTAGCCATTTTTTTCTTTTATGGATTATGCTTTTGGTGTCATCTAATAAATCTTGGCCTAATCCAAGACTGCAAAGACTTTCTCTTATGTTTTCTTCTAAATGTTTTATAGTTTTCACTGTTATATTTAAGTCTATAATAAATTTTTCTTTAGTTTTTTTTTTTTTTTTGGTATGGTATGAGGTAAGGGTCTATGTACATTTTTTTTTTGTATAGGGCTATCCAATTATCCCAGCACTATTTGTTGAAAAGATTATTCTTTCCCCTATTGAATTTCCCTGGCAACTTTGTTGAAAGTCAGATGACCATAAGGGTTTATGTCTGAACTCTCAATTCTGTTCTGTTAATCTATATGTCTCTCTTTACCTGGCTAGATTTTTAAGACTTTCACAGTAATGTTTCTGAATTCACCTTCTTGCTTTTACATGCAATCTTGTCAATGATGGGACCTGAAATGACCTCACAACACTTAAATATCGCTGAAAAGAGTGATCCAGAAGCTGAACAAAGTTTTATATTCATAAGCCAGATAAATAAATACAAGATAAGAAGCATGTCAACCCAGAGGGGAAAAGGGCCAAAAGGGAAAATATGATAGTCACAAATATGAAGTTTTTTTGTATTAAAATACAGGTTAACGAAGAGATCTAACCAGATAGTTGCTTAAACAAGAAAGATCTTCATTTTTGTCTTTTAGTGTCAGTTTCAGTATACACAATCCAAATTTGATGTGGTGGCTGCGTTGAAGTCAGGAAATCAGACTCGCTCTACTATCTCAAAGGAGAGCATATCTCGTCCTTTGAAGGAAGTTTCACACATTAATTTTATTCATTCCATTGGTGAAAACTTGTCACTGGCCATACCTAGATGCAAACAGCACTTGGAAGCATAATCTTTAGCTGAAGGCCGTGTGCCCAACTAAGACTTACATTACTAAATAACAAGCAGGTGTCTTAGTCAACTCGGACTGCCATAACCAAACACCGTATACAATATCACTTAAACAATGAATATTTATGTCTGCAGTTTTGGAGGCTGGGAAATACAAGATCAGTGTTCCAGTAGATTTGGTTCCTGGTGAGAACTCTTTTCCTGGCTTGCAGATAGCCACCTTTTTGTTGTATTCTCACATGGCAGAGAGGGAGAGTTTTGGTTTCTCTTCCTCTTCTTGTAAGGACACTAATAATCATGGGGGCTCCACCCTCATGACTTTATCAAAACCTAGTTACCTCTCAAAGGCTGCACCTCCAAATGCCATCACATTGGCTGTTAGGGCTTCAGTATCTCAGTGTGGGAGTGGGTTGGGGAGGACATAAACATTCGGTTCATATCAGGGAAAATGCACACTTAGAGGAAATTGGCAGGTTATGCTTCCAATTACATCAGTATTACAGATTTATAAATATGTGTTGATATTATGTATACATCAGAATATATAATGTATGTATGTGTTGATATTATGTATACATCAGAAGACAAACATTGAGGACTTACATTGGAGACACTGTTATGGCGATTGCAAAGACTGCCTTTAGTGAGATTTCCAGAATTTAACAGCTGGTGGAAGGGGAGGCAGTTATAGTGTTATAACTTTATAAATGTTATTTCTAAACTGAAAATGCCATTTTAATTTTCCAAACACAATCACTGCAGATCTAAGCTGCACTATTTACAGTTTTTGTAGCTACCTTGATATAGTAATTCTTCACTTCAAAAAATATGTATTGAGGCTGGGCGTGGTGGCTCACGCCTGTAACCCCAGCACTTTGGGAGGCTGAGGTGGGTTGATCACCTGAGGTCAGGAGTTCAAGACCAGCCTGGCCAACATGACAAAACCCCATCTCTACTAAAAATACAAAAAGTAGCCAGGCATGCTGGCGATTACCCGTGATCCCAGCTATGCAGGAGGCTGAGGCAGGAGAATTGCTGGAACCTGGGAGGCAGAGTTGCAGTGTGCTGAGATCGTGCCACTAGCACTCCAGCCTGGGTGACAGAGTGAGACTCTGTCTTAAAAAAAAAAAAAAAAAAGCCCAAAAAACATGTATACGTGTATTGAGTGCCTGTCATGTGTCAGGGATACAGGGGTAAGTTGTCTGTAACCAGAAATACAATTATGTTTGGCCTCAAACAGAAAGCAGAGTCTTCTCATCCTGAAATATTGCAGTTTTAATAATAATATAAGAGGCCTTTATAATTTAGAACTATTATGAAGTAATTATGTTTTGGAAAAATCCCAGGACTGGATGCAAAGAGACTTAAGTGTATGTCCCAGTTCTGTCACTCATCGGGCAACTGTGGGCTGACCTGTTTCCTCAGGTTTAAATTGAAGGAGTTTATTATATATTTTAGTTTCTACAGTCTCCTTTGTTTCTATGATTCTGTAGCTCTAATTATCTATAATGTATATATTTATGTGAAATATACTTTATTATCTATAATCTGTACATTTCTATGATTCCATAGCTCCAGTTATCTTTAATCTGTAGTCCTAGAGTATTTATTGCAAACCACCTCAAAACAGTGTCATAAAACAATGGCAGTTATGCTCACAGAATCTGCGGAGCAAGAATTCACACAGGGCCAGGCATGGTGGCTCACGCCTGCAATCCCAGCATTTTGGGTGGCCAAAGTAGGAGAATTGCTTGAGCTCAGGAGTTAGAGATCAGCCTGGGCAACATAGTGAAACCTCGTCTCTAGAAAAAAAGTTTAAAAATTAGCCAGGCATACTGCTGTGCACCTGTAGTCCCAGCTACCTGGGAGGCTGAGGTTGCTTGAGCCCAGGAGGTCATGGCTATAGTGAGCCAAAATTGTGCCACTGCGCTTCATCCTGGGAGACAGAGCAAGATCTTTTTTCAAAAAAGAAGAAAAGAATTCAGAGCCTGGGCAACAAAGTGAGACCCACCCCCCCGATCTCTACACAAAATTCAAAATTAAAATTTAAAAATTTGTCTCGTACAGTGGCATGTGCTTGTAGTCTCGGCTATTCAGGAGGCTTGAGGTGGGAGAATTGCTTAAGCCTAGGAGTTAGAGGCTGCAGTGAGCTCTGATCGTGCCACTGCATCTGCCTAAGCGACAGAGCAAGACCTTGTCTTTTTTCTTTTTTTTTTTTTTTTTGAGACAGAGTCTTGCTCTTTCACCCAGGCTGGGGTGCAATGGCACGATCTCGGCTCACTGCAACCTCCGCCTCCCAGGTTCAAGTGATTCTCCCGCCTCAGCCTTCCGAGTAGCTGGGATTACAGACATGCGCCGCCATGTCCAGCTAATTTTGTATTTTTAGTAGAGACGGGGTTTCTCCATGTTGGTCAGGCTGGTCTCGAACTCCCGACCTCAGGCGATCCGCCCGCCTTGACCTCCCAAAGTGCTGGGATTACAGGCGTGAGCCACTGCGCCTGGCCAATCCGTGGTTCTTTACTCTTGTGTCAGCCACCTGAAGTGGGATGTTTCAAAGACAGGGCTCAGCTGGGACCATTAACTGAAACACCTACTTCGGCTTCTCCGTATGTCTTGAGCTTCTTCACAGCATAGTGCCCTGAATGTCTTACATGGCAGCTCAGGGTTCTCAGAACTGGTGTTCTCCAAGGGAAAGTTTTTGTCTTATAAAATAATTAAAAATATTTTAGTGTAATAAAAAAATTAAGAATTATTTTTAAGCCAGGCATGGTGGCTCACTCCTGTAATCTCAGTACTTTGGGAGGCCAAGGTGGGAGGATTGCTTGAATCCAGGAATTCAAGACCAGCCTGAGAAACAAAGCAACACAGTGTTTCTACAAAAAAAAATTAAAAAATTATCTGGGCACAGTGGTTATGCCTGTAGTCCCAGCTACTTGGGAGGTTGAGGCAGGAGGATCACTTGAGCCCAGGAGTTTCAGGCTGCAGTGAGCTATGATCATGCCACTGCACTCCAGCCTGGACAACATAGACCTTGTCTCAAAACAAAACAAAAAAAGAATTATTCAAACCAAATTGATGAAAAGTGTTAAGTATTAGGTAAGTAGAGTTATAAAAGTTTATTTGGGGTCACCAGGAACTTAAAACTGGCATTTATTGGGTGTATACTATATGCTTGGCATTGGACCATAAGCACTTTTGTGGATTATAATGTGATTTATTCTTCACAACAGCCTTATGCAGAAACCAAGGCTTAGAGAAGTTAAGCATCTTGTCCAGGTCATAATGCTAAGTGGCTGAACTGTGACTCAAAACAGATCTAACTCCAATGTTAGTGGCCTAACTACTGTATTAGTCCATTTTCACATGCTAATAAAGACATACCTGAGACTGGGCAGTTTGCAAAGGCAAGAGGTTTAATGGAGAAGTCACAGTTCTACCTGGCTGGGGAAGCCTCACAATCGTGGCAGAAGGCAAGGAGGAGCAAGTCATGTCTTACATGGATGGCAGCAGGCAAAGAGAGAGCTGGTGCAGGGAAACTCCCATTTTTAAAACCATTAGAACTTGTAAGACTCATTCACTATCAGGAGAACAGTGCAGGAAAGATTCACCTCCATAATTCAGTCACCTCTGACCAGGTTCCTCTCACAACACATGGGAATTACAATTCAAGTGGGAGTTACAACTGAAGATGAGACTTGGATGGGGATGCAGCCAAACCATATCAACTACTGTTACGAGTTGAATTGTCTTTACCGCATCCCTAATTCATATGTTGAATATGACTATATTTGGAGTATAGTCAGCATCTCAGAATATGACTATATTTAGAGGTAGGGTCTTTAAAGTGGTAATTAAGGTAAAAGGAGGTCATTGGGGAAGGTTCTAATCCAATATGATTAGTGTCCTTGTAAGAAGAGGAAATTTGGACACAGACACACACAAAGGAAAGATCATGTGAGGATACAGGGAGAAGATGGCCATCTACAAGCCACGAATTGAGCCCTCAGAAGATACAACCATTGCCAACAACCTTTATCTTGGATTTCTAGCCTCCAAAACTGTTAGGAAAGAAATTTCTATTGGTTAAGCCCTTCAGTCTGTGGTACTTTGTTTTTTTGTTGTTGTTTGAGACGGAGTCTTGCTCTGTCGCCCAGGCTGGAGTACAGTGGAGCGATCTTGGCTCACTGCAGCCTCCGCCTCCCGGGTTCAAGCAATTCTCCTGCCTCAGCTTCCTAAGTGGCTGGGATTACAGGCACATGCCACCATGCCCAGCTAATTTTTGTATTTTTTTAGTAGAAACGGGGTTTTACCATGTTGGCCAGGCTGGTCTCAAACTCCTGACCTTGTGATCCACCTGCCGCGGCCTCCCAGTGTGCTGGGATTACAGGCATGAGCCACTGCGCCCGGCCCAGTCTGTGGTACTTTGTTATGGCAGCCCTAGCGAACTAATAACGTCACTAATAGCACATTACTAATGTGCATACCTGGGTTTTGTTTTGTTTTTTTAAACCTGTTTTAATCAGCCTACTTTAGTGCTGTCCTTCCCATTGCCCTCTCTCTTACAAAGATATTGTGGACAGATACATTTGTTTTTTATAGACCTACAAACTTTCTTACCATTATCACATGCTGAGACATATAATAAAGGTGTACAATTCTTCAAGGTAAAAATACCTCCACATGGGCATACTCTTTCCTATAGGATAAAATTAGAGTTCTTCCCTCTTTTGAGATGTGAGCATCAATTAATAGCCCCTAAGGAGTTTATTTTCTGCAAAGATCAAGATTAATTACAATTGTTTCAAAGTAATCCGGAAATCAATGTGGAAATCTCTGGTTTTATAAAGCTAGTTATCAGCTGCTAACGAACTGTCTAAATATGCCAAAAATTGAACTTTATCATGTAGCATTTACCTTCTGAACCATGTATTTATTTATTATGGTCTGTCATGTTTGAATTTTTTGTCTTGTGTTATATATATAAATCTTGCCTCCCTAATAATGAGCTTCCTAAAGATGCACATTTTTGAATCCTCTTTAGTTAGTAAAATGTAATGAATGCATTTGTAGGTGAGCACTAAATGCTATTAAACTGAATTGTAATTTTCAGATTTAGGTATTTTGTGTACAGTTTCCCTCTAAACTCCACTTTTGAAACACTATTGAAATCAATATGGGGGATGCTGTTTTGATACATTCACTCTGCCCTTCAATTTTTTTAAGTATAATTTCCATTTTATTTTTCTCCAGAAGATAGCTTTTCTTCAGTCCTTAAAAACTCAGCTTCTTACACAGGCTTGGTAGTGGTTGTAGGGCAGCACCCGGAGGCCTAAAAATGGGTGTTTAGTCATTCCCAGCTTCATAAGAACAATTCCTGTCTACCTTGCTATGGGTGGCACCACTCACACAGTAACGCAGTTTTACATACATCTTGGGAAGCGCATAGACATCAAAGACACTCCAGAAATAATCCCTGACAGCTGTAGCCTCTACTATGTTTCAAATGATGAACTTCTTAAAATGGCCTTGTCCTTGGGCACGCATCAGGCGCAGTTTATGCAGCAAATAGACAGCATGTGGCTGCAGCTCTTTTTGGCATGACCATTGTTCCTTCTTTATTTGTCATCTTGGAAGCAAGGACTGAAGAGCTGCCTTTCAATTTTTAAAACCACAGTCTTCTTTCCTGACATGTTCCTTAGACAGTGGCTCTCTCTCGCAGCACTGTTTTCTCACCCTGGGGCTTAAGAACATAACCTATCAATGTATTGGAAGAGAAATGTTTCTGAATAAGGACCAGGCCTTTGATCATTTTGTGAGATATTCATGGTCTCCTCTATCTGAAAGAGCAATGATAACATTATTTCCAAAACTGGAACTCATGCATATTCACATCTCAAGTATACTAAAACTTTTCATTTTCTGGTGAAGAAATTCAATGTAGTGGTTAAAAGTGTGGGCTCTGTCTTAGTTCAAATCCCTTCTGTGCCAACTACCAGCTGTGTGATTTTAGGCAAATCAACTTAATCTTGTTGAACCTTGATTTCCTGTTCTATAAAATGTAGCCAATTATAGAGGATAGGCCAGGCACAGTGGCTCATGCCTAGAATCCCAGCACTTTGGGAGGCCCAGGTAGAAGGATCACTTGAGCCCAGGAATTTGAGACCAGCCCGGGCAACAGAGGGAGACCTTGTCTCTACAGAAATATCAAACAGCCAAGTATGGTGGCACATGCCTGTGGTCCCAGCTACTTGGGGGGTCAAGGAGATTGAGGCTGCAGAACTACGGACACATCACTGTACTCCAGATTGTGTGACAGAACAAGACCCTATCTCAGAAAAAAAAAAAAAAGTAGAGCATATCTATAGAGTTGTAGAAATAAATAAGGTAAGGTGTGTTATATGCTTATAATAGCACATGGGACATAGGAAATCTTCAGTAAATGTTAGTCATTATTATCATTACCATTATTTATTGGCTATCCAGATATTGGAGAAAACTGAAATCGACCTTAAGACTGATTTGTGTAAAGCACAGTAAGTATTCAGTGAATGTTTATTGGGTAATAAAGACATGTCAAGTGTATATGGAGGCTTTATTGAATAGATTACCATTTTTCAAAAACAATGAAAGGTTTTAAACAGTTTATTTCAGCACCTCCTCAATGAACTGGAGCTCAAAGCCTTACCCTAGTGCCCTGTCTGGATGAGTGACACATAGCCAAATTATATAATAATGTTAATTATTTGAGGATATTGTATATAAACAAACATTTAGAAGTCAGTTTGCTGACCAAGTACGGAGGCTTATGCCTGTAATCCCAGCACTTTGGGAGCCCAGGCGGGTGGATCACTTGAGGTCAGGAGTTTGAGACAGCCTGGCCAACATGTTGAAACCCCATCTCTACTAAAAATACAAAAATTAGCTGAGTGTGGTGGCACGTGCCTGTAATCCCAGCTACTTGGGAGGCTGAGGCAGGAGAATCGCGTCAACCTGGGAGGTGGAGGTTGCAGTGAGCTGAGATTGTGCCACTGCATTCCAGCCTGGGCGACTGAGCGAGACTGTCTCAAAAAAAAAAAAAAAAAGAAAAAAGAAAAAGTCGGTTTGTTTAATTGTAGCTTTTGTCACCTCTAAGATTTAATCAGGAAAGTATTTAGTCAAAACTTACACTGCTGAGTAGTTTCATTAGGAGATGCAAATATGACTAAGCTATTACACCTGGTTCAGGGCTTGTAAGCATTCACTTTCAAACTACTGGACAGTCTAGAAAGCTTCATAAGAAAGATACAAAGTACTGACTGGGCACAGTGGCTCACACCTGTAATCCCAGCACTTTGGGAGGGCAAGGTGTGTGGATCACGAGGTCGAGAGATTGAGACTATCCTGGCCAACATGGTGAAACCACATCTTTACTAAAAATACAAAAATCAGCCGGGCATGATAGTGTATGCCTGTAGTCCCAGCTACTTGGGAGGCTGAGGCAGGAGAATCTCTTGAACCCGGGAGGCAGAGGTTGAAGTGAGCCGAGATTGCGCCACTGCACTCCAATGTGGTGACAGAGCAAGACTCTGTCTCAAAAAAAAAAAAAAAAAAAAAGAGAGAGATACAAAGTACTACTGAAATCTAGAAAAGGGGAAAGAGCATCTCTTACTGCAGAATCAGAAGGGAGGACTTCATGAAATAAATGGCATTTATGGAGAACTCTAAAGGATGACTTTGCTTCCTACTTCGCAGAGCATTTAGGGTAATTGGATTCTGCTCAGATGTATTACTTTTCCCCAGGCCCAGAAAAGATTTTGTCCCCCTGCTATTCAACATTAATCTATTCAACCTTGCTTTAGATCTGGTCCTTCCCATCTTCCTCAGAGCCTTGCATGGAAGGATAATCTCAACGGGCACGATGGTGGCAACTTATGATGACCTTCCTTAAGCCTGGAACATGTTAACTCTCGAATTAAGAAAAATCAGTCACTATTACAGACCCCGAGAATTCCCTACTTAGTAGAGCTTAAGTTTAAGTAGAGACAGGCAATAAACACAATACCTAAGTAAAAATCCATAGTACTGTATATTAGAAGATAACTAATGTGGAAAAAATAGGACAAGGTCAGGAAGATCAGTAGTGCTGGAAGAGTGCAGTGTTAAATAGGGTAGTAAGGGTAGATTTCACTGAAAAGGTACATTTGCGCAAGGACTTGACTGAAGCAAGGGAGTGATCCATCCACATGGCTAGATAGAGGGAAGAATTTTCAAAAGAGAAAAGACAGCGGGTGGGCCGGGCCTGGTGGCTCATGCCTGTAATCCCAGCACTTTGGGAGGCTGAGGCGGGCGTATCACAAGGTCAGTAGATTGAGACCATCCTGGCTAACACGGTGAAACCCCGTCTCTACTAAAAATACAAAAAATTAGCCGGGCGTGGTGGCGGGCGCCTGGAGGTTGAGGCAGGAGAATGGCGTGAACCCAGGAGGCGGAGCTTGCAGTGAGCCGAGATCACGCCACTGCACTCCAGCCTGGGAGACAGAGCGAGACTCGAGACTCCGTCTCAAAAAAAAAAAAAAAAAAAAAAAAACAGCAAAAAACAACAACAAAAAAAACAGCTGGTGAAAAAACCTTGGCAGGAGCATGTCTGGTGTACCGGAGGAACCACAAGGAGGCTAGAGCATGATGAGATAAGAGGAGAGTGGAGGAGACCAGACGTAGAATAGCCGGGGAGAAAGCGAGCCAGGTAGGGGAGGGCTTTGTAGGCCATGGCAAGGCATTTGGTCTGTAATTCTTTTATGATTTGTGCTTTTGGTCTTGATTTCTTCCTTATGAATCATAGATGATGAGGACTTAGAGGAGGAAAAGAAGAATTGTTAATTATCCTCTTTTTAAAAACGGAATTTATAGATTTTCATAAAGATGAAAATGTTCTATATGTAAATTTTTTTGAATATTTGTTTTTCTTTTTTCAGTTTTTAGTTTTTTGTGCAATTAAAAAAATATAATGTGAGATAGAGAACCTGATTTTTCTCATTTTGTTATTTTGGTTTTTTGGGTTTGTTGTTGGTTTTTTTTTTGTTTTTGTTTTTTTTTTGTGTTTTTTTTTTTTTTTTTGATACCAGGCTGCAGTGGTGTGATCTTGGCTGACTGCAACCTCTCCTCCCAGGTTCAAGTGATTCTCATGCCTCAGCCTCCCAAGTAGCTGGGTCTACAGGTGTGCGCCACCATACCCTGCCTATTTTTCTCATTTTGATCGCCAGTTGTCTGACCAACATTTATTAAATAACTTATCTTTTCCCCACCTATTTGTAATAATACTGCCTTAATTTTGTGTCTGGGCTCTTTAATACTGATTTGTTGATCTGTTCCTGAGCTAGTATGTCACAGTTTCAATTAGTAAAACTTATTATAAATCTTTGATGTCTAGTAGAGCAAATGCCTTTTCCTTTATTATTGTTTCACTATTCTTGGTCCTTTTCTCTTCAGTAAGAATTTTTTGATCACTTTGTCAAGGCTCATATTTTAAAAATCCTTTGAGATATTGAATAGAAGTGTGTTACATTTATGAATTGATTATGGAAGAATTGATATCTTCATATAGTTCAGTCTCCCCATCCGTTTTATTTAAACCCTCTTTTATGTTAACAAAAGTTTTTAGAAAATTCTGCATAGAGGTTTTATCATTAGATTTATTTCCAAAGACCTTAAGTTTTTGTAGTAAGAATGAATGGGCTCTGTTTTTATTACATTTTAAATTGGTTGTTGCTAGTGTATAGACATACTATTAACTTTGTAAATTAATCTCGTATGTAACAAACTTGTTAATGTCTTTCTAAGTGGTTTTATTGTTTTATCAATATGTTGTTTTAGATTTTTCTAATTAAATGACTACAATCGTCTGTAAAAAATGAAGATTTTTGCCTTTTCTAATTTTTAACTTTATATTTATTACATCATCTTACGGCATCAACAGTAACTTCTCTGTTAAAAGGGCCATGACAGCTGGACATGGTGGCTCACACCTGTAATCCCAGCACTTTGGGAGGCCTAGGCAGGTGGATCACAAGGTCAGGAGTTTGAGACCAGCCTGGCCAATATGGTGAAACCCTGTCTCTACTAAAAATACAAAAATTAGCCAGGCGTGGTGGCACACACCTGTAATTCCAGTTACTCCAGAGGCTGAGGCAGAAGAATTGCTTGAACCCAGGAGGCAGAGGTTGCAGTGAGCTGAGATTGCACCACTGCACTCCAGCCTGGGTGACAGAATAAGACTCCGTCTCAAAAAAAAAAAAAAGTGGGGGGGCCATGACAATAAGCATCCTTATGTTGTTCCTGATTTTAAAGGGAACATTTTTAAGATTTCACTGTTAAAGATTTTGTGTGCTTTAGGTTCAGATTGATCATTTATGTTGGGTTAATAGTTAATAGTCTATTCTATTCTGTTCAAATTCTAATTTGCCAAGATTTTTAATTATTAAAACTGCAATTACTTTTGCACCAACCTAGTATTAATAGGTATTTAATTTTATTAAGTGTTGTTTGTATATCTGTTGATGAATTTGTGATTTTTATCCTGTAATATGTGAATTATAGTAATATTTCTTCTTCTTTTTTTAAATTAGAGATAGGGTCTCGCTGCATTGCCCAGGCTGGTCTCGAACTCCTGAGCTCATGCAGTCCTCCTGCCTTGGTCTCCCAAAGTGCTGTGATTACAGGAATGAGACAACACACCAAGCCATATTTCCTCTCTTTTTAAAGACGTTTTAGAGACATGGTTTTGCTATGTTGATCAGACTGGAGTGCAATGGCTAGTCACAGGTGTGATCATAGTGCACTATAGCACTGAAATCCTAGGTTCAAGCGATTTTCCTGCCTTGGCATCCCGAGTAGCTAGGACTATAGGTGCACACCACCACAGCTGGATGATGTTTCTTCTTTTAAAATAATATTTTAAATAGTAAAAATGAAGCTGTTAAAAAATCTGAAATGTAAATTTGAACCCCTCTAAAGCTACTCTTTCATTTCACTTCCCTGTTTCAAAGAACAGTACCATTCAGCCTAAAATCTTAGGAGCTAATCTAGGCATTGCTCACAGCTGCTTGGTGACCAGATCCTGTCATTTTCAATATTGTCGTTGCCTCTCTATTCTTTCTTTGTTGCCTAATTATTCTCCATGTACCTGCAAGAGCAGAAAATTCCTTTGATTAAAATCTTTCAGTGATTCCCTAATCTGTAGCCTTCACAAATTTGAACTCCTTACTGTGCCCTATAAGGCCCTTCAAGATCTGGCCCTTCCTTCTCCAGCCTTGCAGGCCCTTCTTGTTGCACTCTACTTCCCACTGATTCGCCAGCAAATCAGTCATTCCTTGGGGCCTTTATTTAGCATTCCTCTCTTTGTCTAGCTGTCTAGCAGTTACTCATTTTTCCAGGCCCAGCCAAGCCTTATCTACCTCCATAATATATGTCCTAACTTCCAGATAGAGTAGACCGTTGAATCTTTGTACATCCTCCTATGCCATACAAACCTTAATCTTTTGAAATTGTGTATGGTCTTTATTCATTTATGTATTTATTTCATCTACTAGACTTGTATCTAGTATCTTGAAGTTTGTGACTATTTTATTCACCATTGTATTCCTAACACAGTGAAGGTATTCAGTTCACGTATAATGATGAATAAACAAAAGAACAAGCAGACAGGCAATGATTGAGATAAAAGAGAAAGGGATTATTCCAAAAGGAAAATAATGAAAGCAAAAGCCTTGTTAACTGTTAATTTCATTATCTACATTGAGTCCTGGGTGGAGCCTTAGGGAACTCGGGAAATGATTCTAATGATTGTCTACTGATTGAGGGAAAAGATTCCCTGACCTGCAATCTTTTGCAAATTTGTTGCCTTTTTTTCTCTCTTTATGAAGAAGCTTTTTCTATTTTCCTCTCTTTGGGGATTTTCTTTCTTTTGAATTCATTTAGTCAGTTAATATTTATTGATTACTTGCTATATACCAGGCTCAGTGCTAGTGCTGGGAACTAGTTAGATAGAGCCTGTCTCTACCCTGGAGTATCTCTCTGGCTGGCTGGGGTACAAACATGTAAACAAACAAATATAGCAGTGATTTTCAAATATCTTTCCTAATTGTCTTGTCATGTTTTTCCACCATGAAACCCACCTTGTAAAGAAGATTGGCTGTTATGTTCTCACTCATAGGTGGGAATTGAACAATGATAACACTTGGACACAGGAAGGGGAACATCACACACTGGGGCCTGTCGTGGGGTGGGGCTGGGGGGAGGGATAGCATTAGGAGATATACCTAATGTAAATGACGAGTTAATGGGTGCAGCACACCAACATGGCAAATGTATACATATGTAACAAACCTGAACACTGTGCACATGTACCCTAGAACTTAAAATACAATAATAATAAAAAAGAAGATTGGCTGTTTATTGGGGTTTTAACAGTTGTATTTGGCAAACAAAAGAATAACTGGAAGTAACTGAGAATAGGATGCTGGAAGGAAATTGTCTGAGATGCCACTCTCCTGGTTTATTTACTACTGTCTTCCTCACTTTCAACTGTCAGCATTGAAGGATTGTATTCCTCAGTTAGGTAAAAAATATGACCAATTTATCTGCTTTAATTAGTTAGAAATTAGAAATTTAGGGGCCAGACACAGTGGCTCATGCCTGTAATCCCAGCACTTTGGGAGGCCAAGCTGGGAGGATCACTTGAGGCCAGAGTTTGAGACCAGCCTGGGCAACATAACGAGATCCTATCTCCAGAAGCAAATTTTAAAAATCAGCCAGGTGTAGTGGCATGCGCCTGTAGTCCCAACTACGAGGCAGCTGAGGCAGGATTATGGCTTGAGCCCAAGAGGTCGAGGCTACAGTGAGCTATGATCATATCACTGCGCTATATTCCAGCCTGGGTGACAGAGGGAGACACTGTCTCTACAAAAAATAAATAAATAAATAAATAAATAAATAAATAAATAAATAAATAAGAAATTTAGGAAGTATATTCATCTCTACTGATTTTAAAGCAAAATTTAATTTTTTTTTTTTTTTTTTTTGAGATAGGGTCTTGCTCTGTCTCCCAGGCTGGAGTGCAGTGATGCAATCTCAGCTCACTGCAGCCTCAGCCTCCTGGGCTCAAGTGATCCTCCCACCTCAGCCTCCTGAGTACCTGGGACTACAGACAAGTGCCACCATGCCAGATTTTTTTTTTTTTTTTGTAAAGACAGAGTTTTGCCATGTTGCTCTGGCTGGTCTCAAACTCCTGGGCTCATGCAATCCACTCACCTTGTGCTCCCAAAGTGTTGGGATTACAGGTGTGAACTACCATGGCTGGCTGCTAAAAGTAATTTCTTTAACTCCTTTAAAAATTTTTATTTTATGTATTTACTTATGAGATGGGGACTCAGTTTGTTGACCAGACTGGCCTTGAACTCCTGGCCTCTAGCAATCCTCCTGCCTCAGCCTCTCAAGTAGCTGGGATTACAAGTGTATATACCACCACACCTAGATCAAACTTCTTTTTTTTTTTTTTGAGACAGGATCTTGCTGTGTTACCCAGGCTGGAGTACAGTGTCAGATGGCAGGATCTTGGCTTCCTGGGCTCAAGCAGTCCTCCTACCTCAGTCTCTCTGGTAGCTGTGCCTGCAGTCACATGCCACCATGCCTGGCTAATTTTTTATTTTTTGTAGAGATAGGGTTTCACTGTGTTCTCCAGGCTGGTATTAAACTCCTGGACTCCAGCAATCCTCCCACCTTGGCCTTCCAAAGTGCTGGGATTATAGGCATGAGCCACTGCGCCCAGCATACGAACCCATTTTTAAGTTGTCAAACATACACAAAAGTAGAGAGAAGAGCACCGTGAACATCCACGTAGTCATCACCCAGCTTCAGTAACCTTCAGCCTCATGCTTTTCTTGTTTTATATCTCCCCCATCTTTTTTTGCAAGAGTATTAGGTAAAAATTTCAGACATATCATTTTACTCATAAATATTTAAGTATATATCTTAACACATAAGGACTTTAAAATCATAACCATAATATTGATATCAGACCCACTGAAATTAATATTCTAATAGTGGGTGCATTTTTAAAATTCAAATGAATATGAAACAACCAGAGTCCAAGTAAAGGAACTTATACCATGTTCTAATTTACCAAGTAGGGGATAGTTTGGCTTTTAACCCCAAATGTAGTGGGATTTTTTTTTGTTATTTTAGCCAGAAACATTTAAAAATCATCCCATCATTGTCCCCTCTTTTAAAACAGAGTAACAAAGTAAGCAGAGTGAATGCTCTTAATTTATAATTTTATTTTCAGGGTATTTTACAATATACTGTGGGTGATGGGAATGAATATGTGTCCAGCAAAACTTGATATTTTCTTATATGATGAATATTTCCCATTTTATTTAAAAGGCAAAGCTGATGGGATATTCTTTGCATTATATTCTGAAAATAAAAATCAGAATCCCTGCTGCTAATGGTGAGACTGATATTCTAATACCCTAGTTCTAAGCCTAGCTTTGAATGCTTTGAATAAGGGAAGTCATTCCTTATGACTTCCAATAGATAATGCTTTGTTTCACTGATCCTCTTTCAGGGATTTTCTTTGTGAGGCTTTTCAAGCTAAATAGAAGCCAGTACTTCTGAGCCAAATTAAACCTTGCTTCAGCCCTGGAAAGACTTGCATGTTTTTTTAAAAAGAGACTAGGGAAGAAACAGTTATTGTCATATGTTTTACTAGGCTATATTAGTCATCTCAGCCACGTAGTTCTATTTTGCTCTTTGCCTAAAGGTATTAAAAATTTTAATTAATTTGTAAGCTGTAGCCATCTCAAGTTCAGTTATAAAATAAACTGATGGTACTTTAGATGTGCATTTACCACTTGCCATCGGTCTTCTGTGCACTAAAGAAAGCAAAAGATGACTTATATTTTATACCAGAGGTCTTTGTTAATATTTCACCTAAAAAAATTAAATATATTGCCTTTTATTACTTCCTGTTTGAACCTACAATCAAGTGGAGAAATACCATGTGAAAGATTGTACATGTTGGCTTCTCTGGTAGAAGACATTGTTTGCCTTCCATTTTGTACCTAGGGGTAGATTTTTGAGGCTTGCCTGCTTACCATTAAAATAAGATTTAAATTATAAAATTTCTTTAGACTGCTTTTTTGGTTTTTTTTTTTTTTTTTTTTTTTTGCCTGTCCAGTGAAGTTTTGAGCTATACTTGCTCAAAACACTGACTATACCTTGAGCTCTGAATGATAGATAAGCAGTTAGATAGTAAACAGAGTAGAATTGGTAAATTAGAAAGGACCCAGAGGAATCATCTGGTACTTTTCCTTCATATAGGATGAAGGAAACCGCTCCAGGAAGTGATCCTTTTCTCTAAGGTTTTCAAAGAGGGATGTTTATTCATTTATTTAATACTTCTTTGTTTTTTTTTTTTTAAAAGAAGAATGCTGAGCCTGATGCTGTGTTTAACTCTCTCCTTAGTCACCCTCAGCCTGGAATAGTTTCTCAGTCTTTGACTTTTATAATGTTGATACTTTTGAAGATGACAAGCTAGTTATTTAGTAGAATGTTTCTCCATTTGAGTTTGTCTGGTGGTTCCTTAAGATTAGATTTAGGATATGTATCATGAGCAAGAATATTATAGAAGTGATGCTGTTTTTCTCATCCCATTCATTCTATCAGATGGAGTATGATTTTAATTTGTCTCATTGGCTGGTGATGCTTACTCTGATCATTTGACCAAGGTGATTTCTGCAAGGTTCTTTATGTAAAGTTGCTCTATTCCCCTTCCTGACAAATAAGAATTTTGTGGCGAAGTACTTTGAAATTATATAAATATCCAATTCCTAATAAAACTTTCAATTTATTTCATTTATATATAGAATCATGATTTCCTGTTTATTCAGTATTATATCTTATTCTACCATTATTTATTTTAATGCTGAAATTATCCCCTACTTGGCCACTGGGAGCTCCTTCAGGATGGCTTTTGTGTCCTTTTGACATGTTTCCATTATTCTTCAAGCGTAACTTGCTTTTGGAAAAGCAAGATATTCCAGGCTCTTTTTGTACTTTGCTGGCACTAGCCCTAGAATCAGGTATTTCTCCAAGTAGCCCTGGTTCTTTTTGGTAGACACTGATATATAGCAACCAAGATCTGTGCAGTAGATTTGCTCATTGTTTCTGGATATGTATTGTTGCTTCTATATCTTCTCAGCAGACAGAACTAGGGACTAAACACACACACACTTACATACATACATGCATACATACATACATACATACATTTATACATACATACATACATACATACAAACATACATACATTTATATGCATTTGCACCTGTATTTCTTCAACCCCACAGAGCTCATTCTAGTTTTTCATCTTTCTGGATCCTGAACTTCCTGATAAATCCCCCAGTATTTGCCAAGTAGCCACCTCTTTAATTGTGTGGTTACCCTCTTCACCCTGTTAAAATGCTGCATGCCAGATTGCACCCTTCCATGGATGCCTTTCTGACATTCTGCTTGGGCTCCAACACATCTGTGTCAGGCTGCCACTCTTCATAAATGCCCTTATTACGATGCTTGGGCCAGGTCTCCCCAAGCACATGAAAAACTGCACTGTTTTCGTGGGTTTGGATACCAAAGAAAATTGAATGACTGAAAAGTACTGAAGAGTTTACCTTAAAGGGAGGAAACTAGAGCAGAAGTTCTCCAAATGTGATCTCTAGACTCAGAACATCAGCACCCCCTGGGAACTTCTTGGAAATGCAGATTCTTAGGCTCCATCTCAGATCTGAATCAGAAACTCTGGTTATGGGGCCCAGCAATTTGTGCTTTAACAAGCTTTCTAGGGAATTCTGGCACATACTAGTGTTTGAGACCCTCTATCCAAAGGAGAGATAGAGTCTCAACTTAGTATTCTATCCTGCATCTAGGTTATCTCTGGCATAATGAAGACTCCCTGGTTGTCAAGGTCTTGGTACAATTTTTTAGGGCTTTGGAGCCATCCTAGAAATGAAGTCCTCCCATATGGATCAAGACTGGAATAATTATCCAGTTCAACCCACCATCCGTGGAAAACCCAATCCTCTAGGGAAAATCAAGGAATTATACTCGAATTAAACTGTGCTTTGTCTTTTTGGTATAGAAACATTTTAATTAAAGCCTTACAGTTAATAAATATTTAAAGGAAGGACCAGAAATTAGTATCAAAGAAATAAAAGTTTTGCAGTTTTCATTTTTGTTTTTTTGTTGTTGTTGTTGTTATTTTGAGATGGAGTCTCACTCTGTTGCCCAGGCTGGAGTACAATGGCACAATCTCAGCTCACTGCAACCTCCACCTCCTGGGTTCAAGCAATTCTCCTGCCTCAGCCTCCCAAGTAGCTGGGGTTACAGGCATGCACCACCACACCCAGCTAATTTTGTATTTTTAGTAGAGACGGGGTTTCACCATGTAGGTCAGGCTGGTCTCGAACTCCTGACCTCAGGTGATCCACCTGCCTCGGCCTCCCAGGTGCTGGGATTACAGGCATGAGCCACCACGCCCGGCCGAAAGTTGTACAGTTTTTACTTATTTTAAGCTCACATCTGATGTAAGAATGTACAGTTAATGAACTGTTACTCTCCCGTACTGGCTGTGTTTTCTACAGTATCAAAAATATACTTCAAGGCCAGGCATGGTGGCTCGCGTGTGTAATCCCAGCACTTTGGGAGGCTGAGGCAGGTGGATCAGTTGCTTGAGCCCAGGAGTTTGAGACCAGTTGGGCAGCACAGCAAAACCTCATCTCCCCAAAAAAATACAAAAAATAGCTGCTAGTGGTGGCATGCACCTGTGGTCCCAGCTACTCAGGAGGGTAAGATGGTAGAATGGCTTGAGCCCAGGAGGTCATGCCTTCAGTAAACTGAGATAATACCACTGCACGCCAGCCTAGGCACCAGAGTGATACCCTATCTCATTCATATATGTGTGTGTGTATGTGTGTGTATACACATATATATGCTTCACAAATTTTACTTATATATAGACATAGAGGCTTACATTTCAGGTAAATAAGATAGGCTCCGTATAAAGCAATTTGAGAATAAGAAAGTTTTATCTCTTTTTCTTGAGTGGCATGAAAAGATAAACAAAATACTTTATTTACAGTAGAGAACACAGCATATTCAAATTCAGTATTGTGACCTTCACCTCAACTGGATTAGCCAGGTAGTATGTTACTTGCTTAGATTCCTGGGTCAGATGTGTCCTGTATCCTTTAGCTTTTCTGTCAGCAAAAAGGGATAATTAGGACACAGAACCTGAATTTTAAAATGGTTTCAGTTTAAATTAAAGATTCCCTTGAATTAAAGCTGATTCCCTTCTTAAAGGTGATTGATATTTATGATTTTTCATTGTCTTTGTTCTCAAGGAGACTTTTATTGTCTTACTGCAAAATTTTTGTAAATATCTTTGAGTTCTGTTTTTTCTGAGTTTATGTGATTAAGGTTTTGAGAATATCTAGATATAGTACTTCTGACTTTTTCCAGACAAGAAACAAGACATATAAACATATACCCACTCACATTTACAAAGCCTAGGAGATGAAGTTTCACGTAATATGGACTTTGGCTTAATTTTGTCTCGTTCTTATAAATAATCCTTTGAAAATGTGTCTCAGAAAATCATTAACACTGAAAAAGGAAATATGAAAGACTTAGAATTCTGAAAATTATAACATAGTAGACTTTTTAATTTATTATCATTTGTGATTTCAACATTTTTGTGGGATTACCTTAAGAGCCATGACACTGTAACACTTTGTAATTTTGTAAAAGTCCTGATTGTCAATATATGCCCAGTGAGGGTTGGTAAAGAATAAATCTTGGCCAGGCACAGTGGCTCACGCCTGTAATCCCAGCACTTTGGGAGGCCGAGGCGGGCGGATCACCTGAGATCAGGAGTTCGAGATCAGCCTGGGCAACACAGTGAAACCCCGTCTCTACTAAAAATAAAAAATTAGCTGAGCGTGGTGGCACATGCCTGTAATCCCAGCTACTCAGAAGGCTGAGGCAGGAGAATCGCTTGAACCTGGAAGGCAGAGGAGGTGGTGAGCCAAGATTGCACCATTGCACTCCAGCCTGGACAACAAGAGTAAACCTCCATCTCACCAAAAAAAAAAAAAAAAAAAAAAAAAGAGTAAGTCTTGATAAGCACACTTGTTTTTGCAGTATGTAGATTTAAATTTAACTTTGTTTCTGGGTAGAAAATATATCCAGAAAAAAAGCCAACCACTAGTGCTGATATTAGAATTGATGAGAACACAAAGTCCAAGGACATGATGATATTTACCAAGGAAAGAGCAGCTTCTGCTGGGTGTAGTAGCTCACGCTGGTAATCTCACAACTTTGAAAGGCTGAGGTAAGAGAATCACTTGATTCTCTTAGTAGTTCGAGACCAGCCTGGGCAATGTGGCAAGACCTGGTCTCTACTAAAAATAAGAAAATTAGCTGGGAGTGCTGGCATAGACCTGTGGTGCCAGCTACACAGAAGGCTGAGGCAGGCAGATTGCTTGAGCCCAGGAATTCAAGACCAGCCTGGGCAACATGGCGAAACCCTGTCTCCACAAAAAATACAAAAATTAGCTTGGTATGGTGGCACATGTCTGTAGTCCCAGCTCCTGTGGTGGGAGGATCACCTGAGCCTGGGAGGTCAAGGCTGCAGTGAGCCATGAGCATGTCACTGTAGCACTCCAGCCTGGGCAACAGAGCAAGACCCTTTCTCAAAAAATAAATAAATACATTGAAGCATTCTTTGAATTGGCAGATATATGTTTTGAACCTAAATGACTGGACACCTTATAGAGACAACAAAGTGCTCCCTAACACTAACTTAATCAAGATGTTAGCCAGTAAATATTTGCTTATGAAAAGATGAAACTTTACTAAGAATTAGAAAGTAGCAGAGCTTATTACTTTGATCCCATGTTTATATAAATCACTTTCTTTTTTTAATTATTAATTTGCATTTTATAGCTTCAATTATATAATTACATGTTACACTATAAGTGACATTTGAAAAAATTGTCTTAGGACAACTGTCATATACATCAAGGTCTGTAGTGAGAATGAGGAAGGACCATAATTTTTATAAGATTAATTTTTTTTTTTTTTTTTTTTTTTTGTGAGATGGAGCCTTGCTCTGTTGCCCAGGCTGGAGTGCAGTGGTATGATCTCGGCTCACTGCAACCTCCACCTCTGAGTTCAAGCGATTCTTCTGCCTCAGCCTCCTGAGCAGCTGTGACTACAGGCTCCTGCCACCACGCCCGGGTAATTTTTGTATTTTTAGTAGAGATAGGGTTTCACCGTGTTGGCCAGGCTGGCCTCAAACTCCTGACCTCAGGTGATCTACCCGCTTCGGCCTCCCAAAGTGCTGGGATTACAGGCGTGAGCTACCAAGCCCAGCCAAGATTAATTTTTTTTTCTTTTTGAGACAGAGTTTTGCTCTTGTTGCCCAGGCTGGAGTGCAATGGTGTGATCTCGACTCACTGCAACCTCTGCCTCCCTGGTTCAGGCAATTTCCTTGCCTCAGCCTCACAAGTAGCTGGGATAATAGGTGCCCGCCACCACACCCCGCTGATTTTTTTCATTTTTAGTAGAGATGGGGTTTCACCATGTTGGCCAGGCTGGTCTCAAACTCCTAACCTCAGGCGATCCACCTGCCTCGGCCTCCCAAAGTGCTGGGATTACAGGCATGAGCCACCGCATCCAGCCCAAGATTAATTTTTAAATAGCAATACTTCATTAAATATATATATATATATCTTGCAGTTAGAAACTGTCATAAATGTATTACAGTGCTTGGTGCTGGTTTGTTTTGTTTTGTTGTTTGTTTGTTTGTTTGAGATGGAGTCTTGCTTTATCACCCAGGCTGGAGTGCAGTGGCACGATCTCAGCTCCCTGCAACCTTCACCTCCCGGGTTCAAGTGATTCTCCTGCCTCAGCCTCCCAAGTAGCTGGGATTACAGGCGCCCGCCACCAAGCCCAGCTAATTTTTTTTTCTTTCTTTTTTTTGTATTTTAGTAGAGATGGGGTTTCATCATGTTGGTCAGGCTGGTCTCAAACTCCTGACCTCGTGATCTGCCCGCCTCAGCCTCCCAAAGTGCTAGGATTACAGGCATGAGCCACCGTGCCTGTCACATTTCAGGTTATTAATGAGTATATTTCCCTTGAGCTAAAAGCATATAACACAGATTTCCATCTATAAATAATTTTACATATGTATTCCAAAGCCCTTGGATGTAGAGGGGAAATGGGTAATATTTAGCAAATTCCAGCCTGTCCTTTTCAATTACTAAAGAAATACAGGTATACCTCACTACTTGAATTCAGGTGATTTGGATAGCAATACTGTATGTCTGTAGATTTCTCTGCTAAGGCTTATGTCTAGATTTTACCACATTCACCAGGCTTAGTGTTCCCACCCTGTGGGTAGCTGACATCTTCACATAGTTTCTTGTAATAAAATATAATTAAATAGTGTTTAAATGTTAAATTAGATTCTTCCTCCCTCTCTTTCCCTTTCTCCATCCATCCTCAGTTTAATTAGTTACCCAGTACTTTTTCCACACCCACCATTTGGAGGAAGTTTGTGACAGAGTGAGTTGATGAGGGTACTTTTGATTTCACTGTGTTTCCTATTGCAGTCATTCTCTGAAAAATGATCAAAGACATTGGAATTATGAAAGACAGCAACAGACTCGGCTTCAGAAGATCCCATTGAGTGTTTTTCCTTGCGCTAGTTATATAGTCAGTTTCCCCCTTGTAAATTATTACAGTGGGGGATTTATTAGGGAAAACATCATTTAAAAATTTTAACGGCCGTGATAAACTGTCATTTGCAGTTCTCAGCTGACAGTCAAACAGCTGCAATCTGTTAGTGAGCTTTTACTTTCAGCTGCCAGAGGTCTTTCAACTCCTGTTCCCCTGGAAATGAGGAGGGCTGGGCTGGACGCATAGAAGGGAAGTGAGGGTTGAAATACACATTTTCCCATACCATATTTTTCATGCCTCCCCACAGTTTCCATAGAAATGGGAACATAAATAACACCCCACCCCAGACTTTGAAGAGCAATCGTTTATGTGTAAACTGCAGTAGATGGACCTTAAAGAGGCACACAAAATAAGCTAATCTTAGGGTCTTTCCTTTACTTGTGTTTGGCCAAGCCTAATTTCAGATAGATTCTCATTTGATTTACTCTGTACTTAAAAAATGATTCGATTTTTTTAAATCAATTTTTAGAAAGTTTGATATTACCTTTTTTTCTGAAATGAGAATTATCTTGAACATACTTTGATTGATAGGTATATATCTGTTGTTTATGTGTTAAAAATCTAGCAAGCTTGGTGTTCTAACTTTCCTCTCATGTTTGTTCTATCCAAGATTAAAGAAATGAATTTTGGGCCAGGTGTAGTGGCTCATGCCTGTAATCCCAGCACTTTGGGAGACTGAGGCAGGCAAATCACTTCAGATGAGGAATTTGAGACCAGCCTGGCCAACATGGCGAAACCCCGTCTCTACTAAAAAAGTACAAAAATTAGCTGGGTGTGGTGGTGCGTGCCTGTTACCATCTACTTGGGAGGCTGAGGCAGAAGAATTGCTTGAACCCAAGAAGCGGAGGTTGCAGTAAGCTGAGATTGCGCCAGCCTGGGTGATACAGCGAGACTCTGTCTCACAAAAAAAAAAAAAAAGAAAAAAAGAAATGAGTTTTGATTTAGGGAATGCTCCAATTGCATAGTATAAAAGGTCTTCTCAAATAGTCTTATTCTTATGCATTATTTTAGAAATTGCCCCACAGAACAGAGGTAATTATTGGCTCTGTCAAACATATCAGAGAAAACTTCCAAATTTAATTGGTTATCACAATTTTCTCATTTAGGTAACAAGAATATCCTATGTTAAATGCATTTCTATGTTTTTCCACTTATCAGCTCTGTGTCATCACATATTTCCTGTAACACCCGTACTTGAGGAAAATGTATGGGCATAGTCTTTATCTGTTTCTTTTATTCCAACATTTAACTAATTAACAAATTCCATTTGAATCATGAGACAGTAAGAATATGTGTAATTGAGTAAATCTGCTTTAGGCATCTACTAAGTATTCAGCTTTATGTTAGGTTGCAGTAGATACCAACTGTAAGTAAGGCAGAATTTTTTCCTTAAGGCATCCCAATGGAGTTTGGAAAATTCATACCCCAGGAATAGCTCATAACAGCCATATGTGATTATTACATGAGTGACATAGACTGATTCCCATGACTAGGAAAACTTGTTTCCTTTCCCTTTCTACTGTCACCTTTTTCACAAAGTCCCTTTCTCCTGATTTATTTTCATAACTTCCTAAATGTCCTTTCAATTGCTACCTTTCTCCTTTTGTTTGTTTGTTTGTTTCTTTTTTTTTTTTTTCTGAGACAGGATCCTGCTCTGTCACCCAGGCTGGAATGCAGTTGCACGATCAATCATAGCTCACTGCAACCTCAAACTTATGGGCTTAAGGGATTCTTCTGCCTCAGCCTCTGGAGTAGCTGGGACTACAGGCACATACCACTGACCATGCCTGGCTAATTTTTTTTTAAAATTTTTTGTAGAGATGGGGTCTCGCTTTGTTGCCCAGGCTGGTCTTGAACTCTTGAGCTCAAGTGATCCTTTCATCTCAGCCTCCCAAAATACTAGAATCACAAGCGTGAGCCACTGCACCTAACCCTTTCTTCTTTTCTTTATCTTCCCTTCTACTTTAGCATATACATGATTTCCAGATTCATATTTGTAAAACCAGTCTTGATCCTTTTACTATTTTAAAACCTCAGTGATCTCTTCACATCATTGTGACAAGATTTTTCTTTTAAAAGACAGTTCTAACGTCAGATATTCTGCCTCATAAGCCTGGCTACCAAAACAATCCAAAAACTTTTATTATTTTAGGTTCTTTCATATTCCAAATTGCTTCTCATATCCAGAATGGATGCAAACATCTGTTAAGACCATCTGCCTGGTTTTTATTTCAGAAAATATGGTCACTGAGCTAGCAACTACCAAAATAGGTTCATGCTTTCAGCGATTGGCAGCAACCTAGACAGTCTTCATTCTGGCTTCAGTGTATTCCTTCCGGCCTGCTCTGCAGGTACCTTATGCCAGGTCATCTAGCTCCTCACCCAAACAGAACTGCTTAGCACATTCAGTAGGCCCACATTTTGTAGCTCCATGCCTTTGCTTACAGAAGTTTCCTTTAGGTATGAGGAAAGATAGAAGCAATAACAAGTTGTTCCTTCCATCTGGAACTTCTTGTCCCTCCCTATACCCCTCTCATAGCCCTATCCTACTGTAATACAATCTGTAATTTACATTAAAACACCCCAGTCTACACAGCGTGTTAGTTAGTCTACACCTTGGATGTGAGTGATTAACATTTGAAACACTGATAAGGGAATACATAGTGTAAGGGTAGTTGTTTGGCATTGGAAATACCCTAATGAGGAGATAACTACTGTAAATTTAACCTGCTTATCTTTAAATCTACACCAGAGAGTTTTCTAGTTAGCATAAAGGATGTCAGAAATAATTTCAAATTGGATTGATTAGAAATACCATACAGGTTCCTCTGGCACATGAATTGCTCATAAGATTCTGGCAAGCCAGGTAGCCTAATGCCTGCACAGTGTCACCCGAGGCAGAGCACTGTTCGGGCCTGTTGACTATCACCTAACAGAAGATGCTTCCTACCTGGTAGAAAGGTAGTGAGGAGACCTATGGCCATGCCTGTCTTCAGTCTTTGGAGGCACTGATATATACCCTCCTCCTCCCCCACCAAAACGAAACAAAACAAAACAAAACAAAACAAAACAAAACCCTGACACTTCGGAATGGTCAATAGCAAAACCTCCCTCCAGGACGATGCTTACATGCTATCTCTTCCTTAAAGTCTATCCTAAATTTCCTGATGGATTTGTGAACTCATTCTCCTCTACACCATCATAGAATGAGGCTTATATTTCTGTTATGGCATTAATAAAATTTTAAAATTTATTGTAAGTTTCTTGATGAAAGGACTGTGTCATAACTTTCTTTGTATCCCACATAGCATGTGGCATAGTGTCTTGTACACAGTAGATATTTATTATAATGAGCACATGCATGTACTTACCAATTCTGTAAGGAACAGATCCAGCTTTGGGTCATAGGGACACTGGGAGCCAATGTGTGAGTTCTTAGAGTTCCATTAATTCACTGTTCATAGTTCTAAGGGAGTCAGGAGTAATTGTCCATAACTACATGGCTCTAGTTAGCCATTAGTGCAAAGACACACTGGGACTGATGTCAACAGCAGAGGAAAGTAGTGCTGTCTATGTTGTCTTCTTTCAGAAACTCATACCTAAATGTATTTCATACTGCTGTTCGGCCAAATCTGGCTCTAGATAATAAAGAAGGACAAATATTTAGGGCAGTTATTTCTCTTGTTCTATATTTCCTAGCCAATTTGAAGCAGTATATATAACTAACCAAGTACACCAGGAGAAAAGTAAAGGAGGTGCAATTATAGCACACAGATTTAAAAAACAAAGCAAAATAAAACATTTAATGTTAGTAAGATGATAGTATAGTATAATAGTTCAAAGCAAGGATATTAAACCCAGACTGCCTGGGTTCAAATTAATCCCCACTTTACTAGCTGTGTGGCCTTGGGCAAGCTATTTAACCTTTCTGTGCCTTTGTTCTTCTTCTGTAAAATGAAGATGATAGAACAGCACCTACTTCAGAGATGTGAGGCTAAAATGAATTCATACATGTAAAGCATATAGCACTCAGTGCCTGGCACATAGGAAGTGCTGGATGTGTTTGCTGTTCCTGCAGTGATATGGTTAAATCATAGCTCCAAAGGCAGAAGTATGCTAATTTCAGTCAGTGTGCAGTCCTTCTGTCTGTGTGCTTTGCAGTTCTCCGCCTCCAACTGAGTAATCTTAATGCCTTGAAGCCCCCAAATATTGGTGCTTATACCTTTCTTGTGGAACCTGTCACATTCTACCCTAAATTATATAATTATTTGTAAGCTCCTTAAAAGCAGAAACTATCTTCTTTGTCTTCCTCTCAGCACCCAGCAGAATGATTACATAACAGCCTTGCTTACACAATAGCTCTTTGCTAACTATTTGGGGAAACTATGAACCTCTGTGAGGTTGGTCCCTGGAGGCCCTGCACCTTGGACTGGTTCCTGTGTACCTCTCGTACTCTTCAGCTAGCAATCCCTCTCCTCACTGTGCTCCAGCAACTGGCCTTAAGTCCCTTAAACATGCATCCTTTTCCAAAACTGGCTTGATGTGTGTGTGACCTGTGCAGTCACATAGGTCCTCATACTTGGTTGAATGCTCTATCACTAGCTTGAAATTCTTAGTTTTTGTGTTCAATTTTTATCTTGCACTGAGCCTGCAAATTATGTAGCCGGTCTTGCTCTTGGTCATCCTGTGCTCATTGTTCCCTGTGCCTGGAACACCCTTTCTCCCTAATCCTCACTGGCTAACCTACTCTTCAAGGCTCAGCTTCATTGTCATTCCTCAGAGAAGCAATAAAAATTAGAGCCATGTATTAGTATCCCTCCACATTTTCTTCTCCCTCAGAGCACTTAACTTACTTTGTAAATACAGTATTTATTTATATTGTGATTATTTCTTTTAAGACTTTATCCCAGGCTGGGTGCGGTGGCTCATGCCTGTAATCCCAGCACTTTGGGAGGCTGAGGTAGGCGGATCACGAGGTCAGGAGTTCGAGACCAGCCTGGCCAACATGGTGAAACCTGGTCTCTACTAAAAATACAAAATTAGCCAGATGTGGTGGCGGGCACCTGTAATCCCAGCTGCTCAGGAGGCTGAGACAGGAGAAACCCTTGAACCCAGGAGGTGGAGGTTGCAGTGAGCCGAGATCACGCCACTGCACTCCAGCCGGCGCGACAGTGCGAGACTCCATCTCAAAAAAAAAGACTTTCTCCCCACCAGACTGTAAACTCCTCCAGGGGATAGACTGTGCCTTTGTTCCAGGACGGCTTTACCTGCTACATAGTAAATAGTAAATAAATATTTGTTGAGTGAGTGAATGAATAAATCATTTTTAGAAATGCCAAGTTGTGGCCAGATGCAATGGCTCACGCCTATAATCCCAGCACTATGGAAGGCTTAGGTGGGCGGATCACTTGGGGTCAAGAGTTCAAGACCAGCCTGGCCAACATGGCGAAACCCTGTCTCTACTAAAAGTATAAAAAAATTAGCCAGGTGTGGTGGTGTGCACCTGTAATCCTAGCTACTTACTCGGGAGGCTGAGGCCGGAGAATCGCTTGAACCCAGGAGGTGGAGCTTGCAGTGAGCCAAGATTACTCCACTGCATTCCAGCCTGGGCAACAGAACAAGACTGTCTCAAAAAAAAAAAAAAAAAAAAAGCAAAGTTGTATGGATAAGCTTTTCTTCCCAAGCTAAAAAGTTGATGTATAAAAATAGCAATTCAAGGCCAGGTGTAGTGGCTTACACCTGTAATGCCAGCACTTTGGGAGGCCAAAGTGTACAGATCACTTGAGCCCAGGAGTTCAAGACCAGCTGGGGCAACACAGTGAAACCCCACCTCTACAAAGAAATCAGCCAGGCTTGGTGACTTACACCTGTGGTCCCAACTACTCAGGAGGCTGAGGTGAGAGGATTTCTTGAGCCTGGAAAGTCAAGGCTGAAGTGAGCTGTGATTGCACCACTGCACTCCAGCCTGAGCAACAGAGTGAGACCCTGTCTCAAAAAATTAAAAAAAAAAAAAAAAAAAAGTCAGTGCAATCTTCATGCAATTTAATATTGCTAGTGATGACTTTTAACCAGTTCTACTTACTGTCTTTATAGATGGATGAATACAGTAAAATTCCCCATTTTTCTTTTCCACTGTTTGTTCTTCTCATATAATCTGGTATAGTAAAGTTGAATCTCTCTAAAGTCAGATTTACTCAGGTTGTCTTATACATTAGTTTCAAATTAAATTTCTTAGAGCATAAATGTCTACAGCCTTCTGTCTCTTGTATTTTTAGCAAGCGACATGTATTTACTTTTGATCTAATTGCCAGCGACAATTGACATAAAAGTAATGCTTCAGGTTTCTTAGCATTTTATGGTGGAAAGGCCAGTACTATGATAATGAAGTTAACACTTGATAATAATAGAGAACAGTGTCCTACTTGGTTTTCCCATCATTCTTTCTCTCCTCTCTTATTGTCTGTGTTCAAATAGTTTAATTAACTCACTCTGAATGCACAGCTGTATCAGCTTTCTGTGGTCCAATTTTGGAACTATATCTGTTTATTCTACTCCCTGGAATCACACCAATACAATTCAACATGTAACCAGATTTAATGCTTGCCATCTTACTGTCTCAATTTTTAGTGCTTGGTAGTCATTCCATTACTCTCCAAATACTGTACTAAAATTTTTAAGTGATAAATTTCTAACCAAAAACTTATTTACAAATGGATTTCTACTTGAGATTTACAATGGATTTTGAGCACCTCCCCCAAAAGAAATAAAAAACATCCAACATGGTATACTAACTTGATATTATTGCTTCTTAATTTTTGCAAAGAGGAAAAGAATCAGAATTTGCATAATTTAGCCCCACATTGAGAATAATCAATACAGTGAGAGAAGAATTTTTATTGCTTAAAAGAAAAACAGGCTAAATGTCCTTTTTTTTTTTCCTTCAAGTGTAAGGAATCTGAGAAAAACAGATTTTAAAACCAATAGAAGGAATGGTTATGATCCAGCAGCAACTGCTGCATGTGGGTGAAGAAAAGAACCCAGCATTATTTGTACAAATCCATAAGGGATGCAGTGGGAACAGAAAGAAACAAGGAAGTATAGGAAATAGAGAAGAAGGGCACTCAGTGAAGATGTAGGCCTCAAAAAATGTTCCATCTAAGCACTGACTGATTCCAGTACCTTAAGGTGATCTGCTTTAAGCTATAAATCTTCTGAGTGGTTTATGCTCTCAATGCTTTTTTTTCAGAAGGCTGTGAGAGGAGGAAAAATATATTATTTTCAGTCTGCCCCCTCTTAAGACTTTATGGAATTTTAAGCAGGCTTCTCCTAGAGTTAAATTCCTGATTCAACCACCCCAGAGTCTATTTGGCTATCTGTCTCTCTCTCTCTCTCTTTTTTTTTTTTCCTAGCTTGCCCAGAAAGATTAAAGTAAAGGTATTCTTTCTTTTTCTTTTTTCTTTTTAATCTCCTACGTTATGCCTGGTAATGTGGCAGATATCTTAGGTTCATTACCTCTCAGTTATGCATTAACAGCACCTCCATCCTTGAGCTGATTAGCTCAGTTAACTGCTGCAGGCTACTGACGAGGCTTATCAAAGGTCCTAGGTTTGAGAGCTATGCATGTTGGCTAGATGACAGGCAATGTAGATGATAGTCATGTAACATAGTGTATGACTAAGGCTTTAACTTTGGTGTCAAAAAGACCTTTTGGGTAGCTGGGTGCAGGGGCATGTTCCTGTAGTCCCAGCTACTTGGGAGGTTGAGTCAGGAGGACTTCTTGAGCCCAGGAGTTCATAGCCAGCCTGGCAACATAGTGAGACCCAATCTCTTAAAACAAAAGCCTATAGGGTCTGTCATTATTATAGGGCCTGTGTGTGTTACTTAGTCTTTCTTGGTTTACTCAATTTATAAAACGGATATAGTAACACCCAGTTTCTTTGTGAGGCTTAAGAAATATAAAAAATGCTAAATGATGGCTGGGCACTGTGGCTCACGCCTGTCATCCTAGCACTTTGAGAGGCCGAGGCAGGTGGATCACCTGAGGTCAGGAGTTTGAGACCAGCCTAGCCAACATGGTAAAACCCCATCTCTACTAAAAATACAAAAATTAGCCAAGTGTGGTGGCAGGCGCTTGTAATCCCAGTTACTCGGGAGGCTGAGGCAGGAGAATCGCTTGAACTCAGTGGGCAGAGGTTGCAGTGAGCCGAGATCATGCCACTTCACTCCAGCCTGGGCAAAAGAGCGAGACTCCATCTCAAAAAAAAAAAAAAAAAATATATATATATATATATATATATGTGTGTGTGTGTGTGTGTGTGTGTGTGTGTGTGTGTGTGTATATATATGTATATATATATGTATGTATGTGTTCAGTGCTTAGGTCAGTGCTGCAGCATGCATTTTGTGCTCAATTAAAGGAGATGGTCATCGTAGTTGTTTGTGTTACCCTATTACAAAACATAAACAATTCAAGTTCTGAGTAAGAGGTTTAAGTAAATTGCTCATAAAATTATATAGCTAGTATTTGGCAGAGAAAGTTTTCAAATGCAAGCGTGTTTAATTTTTTTCTTTTTTTTTTTTTCAGACAGTTTCACTGAGCTAATTTTTGTATTTTTAGTAGAGACAGGGTTTCACCATGTTGATCAGGCTGGTCTCAAACTCTCAAACTCCTGACCTCAGGTGATCCACCTGCCTCAGCCTCCCAAAGTGCTGGGATTATGGGATTACAGGCGTGAGCTACCATGCCCAGCCAAGCCTGTTTAATTTCTTTCTTTCTTTCGTTTTTTTGTTGAGATGGAGTTTCGCTCCTGTCACCCAGGCTGGAGTACAATGCCGCGATCTTGGCTCACTGCAGCCTCAGCCTCCTGGGTTCAAGCGATTCTCCTGCCTCAGCCTCCCGAGTAGCTGGGATTATAGGCATGAGCCACTGTGCCTGGCTAATGTTTTTGTATTTTTAGTAGAGATGGGGTTCCACCATGTTGGCCAGGCTGGTCTCAAACTCCCGACCTCAGGTGACCTACTTGCCTCAGCTTCCCAAAGTGCTGGGATTACAGGTGTAAGCCACCGCACCCAGCCAGCCTGTTTAATTTCTAAACCACCTCAAATAAAGTATCAAAGAGAAACTGCTGTTCAAATAATTGTGCTCGAAGAATATGGTTTTTCTCTTCTTTAAAACTTGATTTTATTCTTATATCCAAGCTGCTTATATAAATAGATTCTTGAAATATTTTGGGACACTAAAATAGTCCTTCCTGATCTTACAAATTTCTTCTCTCCTAAAATTTATGTATAAATTGGTTGTTTGAAACTCAGAATGGATATTCCCTTAGGAAGTGGTGGTTGTGTTCTCAGGCCAATTCATAAAAGCTTCTCTAGCCTGTCTCTTCTCCCTTTCTAGTGCTTAATGTTTAGTTCAGTGGTTTTCAGATGGACAGTATATCAAAACTGCCTGAGTAGCTTTGTAAAGATAAAGGTACTTGAACAAAAAAAAAATGAGAAAGAATGAGTAAGACCTCGTGTATGATAGCGCAGCAGGATGACTATAGTCAATAATAATTAATTGTACATTTAAAAATAACTAAAAGAGTATAATTGGGCTGGGTGCAGTGGCTCACATCTGTAATCCCAGCACTTTGGGAGGCTGAGGAGGTCAGATCACTTGAGCCCAGGGTTTCAAGACCAGCCTGGTCAACATAGCGAGACCCTGTCTTTACAAAAAATACAAAAAATTAGCCAGGTATGGTGGCGGGTGCTTGTAGTCCCAGCTACAGGCTAAGAGGTGGGACTATCACTTGAGCCCAGGAGGTCGAGGCTACAGTGAGCGGCACTGCACTTCAGCCGCAGCCACAGAGCGAGACCCTGCCTCAAAAAAAAAAAAAAAAAAAAAAAGGAGTGTAACTGGATTCTTTGTAACACAAAGGATCAATGCTTGAGGGGATCGCTACCCCATTTTACCTGATTTGATTATGACACATTACATGCCAGTTTCAAACTATCTCTTGTACCCCATATATAGATTAAATTACTATGTATCCACAAATATTAAGATTAAAAAAAAGATAAAGGTGACTGATCATACCTCAGATCTTCTGAATCAGAATTTTAGGGTGAATGTGCTCGATCCATCCCAGCAGAAGCCTGAGGCAGGGGAGGCATGATGTAGTAAAGGTACTAGAAGAAGTCCTGTGTGGCTGGAGCAGAGACCGGTTGTCTTTAAACTCTTGATTGTGATCCTTGTGAATGAAAGTCATATGAGCCGATACCACCAATATATGTATATTCATTTTTAAATAAATTAGCCACCTGTACTACAATAAGCACAAATATTTTTTAAAAGATGAAATAAAAATAGTCCTTCCTGACTATTTTCATATTCTAAAAACAGAACATGAAATTCTAATAATCACCTTTTGCTTTCTGTACCTATTTGGATAGTTTTATGTACTTTCTGGGATGGACAAACCACACTTTTGCAAAATATAGGCAAAGAGAGTGAAGGGAAGGTAGATAGAGACTAGATTCTGTAGGACCAGCAGAGCCAAGTATTTCTCTATCCTAAGTGCAATAGGAAGCAATTGGAAAATGTTAGGAAGGAAAATGATGTCAGATTTGCATCCTGGAAAAAATTACTTTGGCTGCCCAATAGCAAAAAGATTTAGTACAGCAACTATGAACATGGGGAGTCCACTTTGGAATTTATGGCACTAGTTCTGATGAAAGGTGATTATGCCTTGAATTGGGCATTGCCAGTGAAGTTTAAAAGAAAAACAAGATAGATATTTTTGAGGCGTACAGTATAGAATCTAGTGATGGATTGCCTGAGCATTGGTTGGGGGAGCAGACAATGGTGACTTGTGGGTTTCTGGCTTGAGCTTCTGGATGGAAGATGAACAGTGGGAGAAGAACAAATTGGGGGTAGAAGGTGGGGTATTAGTCCAGGTTTAAATATCTTGAATGTTAACCATCCAAATGATGATAGGAAGTTCACAATTGGATATGCAGGCTAAGCTTAGTAGAAGTTCTGGGCAGAAAACTATAAATTTAGGAGTTGTCAACACATAGTACAGAAATTCCTCTACCTCCAGATATTATTTATTGATAGGAAATATCTAAAGCAGAAGTGCCAAGGAGTTCCACAAAAATATTATACAAGATTAGACTTACAGGACTGAAGATGAGGAATTAAAAATGAACAGGTAAGCAGATTCTATAAAATGCAAGTCTCCCAAAATTGCTACAGCATTGGGACCACAGCTTATACTAGAATGTGGCAAATAAAGTACAAATCAGTATTTCAGAAGCTCTCAAAGATACTTTGATGAGCATGCTACATTCTGGAGTAAGCCACAAACATTGGAAAGTGGCTCATGTCATATAAGTATTCATGAATAAAGGTCCAGGTACATGTCACAAGTGTGCACACCACTAGGATTGAGTAATTGGGAAAGCTAGACATGTCAGATGAGATTAAAACAAGTACAGCACCATAGATTGTATGTTAGTATGAATTCAGGAGGAGAATGCCTGGGAATTTGATGTCTGTAAGAAGCCTTGGAAATTATGTTAGAGTTGCAAGAGAGAAGTATGTCCTTTGTCCCCACCCCCTTAAACCATTATGTTCCTTAAGTATTAGAATACAACTAATAATCATTTACAGGCTCTAACATTCTCTGAAGGTTTCCTCCTGCACCCAAGACACATGGGGCAAAATATCATTGTTTAATATGTTCCCTCTCCTCCTAGTGCTAAAAGCTTAAAAGGAGTCAAAGTGACTTCTTTTGCTGACCACTATGAAGAGGATTAAGTGAAGCCTATAGGGCGTGTTCCTCCTCTTGATGGATGCCTTCTCCTGATTCCTTTTCATCTGTTTCTTCTCGAGTGCATTATACTACTGCAAACTGTTAGAATTTTGGTTGCCACTGATCCACTTTATGTCCAGATCTTGATAAGTCCTTGCAAAAATAACTGTGACTCTGACTTGGAAACTCTCAGTAACCCCCAAATTTCCAAGGAAAGTGATACTATATTACATTTCTATTTTTTCTCTGTCCATTGATTAATATATTAAATGAGATAATTTATATTCATCCTAAGAAACTGTCTGAAGTGAGCAAGAGTAGCACATAATGGCTAGCACCTTTGGCCTATTAATTTTCTAGGCACCTGAACTGAGCACCAGGAATCTTCACTTCTGAAAATGTTAACTTGGGTCATATCAGCCTTTAAAAAAGAAAAACACAGTGATGTACTTTACCAGTATTTGCATCCATAAATTAATATTTTTGTATCTTTCATTTCTGAATTACAGAAGCAGATTCATCAAACCCTGAATGATAGCTCTTACAAGTGACTGGCCCAATGTTAAAACTGAGCACAGGAGAAATGCTCTGTGTTTTAACTGGGCAAGGAAGCTTGCATAAACCAGTCATCATGAAAATCCTCCTCACTGAGGTGCTTCTCCCTCTCCAACCCTCTGTCCCACAAATTTCTTCTTGATCATCTTTGTACCTTTTATAAATATCTGTTATTGCGCTTATGAAACTAGATGATAACTAGACACATATTTGGCACTACGTCTAGACTGTCAGCTTCTTGAGCAGCTTTACTTTAATCATCTGGTCCCAGGCAGTAGAGCAAAGTGGTTAAAGAGGGCAGGCTCTGGAGGCCAACTGGATTTCATTTCTGTATGATCTTGGGCAAGTTACCTATCCTCAACTTATTTGTAAAATCCAAATAATACTTCCCTCATGGAGTTGCTGGCAGGATTAAATATAGATTTTTCTAAATTAATAGGCTTAAAACTGTTAGGAAATTTTTTGACTTGAAGGAATTACATACTTAGTGGCAATTACTGCTAACCAATAACAAAGCAGAGGGAAGTGGACATCTGAATACATCAATGCAGTGCTAAAAACCTTGCACACTGGTCCAGGCCTCTCTTCTTGTCTTTATTGATAGTTTAGCTCAGAGGCTTTTAGTATGAATCCCACATCTTCTCAAGCATGTACCCCTCAAACCTACCAGCCCCCAACATCCACACCTGGTTTAGAAAGGTTTGTAGGCATCCTGTTTGTCACAGTGACAGGCAGCCGCTACTGACATTTAATAGGTGAAATCATAAATGGGCCCAGGGATGCCATGGGCTCAGAAATGGAGAGCGGAGTCTACACCAAAAATTATTCCACCCAAAATGCCAATAATATCTTACCTTGAGAAACACTGGTAGTGCCCAGGGTCTTTTCTCTACTAAAATGCAAAACCAACTTTTCACAAAATTAATATACTATTTCATAAAGTCAGAATATGCCAAAGATCATGCCATATATATTACAGAGCATAGATCAACTTGAAAAATCTTTACGTATGTATTCTGTTATTTCTCTTTTCTGTGTGTAAGTTCTTTTCAAGTTACTACAGTGAGTTTCAAATTTGTTATTTAAGAGTTCTATTATTCTGTTCATTATGATCCGAAGTTTAAGATCTGCGGTGTTGAAAAGCACTCCTAAATATACAAAGCCCTTGAACTCCTAAATAAACAAAGCCCTTGAACTCCTAAATGTACAAAGATCTTGTTTGGGCCAGGCCTGGTGGCTCACACCTGTAATCCCAGCACTTTGGGAGGCTGAGGTGGGAAGATTGCTTGAGCCTTGGATTTTGAGACCAGCCTGGGCAACATAGTGAGACCCTGGCTCTACCAAAAAAAAAAAAAAAAAAAAAAAAAGCTAGGCATGGTGGTGTGCCCCTATAGTCCCAGCTACTCAGGAAGCTAAGGTGGGAGGATCACCTGAGTCCAGGAATTTGGGGCTGCAGTGTGCTGTGATTGCGCCACTGCACTCCAGCCTGAGCAACAGAACAAGACCCTGTCTCTTAAAAAAAAAAATGATGATTGAGTTTGATAATCAGGAAACTTAACCAAATCTTATATGTAAGCAAATAAATATGTTTTTATTTGTTTGTTTTATTTTGAGACAGGGTCTCACTCTGTCACCTAGGCTGGAGTGCAGTGGCATGATTTTACCTCATTGCAACCCAGCCTCCCAGGCTCAGGTGATCCTCCCACCTCAGCCTCCCAAGTAGCTGGGTCTACAGGCATGTGCCACGATGCTCAGCTAATTTTTGTATGTTTTGTAAACACAGGTTTTCACCATTTTGTCCAGGCTGGTCTTGAACTCCTGAACTCAAGTGATCCACCCACCTTGACTTCCCACAGGGCTGGGATTATAGGCATGAGCCACCACACCTGGCCAAAATAAGTTTTATTAGAAATAACTCACTTTGGGAGGCTGAGGAGGGCAGATCACTTGAGGTTAGGAGTTCAAGAGCAGCCTGGCCAACATGGGGAAACTCCATCTCAAATAAAATACAAAAATTAGCTAGGCATGGGTGGCATGCAAAAAAAAAAAAAAAAAGAACTAATGCATGTGAAATTCAAATATTAGTAAGTATTCAAAATAAGATATGAAAGTAAGAATACAAAATAGGGTGATATCACTGGTTGATATGATTAGTGAGATGAACATTATTAAGGCAAATTCTTCCGATAATTATTGTTATACAACATGATTAATATATATTCAGTCTGAAAGAGTCATATATACAAATATGAAATAAACACCTCAAATGAGAAGAAGAGAGAAAACATGGAGAATGAAGAAAGTTGGGTGTATTCTTTTCAGTCTTCCCCTCCCATATCTCCGTCTGAGGCCAGCATGGCTAATATTGAGAAAGAGTAAGGCAAATGAGTAATTATTGTGCTCTGTCTTTTACTGTTATTGAAGGTCACTGTTTAACACTCCCTCGCCATTCCCCTAACCACTCCCCTTTGCCTTAAATTCATTAAGCTGTATTCTTTGTATTTCCTGATAACAGCTGACAAGGACCCACTCTCATCTGTAATGACAGGTGAGGGTATTGATGATAAGTAGAGTTAATAAAGCTTCTCCAGTGATTTAGAATTATAACGCTCTGAGTATTATCATCAGGGGAATAGATGAAAAAGCCCATTTCATTTTGTGCAGTGTCCTTCAAACTGCTGGTTATGAAATCATTTTAGAGGGTCTGTGAAATCACTGTGGAATACGATGAAACGTAATAGAAAGTATCAGCAGACACTGTGGGAGATCGGTCAGAGCGGTGGGGAAAAACTATAGGGAAAGGACGCAAACCTTCTGAAAGGTCAGAAGGTTCTGCAGAGCCCCAGGGGAGAATAGCTGAAGGCAGCTGTTCTGTAACCCTGAGGCATTGGGCAAGGAGTAGGTACAAGGCAGTGTAGGGGAATTTATCTTAAACAAACTTGTTTACTTATGTTGACCAGGAACTGACCTTTGATCATCCGTGGGGACGGTCCCCCTGAAAGGGGAACAATAAATGTTAATTACCTAAGAGGTTTTTAAATTTCTTTCTCCAGAAAGAAAAATTTCAAGCGTCTGAATCCCATTCAGTATTCTCTAAAATAAAATCAAGTTTGTCCTGAAAGATGGTTTAAAAACTGAAAATCTATTTTCTTTGATTACCTCATAAATAACAAGAGTTTCATATCAGCTCTCCTGTCTCTTCCTCCTCCACTCTTTTCCCCTCTTTCACATTGTGCCAATCACACAGGTGGATGCTCAGTATCACCCCACAGCACAAGATAAATAAGCTTGGAAGGTTTCCTAGCAACATATTGTTCTGGGAACCTGCTCTGTTTCCCTGAACAAGATGAAGCCAAATATCCTAGAATCTCAGCCAGATGGGAAAGGATTAGCTTATTGAGAGTGTTATTGCCTTTTTTAAAAAAATGTTTCACTTTGAAATGAACCTCTTAATATAAGTAGCAAAAGTGACTTTTAAAAGGACATGTAAAAATATCCCTTTAAAAGGACATTTTTTTCTCTTACATGTAAAAAAAAATTGATAATAGTTTGAAGTTTAAAAATATGGTTTCAGAATTCTCTAGGCACAAGCTTCCAGTATGTAATTCAGTCACTGGTGAGTGGATCCATTTTAGAACCATGTAGAAAATACTTCCACATGGAACTAATTCTCAGCCTGGTGTCCAGTGGTATGGTATTCCTGCTGTAAAAATACTGAAATACTTCCGATCTGGTGGGAAAATGGCTCCTGGAGTAGGCTCTCTCCTCACAATACCTTTAGCTGCTCCCCTTGGCCCTTGTTTCTGCTCCTAGGGAAACATTGGAGACACCTTGTTACTGCTTAAAACCCTGAAGCTTCCCCTTTTTCTATAGCTCCAGGGCTATTTTAGTGCTAGTGATTTGCAACTTCATCTTCAGAGTCTATTTTTGGTTTTCTCAGTGTATGATTAATGTATATAGAGAAAATAAAAGAAATTGAGACTGCTATCAAAGCCAAGAAAAATAATGTTGTCGTTTTGTTAACACATGATTGTGTATATTTCCCTTGTTTATCTAATGATCTGTGAGGCTACACAGTTGGCAGGTGGTGCTTTCCTTTCTATTGCACTCTAGTTGGTCACAGTATACTTGTTAGAGGTCTCTGGAGATGGAGTAATAAAGGATTCGTGTTTCTCATAACAATATTCAGCAGTGGCTTTGCAATTCAGTTACACCCTGGAAAATGTCCTCACTCCTTGTTTGGCTGGGGAGACATTCCCCCATCAGCCAGATGAATATTCTCATAATGTGGTTGTTGACTGGTTTCTATCATCTATCAGGTTTGGACTGAGTTTGTGAAACTTCCCAATTGTGGTGAGAAGCAGATAATTCTAGTACTTCATAGTGTTCCTGGATAAGAAGAACAAAGTAATTAGAATAAGATGGGGAATGACACCTGGAGTCTTTGTTTTTTATGTAACAAATTATCTGGCCAGATGCCAGAGAATTAGTACTGTCCTCATTTTAATGAAAATAAGGAAATTGTGAGATAATTTTATATTCATGCTAGATGCTTTCCATTCTCTTTTGCTCTCTCACTCATATGTATATGTTTTCTAAATACCATATTTTAAACTCAACAAGGAACAATCTGTTGAGGGCCTAGTATGAGCCAAATACTGCTAGGTATTATGGCAGATACTGAGGGCAACACATCATCCTTGCCTTCTCAGAGTACGCAAGAAGTTTGCAACATAGCACGTTTGTAATCTTAAACCAAACAAAAACATTAAGGAAAGGTGTTGCTGTGTAAAGGAATCATAGGCTAGGCACAGTGGCTCAGGCCTGTAATCCCAATGCTTTGGGAGGCTGAGGAAGGAGGATCGCTTCAGCCCAGGAGTTTGAGACCAGCCTAGGCAACATAGCCAGACCCCATCTCTACAAAAGTTAAAATAAAATAATATAAGTAAGGGAATTCTATAACTTTGATTGTCCAAAGAAAGGCTAAAAGTAGATTTAATATGTATTATGGAACAGAATAAGTTCTAATACGTTAATTTTGATTGAATACTTATTTTAAAAAAAATTTTAAAAATGTCCATAAACCAGGCATTGTTTTAGATACCTCTCTGTTAACTCATTTAATTCTCCTGACACCATTATGAGGTAGAAATTTTGTTTACCTGCTATTTTATAGATGAAGAAACTGAGGCTAAGAGAGTTTTTTTGTTTGTTTGTTTTAAAAGACAGGGTCTCATTCTGTTGCCCAGGCTGGAGTAAGTGGCCGTCATAGTGCACTGCAGCCTGGAACTTGTGCGCTCAAGCAATTCTTCTGTCTCAACCTCCAAGTAGCTGGGACTATAGATGTGCACCACTGTCCCCTAAGAGAGGTTAAATATCTGTTTACTGAGGGCTTTTATACTACGCTGTGCTTATTTGTTTATTTTTAAAATTCTAAGAGTCCATAGGAATCTAGTCTTTTTTCAGAAAATAGTAAACTACTGTCTTTTGTGGATGACATAATTTTAGCAAGAAATAAATGGGTTGTTTAGATGACTTTCTATTATCTCATACAGCATAATGATTCTATATTTGAGTTTTCATTGTCAAACACTAAAACCTCCTTTGTTTTCAGTGTACTAACTCCATTTTAGAATATTTTTCTCTTCTCTTCTTTTTTTTTTTTTTTGAGACTGAGTCTCGCTCTATCACCCAGGCTGGAGTGCAGTGGTACAATCTTGGTTCACCGCAACCTCAGCTTCCCAGGTTCAAGCCAGGCTCATGCCTCAGCCTCCAGAGTAGCTGGGATTACAGATGCCCACCACCATGCCCCGCTAATTTTTGTAATTTTAGTAGAGACCGGGTTTCACCATGTTGGCCAGGCTGGTCTCGAACTCCTGACCTCAAGTGATCCGCCCACCTCAGCCTCCCAAAGTGCTGGGATTACAGGCATGAGCCACCACGCCCAGGCCATTTTAGAATATTTCTTGTAGCTCAATTTTTTACTTATATAAAATAATAATTTTCATTTTCAACATAATAGAAGGATATGAGTGAATTATATTTAAGAAAGTTAAAATTAATAGCACTATTAAATACATTAACAAGAGAAGGTTGTGACATCAGCAATATTATTTATAACAGAGGTGGACAAACTGTAGCCTGTTTCTGTAAATTAAGTTTTCTTGGAACACAGCCAGGCTCATTTGTTTAGGTATCACCCATGGCAGGTTTTGTATAATAATGACAGAGTTGAATCTTTGCAACTTAGACTATATGGCCCACAAGGCCTAAAATATATACTGTCTGGACCTTTACAGGAAAAGTTTGCCAACCTCTACTCTGGAATCTCTATTTTTCTCCTAACTTTGAGTTGAGCATGTTCCCTTAGAATGCCAGAAATTTAACTAGCAAACACACCTGAATTTTTTTTCATAAATGGTGTCCTTGTCTAACATGGTTTTCCTCAAATCCCTGCAGGTACCAACCAAGAAGCTGAAGAAATATGAGAAAGAATATCAGACAATGCGAGAGAGTCAGCTGCAACAGGAAGACCCAATGGATAGATACAAGGTATGAGAAATATGTTGCACCTATCAAAGTACCTTCTTTTTTGTTTTAAATGAGACTGAGTCTTGCCGTGTTGCCCAGGCTGGTCTTGAACACCTGGCCTCAAGCAATCCTCCCACTCCAGTCTCCCAAGTAGCTGGGATTACAGGCACGAGCCACCATTCCCAGCAAAGTACCTTTTTTTTTTTTTTTTTTTTTTTCTTAAAGCAGCAGTTGTGGCAAGTTCAATTCCCTCTGTTCTTCCTTGATTGATTTAGATGCTCTCTGATCATGCTAACTGTCCAGGTATGTTTTCATTTCAGGAGACTCCCAAATAGCCAACCATAATATTTCTTTTCTTTCAGTTTGTATATTTGTAGGTAACTCCAGCTGTTGCATTTATACTGGGAATCTTCATAAGAAGCTGAGAGAAAGAGAGGGGAAAAAGAAAGTGGCTTTCTACTTTCAAAAATGAAACAAAAAGGAAAAATGGCAAAGTACTGTTTTAGCTGTGCATGTCATATCCACAAAGACTTTTAGCAGGTGAACTGTTCCAAGACTGACACAAGGATGTTTCAAACTTGCCTCTGTCTGTAGAAAATGTTAAAAATACCAACTCACTTGGAAGGAAAAATAAAAATCACAAAGGTATATTGAGCACAGTAGTGGTGTTTGTTGCAACATTTATTTCCACAAATGAATTTATGAACAACAGTGATATTTGAGTTAAAGTATGAAGTTTCAGAATCAAAATAATTTCATTTTAATACGTTCGTTAATTGTGAATCTCTTCAATGGTAATTAGCAACACTGTTCCCAGGATGCAAAGTTGGGAAACACTTATTTCCAACTTATTTTTTTCCAAGTAAAATATTATCTCTCTTCAACATGCTTTAACTTTTCAGACTCACACAGATACGTAACAGCTCCTTCTCCCTCCATATCAATACACTAAGATAAAAGAATACTGTATTTTCAGCACTGAGCAGCAGTGCCAAAATCTCCTGCCAAGAAATGGACTGTGTGGCATTATTAATTAAATCACCCACATTGGGATGACTTCCACTTTTGTAACTAGAGTTATCTTTATGTGGTCAGAGCTGGACATAGGCAGCATAGTCACACAGAACATCTTATCTCTGTTGCTGAATTGAATAGCATGGGATGTGTGCAGAGGAACATGGTGGGAGTATGTAGGTTTTGTAGTCAGACAGACCTGAACTCAAATCTTGCTCATTTTTTAGAGCACAGGATTTGGACTCCAAATTGAGGGTTTTAATCCCCATGCCACCATTCAGCATCTTCGACTAGTTATTGAACCTCTTCCTCATCTATAAAAGATATAGTGTTTCTGATTCCTTGATGGATTGTTACAAGGATGAGGGATGCTGTATGTTAAGGACTCAGCTCATAGTTGTGTTCAATAAATGGCTGTTATTTTATGAAGCCTACTACTACAGATTATGCAATTATTACTAGAATAATGCCACCTTATGTGGGTCTTCCCCTCTAGTCCCTTATTGATTGTTCTTATTTCTCTCAAGTATTGCCAACCAATAATCTCCCCTTGCTTATAGAAGTGGTTCAAGATCTGATTATAAAATCCCACATACTTCTATAGCAGATAACTATTAACAGATAATGTTTGAAGCTAATTTTCACCACCAACATCCCCTCAATAAAACCAGCTTTTAATGTAAATCACATAGCATGCTGCTTTAGAAAGGCTTGAAGGTAGTAATTATAAACTATTATTAAGCATCCAAAATGAAGGTCTCCTTTTGCTAATATCATTCAGATTTTCTTATTACTACAATTATTATGAATAAATTCTGTGAAGAGTGCTTTAAAATAAGAGAGAAATGGAAGACCAAACTTGTACATTTAAAATCAGGCTGGAATTGAACTTGTTATTGTGTCTTAAATCCTTTTTTGTGCCAAAGCAGGTATGTATACATTAATAGTAAGATGTACATTATTTTTAAAGTACTTATAACATGTAAGATTATCAATATGTATAGTTTTTATTGAGAGATCAAAGTAGGATTAAACTTCTTGTTTTGAAAGCAGGCATTACTTTTTAAGTTCAAGTATTGTTGATTCTTATTTACACATATCGGATACCCTCTATTGCTATTTCTTTTAGATTATTGTGATAACTTGTCAGTACATTCATCTAATGTCTCTATACTCTTAATAATGTCTAGGCATTTGTCCTGGTAATACACTTGGTGAATTTATAGTTCTTAGATTATAATTACATCTTCAAGGTGGCAGTCAACAACATAAGTTTCTAACCATCAACATATTTGGTTTGTAAGATGATCAATATGCAGTTTAAGAAGCCATATTATAATTATCTTAATTAAAGTAGCAAAGTTAGAAAATACCTTTTACATCTTCTAAATTTAATCCTATGAAGAATAAGATCTCTGTCCTGGGAATGAGCACTTTGTAATTCATAGATCTTGGACTGGGAACCCAGTTAATGTAAACTCTTAAAAGACTGACTTGGGAAGATCTTTGAGGGCATTGAGTGAGAACTTGCACCAGTTCAGTAACAACCCCTCCTCAACATTAGAATCTATATTGCTTAAAAAGTCATTTCCACACCCTAGCTTGCCATATGACAAGAGAGTTAGAAGGTTGTGGGAAATTTATTTTTTAAAGCCCACATATGTTATATAATAAGATATTTTAAGAGGTATTTCAGTTCAGTGCTATTTCTTTTGGACATGGTGGCATATGTAAAAGGGCTATCACAGGGAACCTAGAGGTGGGAATACAGATCCAGCAATGTGAGGTAGCTCTCAACAGTCATACTTCTTGCTACATCTATGTAAACATGTGTTTTATGTCTATTTTTATGACATATGCAGATATCTTCATGGTTAGGTTATATCGCTGTAGTCACCTTTATTCAACACTTAAATCTCAACCACAAAGAGATGAAATAATGTTAGTATAAATTTAAATTTTAAAACTCGACATATCTTGAAAATCTTCTGGAATTAGGAAGTAGTGATGATTGCACAACTTTGTGAATATACTAAAATCATTACATTGCACATTTTAAAAACATGAATTTTATGGTATGTGAATTACATCTCCAAAGAAAAAAAAAAGCAGAATATTCCAGGAGGATTGTCATTTAGCCTACCCTTTTCCTTTCATGAACCCTAAATCACACCAGAGGTACCTGTTTAGAAGCAGGAGGGAGAGCTTCCTGTTGAAATTAGAGCTAATTAGTGACTATTGATCTTATATGTGTCCATATTTGCAGAATAAAAGCCAACACAGTGGGTGGTACATTAATTTTTAGTGATGCCCATTAATTTCCAGGTAGAACATATGTTGTACATTATATGTATACACACATATAAACATATATAAGTAGGTAATACACACACATATATGCACTGCCTGTGCTACCTGGTCTTGGCATCAGTTTATATTTTAAACTCAGTGAACACCATAATGACTGCTTTATAGCCTTTACTCTTTCTGTTTTTCTTCATGACTAGATTCCAAGAGACAGAAAGGAAACTTTTTTGAAAGAACAATGTAGAATGTTTATTTCAAATCTCTTTTATCCTCTTTCTTAACTTGCACCTGACCAGGTTTGTGTAAAATTCTTTGTCTACTCTAACATTTTGGTTTGTAAATTTAGTGATTGATTTCTAATGAAGTGAAATTAGGATAAAGATTTGACTGTAGAATAAGCATGTTTTCATTTTTATACAGGTTCCCAGAAGACACACATTTATCAATATGTGTAGCTGTTTTAGTATATTTTAGAAACTAGTAACTAAGCCCTTAATAAGCAAAGTTACCAATTTCAGAAATTAAAATACTTTCTATCTTAAAGAGATGAATTGTTTCTGTTGTGAGGAAAGTTTTCTAGTGATGGTATCAGTTGCTGGTACTTTTTGGAGATCTGTAGCCTTCATCTACCTTTGGAGAACGATATGCTTTTCTGGTTTAATTAAATAACTATTTGCACAAATGTGAGTTAAGGCTTAAAAACACAGCTAATTGGCCGGGCATGGTGGCTCTTGCCTGTAATCCCAGCACTTTGGGAGGCCGAGGTGGGTGGATCACTTGAGGTCAGGAGTTCCAGACCAGCCTGGCCAACATGGTGAAATGCTGCTTCTACTAAAAAATATAAAAATTAGCTGGGTGTGCTGGCAAGCACCTGTAGTCCCAGCTACTCGAGAGGCTGAGGCATGAGAATCGCTTGAGCCTGGGAGGGGGAGGTTGCAGTGAGCCAAGATCATGCCACTGCACTCCAGCGTGGGCAATAGAGCCAGACTCTGTCTCAAAAAAAAAAAAAAAAAAAAAAAAGAAACGACCAGGTGCAGCAGCTCACGCCTGTAATCCCAGCACTTTGGGAGGCAGAGGTGGGCAGATCACAAGGTCAGGAGAATCGAGACCATCCTGGCTAACATGGTGAAACCCCATCTCTACTAAAAAATAAATAAATAAAAATATAAAAAAAAATTAGCCAGGCGTGGTGGTGGGCACCTGTAGTCCCAGCTACTTGGGAGGCTGAGGCAGGAGAATGGTGTGAACCCAAGAGGCGGAGTTTACAGTGAGCCAGGATCACGCCACTGCGCTCCAGCCTGGGCGACAGAGTGAGACTCCGTCTCAAAAAATAAAAATAAAAATACACCCCCCCCCCACACACACACACAGCTAGTTAATTAAATTCAGTGAATCTCCCAAAGCATAATAAAGGTTACCTGTTCTAGATGGGAAAATACTAAAAGAATCTGGAATGCTTAAACTCTCTTGGGTTTGGGACACAGACATTATTATAAATACATAATTTCTAATTGAAGTGTCTTATCCATGTTCAGTACAATTAAATTTAGAATGTTTAACCTCATTCTTGAGATTAAACAAAGTAATTTTTAAAATCAAAATGTAATTTAAACAAAGAAAATGATTCCTCTATGTTTCCACAGAGTTTTTTCTTGCACATACTGGTTTTTGTAGAGCAATTGCTCCTACATGTAATTTCAAATTAAGCTATTATGCATAGTAAAAATAATACAAATGAAATATTTGAAATAAAGCTTAATTGTACTTTTTTGCCATCCTTAAATATCTAATGCAATAGTTTAGAGTAATTTTCACATTTCTTTTAAACTTGACAAATAAAAGTTTAAATTAGTATACATTTCTTACCTATAAAAAAGAGGGAGTAGACTTTTTAAAAAAACTGTTGGACCCTTTCTTACTCAGGGGAGTCAAGATAAGTGAATCCATCTTTGAAAAATGTTTTTCTGGCTGGGTGTGGTGGCTCACACCTGTAATCCCAGCACTTTGGGAGGCCAAGGCAGGTGGATCACTTGAGGTCAGGAGTTCAAGACCAACCTGGCCAACATGGTAAAACCCTGTCTCTACTAAAAATACAAAAATTAGCTGGGTGTGGTGGCACATAACCTGTAGTCCCAGCTACTCAGTAGGCTGAGGCAGGAGAACCTCTTGAACCTGGGAGGCAGAGGTTGCAGTGGGCAGAGATCGTGCCACTGGACTCCTGCCTGGGTGACAGAGCAAGACTCCGTCTCAAAAAAAAAAAAAATTTTTTTTCTGCCATAGCAAATAAACTTACATTTTATTATTTTTTCATATCCCAAAAACTGTGTTGGCTTTTGGAAATAGTATGTTATGAAATAATGTGCTTTTAAGGAATAGTAATAGACACAAGGATGGTTTATATATGCCTATGATAACTTAATGATAAACTTCAGAAGTCTTCCACTTTCTCTTTGAGCTTGGATAATCCAGAGAGTTCATTGTTATAGGATGGTGAAGATGCAAAACTAAATCCTTTTGGCTTCTCAAGCAATATAGCTAATAAGGAGTGGGCGATTTCTAACAATGCTGGTCTGCTAGAGTCCCTTATACTTAACCCTTGGGGGAAGAATATGCTTTAGGAACACTAAGAATTTCTAGTATGTTTACTGGTGATCTTCAGAGTTTTCAAGAAACTTTCATTAATTTTTAGAAAGTTTTCTTTTCTGTTTAAGTATTACTGAGAAAATTACCTGACACTAATATGTTTCTATATCATCTAGAATGCATCTGCTTTTTGAAAATTTGATTTGTGTACTAGAGTAGAGCAAGGATCTGCAGACTGTGGTTTATAGGCCAAATCTGGCTCACTGCCAGTTTTTGTAAACCAAGTTTTATTGGAACACAACCACACCTGTTTATTTATTTATAGTGTATGGCTGGTTTTGTATGACATTTGTAGAGTTGAGAAATTTCAACATAGACCATGCGACCTGCAAAGCCTAATATAGTTACTTTCTGGCAATTTACACTAGAAGTTTGCTGACCCCTGTGCAAGAGTATAACCTAAGATAGTTTTTTAAGCGCTGAAAGAAATGCAGTCTGTTTGGCCAGCTGTCATTTATCACTGACAAGATTTTGTTTTTAGTTTGACATTTAAAAATTTGAAATTTTCCACTACAAAGATAAAATTGGATGTGATGAGTAAAGGAGGGAAGCACAAAACCTTCAAATATCCATATTTTCTTTCTCAGATCTTCATTATGGACAACATAGATATTTAAACATTTTATCTGTAGGCATTTGAAAACTTGAATATGATAGCTGTCAACTCTTTTAAAAGAGGTATCCAAAAGAAAATATGTGAGAGTTGAGTGTGTTGTTGCTAATAAATTTGCACTGAGTCTTTTAGGAAAACATTTTCTCCTGACCCTTAAAAGTCTTTAAAAGCATGTGCCAAGAATTCATCATAGCAGCAGACAACACCCAAAATATTGAGCTAGGGTTTATAAAGCCGCCTCCCTCCTCGTCATTTTTTCCTTTAAAGCTTAGTTTCTTTACTTTTAATTAACAGTTCACATTTCTCTGGTTTCTCATCTTGAAATAAATGACGTTCACAATCCCTTGAACCGCTTCACCCAGACTTCAGCCCCCAGGTACACATGAGATCCAGGATCCATTTTTCTTTTGCATTGCCCTGCCCAGCAATTTCATTCTTTTGTCTGAAGATGAACTATTTTGCAAGATTTCTGACCTTGTCATATAAGGAAGTTCCTTCCACCCAGCTTTAACAACACAGTATCAACACCTCACACCGTAGTTCCTTAATAGTCCCACATACAGCATTTTAGTCATTCATGCAAACTGTAAACAGCAATGTGGAGAGGGAGGAGTTTGAAGATATGAGTCTTCCTGAGTTGAGACTTGCCCACTGGCTACCTCAAGTATCTTTGTTCCATTGAATGTTTGCGGTCACAGAGAGAACTTAGAGTTATATGACACTCAAAGGAAAAGCAAAAGAGCATTAAGAAGTGTCTGTTTTTGTTATTGCCATTTCATAAATATTTTAGTAGGTGTTCAATTTCATTGGATATTCTTTTTTTTTAATTGTCTTTGTACCTATGATTGAAAACAGTAGTTGGTCTATGACTTTTGAGGAGGTAAGTTTTTTTTTTAATCTATGTATGTCTGTAACATCAGTGTCTGTCTCTTTGAAAAATGCAGTATCCTCCTCCCAAAAGTTACTAACCAAACTTTCCCAGCTGTACATCTCCTATCCATAAGGGGTGAAACTATGAGGACAGTTGTTATCTGCTTTTTGTTCAAACGGTGTCAGTTGTGTGAGATGGGGAGTATATGTTTCAGACAGTGTGATGTGAGTTTTAAGAGTTATGTAAGCAGTGTCTCCTGTAATCTTTTCTGAAAGGCAAGAGGGAGCCAGTTTGCCTGTTTTGTTTACAGGCTTTGAGCATTTAGCACATCTGCTTGTGCAAACTTACAGCATGTGAATTTCTCTGGGCTGACTGAGGTTATTGGGGCTGACTTTAAGTCTGTCTTCCATGGGCAACCCTTGTCAACATTTCAAAATGAACCAAGCAGGGTTACTGCCTTTTCCAAGACCATCAAAACCAAACTCTCTTCTCCATTCTAGTATACAGGCAAACTTTTTCTAGAATTGGTCAGTATTGAAAACAGTTTTGGCTCCTTGAGAAGAACTGTAAAAGACAGCCACGTTAATATAAGCTCTGTTTAGCCCTCAGTAGGTAAGTGTGGGCAAGTTCTTTGTAGAAAATCTCCATCTCAGTAGCAGGGTCTCACTGTAGTGCTCAGTAGCACTCACCCTGGGTTCATACTTTGGAGGATGATACTGCATTTTTGGCCCCGTAGCTTGCTTTCCCACTTGTCTGTGAGTGCAGAGCAGGAGTCTGACACTTCCCACTGTGCTGCTTGCTTTGCAGACACTAAATTGAAGCTTCTTGCTAAAGCAAAAGCCAGTAGGCGTGCCCTCTAGGCTATTTTGCTTTGCAGGGACTCTGAGACACTCAGTTTCTCCCAAATCTTTTCCCACCCTTGCCCTTGCCCCTTTAGCTGTGTGTCTGTAAGGAAGGGTTTCAGTTGCAACAGTCATTGTAATGAGAAGTTACTAGTCAGAATTTCAGCTGAACTCACACCTCTTTCTTATATAACAGATAATCCATCAGACATTTATCTCTAATCAACAGTGAAGTAGCTACCTGGTATGATTTCTAAATACTTGAACAAAGTACTTTTCCATGAACATCCTATGACTTTACTTGGAGGTTACTTTAACTCAATTCTAAGCATGTAATTGTAACCTGAAAAACTGGTAGTGGCAACATTTTCACTTGTGCCAAATGAATGTAATGTACATAATAGTCGAGGGAGCTTTTTGTACTTTGGGGTTATACAAGTACAATTTCAATAGCAATAGGATACTTAACTCAGGAATACCTATTGAAGTAGTCTTATCTTAGTTTCTTGAAGATATTTATCAAGAAATGAGAAAAATCTCTTCCCTGGCTAAGCAGCCTGCATTGTGAAATATGTCATGTTGAAATTGTGCTGGTATTGTTACTCTTTCCTGGCTGGGAGGAAATTTATTGAAAAAGCTTCTCAAATCTTTTTTTTTAATCTAAGTTTCCTATATGTTTTTTTTCCATGAAAAGGAGTAATAGATATATCAGAAATAAAGGCTAACTCTCCAGCCCCTGCTAGAAATTGTGTTGCTTAGGCAAAGATTCAAAGATTTCATTGTAGAAGCTCTGGCTTTTTAGAAATTTGTTTTTTAGTCTCCACATTTATTATGCTTCTGTGGGAGGGTGTAACTTCTGTAGATTGAGGGGAACAGACAGAATCTGATGAGTACAAGTTGCCTCTACAAGAGCATTCACAGTCTTCTCAGGAACATCTAGGGAAAGAGTTCCTCACAAGGCACCACTTCTGAGGGGTTACATTATATCTTGGTCAAAAAGGAGGATCCAATATGGTTTTGTGTAGAATATGACCTTCTAACAGAAGTGGACTTAAATTTTTTTTTCTCATTTTGGCATCTTATCCCTTCCAATGGAATTAAAATTCTGAATTCCTTTTTTTCTTAATAAAACTATTTTTTAAATCCTATTACAAATATATATTCATTGTAGAAAACTTGAAAACATTTTTAAAAGAACAAGGACAACAATAAAGAAAATTCACTACCTACAGTTAATATTGGTTGTTTATATTGTTACAATGAGATTCTCCAATTATTTATTGGGGTTTTTTTCCCCCCTACAAGGAAGGCAGCGTAAGCATTTCCTGTTATTATATTTTCTTTCTTTCTTTTTTTTTTTTTTGACACAGGTTCTCACTCTGTCACCCAGGCTAGAGTGCAGTGGCATGATCATAGTTCACTGCAGCCTTGACTTCCTGGGTTCAAGTGATTCTCCAACCTCAGCCTCCCCAGTAGCTGGGATCATGTGTGCACACCACACCACCCAGCTAATTTTTTTTTTTTTTTTTTTTTGAGATGGAGTCTCACTAACTCTGTCACCTAGGCTGAAGTGCAGTGGTGCAATTCTGGCTCACTGCAAGCTCTGCCTTTCAGGTTCAAGCAATTCTCCTGCCTCAGCCTCCCGAGTAGCTGAGATTACAGGTGTGTATCACCACACCCATCTAATTTTTGTGTTTTGTTTTAGTGGAGATGAGGTTTCACCATGTTGGCCAGGCTGGTCTTGAACTGACCTCAAGTGGTCCACCCACCTCAGCCACCCAAAGTGCTGGGATTACAGACATGAGCCACTGTGCCCAGCTGTACCCAGCTAATTTTTAAAAATTTTTTTGTAGAGATGGGGTATTGCCATGTTGCTGAGGCTGGTCTTGAATTCCTGGGCTCAAGCAATCCTCCGGTCTCAGGCTCCCAAAGTATTGAGATTACAGTCATGAGCCACTGCACCCAGCCTTCTCCAGTATTTTAACACTGAGTAGAATTCTATTGTGAATTTATTTAAAGTATTAAAGTGATTTGGGATTGTTTTTATCTTTTTTAGTCGATATGTTTTTCAATAATGTTTTAACATTCTCCAACTATTCTTATTTTTTTCCAAAAAAAAAAAAAAAGACAGAAATGGGCCCTGGTGGCTGGTATAATCAAGGTGCGGTTTTGTCCTTTAACTTCTCTGACAGCCTTCCCTGTTTATGGATCCTCTGCCTCTGTGAAAGCCTCAGACTTTGCCCTTACCATGTGTTTCTTAGCCCTTGTTTTAAAAAACAGGAAAAAGAAAGAAATTGTCTTCTCTTTCAATATAACAAACACCAGGTTGTTATATAGAAGATACAATTAACTTCACATTACCTGGTATGCTATGATAAACTATCTTCCAAAACATATATTTGTCTTCTAGTTTTTTGTCACTGCTTTGTCTGAGTTTTTGCCACCTTTGCAGAAAACACTGTTAGACGTGTAAATCTGAAAAACAGGAAGGTCTCATGACATTAGTCTTTCCTGTCAGCTCTCTTTTGAATCTCCTATAACTGTTAACAGTAGCAAAGAAAGCAATTTTGATACTTTGGAATGGAAGACATGAAATAGCTATTCTGAAAATAGTTGTGAACATACCAAGTTCATAGTGTTTAGTTAAGGAAAGGCCTTGCTTCATAAGAATTAGTGACTTGGTTTTTTTTTTTTCTTTCTTTTTGTTTGTTTGTTTGTTTCGTTTTTTTGTTTGTTTTTTTATCATGTAACTTTGTTTCAGATTTTTCAAGGTTGGGAGCAGAAATCCTCAGTAATTTATTTTACCCAGAATGTTTTAATCTGAAATTTTTTAAAAAACAAAAAAACTAGATATCTTATGACTGTTGCTCTCACACAAAAATAGGTGTTCAGAAAAGTAAATATATTCTTACTCAAAGAATAAAAATGTCAGCTGTTAGCAAAGTCATGAACCCATGTGTCATGATTCTTGATTTAGAGCTCTTAAATATACTCAATATGAACCCTGTCTTAGAAAAACAATTTGAAGAAATGTCTGGTGGTTTTCCCCTGTTTCATTCCTACTGTGTCTTGTGGTTTCTCTTGAGGTCAAGGGTGAGACTACCGTGCATGTTTCAAATAAAGAATTGTTTGTGTCTGTGTTCTAGATCTATGTAAAAACCTCACAGGATTGGGGGGGATATGCTCAGAAAGTTTGTTCTTTGTGGCACATTTTTTATAATGAAGTTCCATCTTGAGAGTTTAAGGGACCAGTTTCACCGGGTAGAGAACCGCATCTGCATTGCTAGCTAAACTCACTGTTGTTTCCCAGACAGCAATCCTGCCTTCCTGTGCCACTTGCGCCTTCTCCTTTTTACACCTTTGAAAGTTCACTTTGTTGCTTGTTTTTCCTCACCAGTTCTGTTCGTTTCTGTATGTCCAGACACTAATGCCCACCTCTGGCTATTGTTCTTCTGCAGAGGGAGAACCGAAGATTACAGGAGGCCAGCATGAGGTTGGAACAAGAGAATGATGACCTTGCCCATGAACTAGTAACAAGCAAAATTGCTCTACGGAATGACTTGGATCAGGTAATCCTTAGAAATGAGACTGTGATGACTTCCTCAGGGCAAAGACCGATTTGCCCTCATCACCGCCCCCACAAACTTGCTTTGTTCTTGACTTTGTTCTTGAGGAATGGACAAGTGGCAGGGACAGTCTGTTAATTGGAGACCATGGAAAACATAAGCCTTTGAGAAAGGTTTGGGTCATTTCTAAATAGCATGTGTGACATACTTTCTTTATACCTCTAAACTCTGTTATGTCTTTGTTGATACCTTTCCTGAACCAATGGCTGTCAGCATAATTATCTGAGAACATCAGTCACCAAGAATATGCCTGTACTAATGCCACTCTAACAGTAGATGCCTTACTTTTTGTTCCAGTAAGAATTATTCTCCATAATAAATGTGAACTTTTACATGAAGTACCTACATTAAGAGTTGGATTGTTAGATTGATAGGCATCTGAGTGGCTGAGAGCCAGACTGCCTGATTGTGAATGCTGGCACCACCACTGTGAACCATATGACCCTGGACAGTTCTTAAGCTGTCTATAGGTATAAAAAGGTGTCTATCTCATAGAGATGATATAACAATTAAATAAGTAAAACACTTCGATAGTATGTGTTCATTAAATGTTAGATGTAGCTGAGAGAGCTGGCACTAAAGGGAATTCAAAAACAAAAACAAAAACTGTGTTGTTTGGGACACAGGATATGGAAGGTAGAAAAAGCTGCCCAGAGAATGGTTTTTTAAAAAGTTGTGGCCCTGTTAACCACAAACCTCATTCAGCCCACCCATTTGGAAGCTGTGAGAAGTGGTATGAGAAATATGTGACTAGGAGAGTCAGAACCAAAGAAGGTAGCCGGATCTCCATTCAATCAGGGTCAATTCAGCCTTACCTCAGTGGTCATATTTTTGTATTCATGAGACTGTTGAGATAAGTCAGTGCTATAATGAAAGTCTTGGTTCTATGTTAACTTTCCAAATGGTCTTGATTCACACTTGATTCTGCCATTTTGAATCTTTTATCCATTAATAATTTTCTTATGATGGCTGACTAAATGAAACAATTTTTAAACAGTTGGATTCAGTGGGGATGCAGTGAAATGAGCTAAGGAGAGTTTCAAAGTTGTTTGGCAAATGTAGTTGGTAATATGTGTTAAGACGTTAAAAGGTTTAAGCAATAATAAAATTAAATTTTACTATGTACCCACTATGTGCCAAGCACTAAATAAAGCAATTTATAAACATCATCTCATTTAATCTCCCTAATGACTCCAGGAAGCAGTTATTATTTTAATCCTCCATTTCATGAATGAGGAAACTATATAGATGAGGAAACTAGAGATCCTCTGACTTGTAAAGCTATCCTAAAAAAAAAAGATCTGTTTAAAAAAAATGTATATACAAGGTTGTTTACTGCAGTGTTACTTATAAGAATGAAAAATAGAAATATTATTTTATCTATGTTCACTAGTAGGGGAGAATGACAGTTTGACTGTAAAATGTCTTTCTGGAATAATTTTTGTTAATGGGAAAATAATGATAAAGTATTTTTTTAAAAAATACTTTTTTTTTTCTGTAAACAGTAAACATTTATAATGTTTGCATCTAAATTTCAAGGGCTACTGGCTGGCATTGGGTCATCCTATAGGGAAGGGGACCATAGTATACCTAGATAGGGAAGAAGCCCACAAGGAAATACATCAAAATGTTACTGCTAGGTATCTCTGGGTGATAAGATTAAATATAATTTTTATATTCATCTTTATAGTTTTTTCCCATTTAGAATTTATAGAAAGACCCTAAATTACTTAACCACCATAGGTTAACTAAAAATGAGCATTGGAACTTTTAAAAATCAGAAAAATAATGAACATTATAATATGCATATTATATATGAATATAATACTAAATAATATATATAACTTTAATAATCAGAAAAAAATTATTATCTTAAAAATCATTTCTTCACCAAGAGAACCCTTTATGTGAGTCAGTCTGGAGTGACTGCCATTATAGGTATTCCTGAAGTAATTGATTATTGAGTACCAGGGTAGCTCATGATGTGAGTGCTAGAACAGCCCCTGAAGAAAAGGTTCCATCAGACCTTCATTCTTCCTCTGCCTTCTCTCTTCCCTCCTTGACTCTCTTTCCCTCTCTTTTAAGAAAAGTAAATATGACCTGGACCCTCCCTTTGGGAGCTTTTTATCTAGATGAAAGAATCTAGATGAAAGAATAAAAACTGCTGTTTCATGCATATTTCCTCCTAACTTCTGATTTTGCAGTTTCCTCCTCATTGGGGTTTATTTGCTTACCAAAAAGCTGTCCCTGCAGTTGAAGTGACCTGCCCCACCAGTCTTCTAGGAAGGGCCCTAGCCTGAGAGTGAAAAGTACTGGCTTTGCAGGCCTTCACCTAGTTTGCCCAGTACTTTCCCATTCCCAGTTCATGAAAATCAGATCTCTTAATTAAAATAGCAAAACACTGGCAAACTTTAAACAAATATAAAAGTAGATTGTATTTAAGACAATATGTAAGCAAACAAACACTAATTAGGAAATTAGGTTCTTTGCAAAAATAAATCATTTCTTACTCTGACCATTTTAGTGCTAATTTCAGGCTTCCTGGGCACCAAAGGCTCTTCAGCTTTTCCCTCTGGCAGAGCCTTCCTCTCTTGAGAACTCGCCCTCTCTCGGATTCCTTAAATAAAGATTTCTCAGTGATTAGAAGTGAAAAAAAGGTGCAACATCTCCATTTCAGTTTCTGTTTGCTATCTGCTTTCAGGCCTTTCCTGTCCTTCCCTATTTGCAAGGAACAAAAGAGAAGAGACATGATTAGTACTGTCCTGCTGAGGACCAGGGGTCTAGGTTCCCTCTCACCATAGCAAGTTCTGTTAGACCAGAAGCTACATGGACTAAGTGGAAAATTATTTTGTTTTATTTTAAGTTGAACAACTGGCCTGGTTAGTTCTTTCAGAAATCATTTATCAGAGATCCTCATTTCTGATATTAGGGCTGAGTCTTTTCTGAGGTTATTGGTTGATTCATGATTAAATCACACATTGCAATGCTTGTTTCTCTCATACATATATAGCAGAAGCCTTAGATTGCAATTAGAACTTTCAGTATCAATGAGACATTATAAGATATTGTTAAGTATTTAGACTTGATAATGACAGTGTTTCAATCTTATCAAATTATGGTGAAGGCTGTCTGGTGCAGTGGCTCACGCCTGTAATCCTAGCACTTTGGGAGGCCGAGGCAGGTGGATTGCCTGAGCTTAGGAGTTCGAGACCAGCCTGGGGAACACGGTGAAACCGAGTCTCTATTAAAAATACAAAAAATTAGCCAGGTGTGGCGGCATGCGCCCGTAATCCCAGCTACTAGGGAGGCTGAGACAGGAGAATCTCTTGAACCTGGGAGGTGGAGGTTGCAGTGAGCCAAGATCGCACCATTGTACTCCAGCCTGGGTGACAGAGCGAGACTCTGTCTCAAAAAAAAAAAAAAAAAAAAAAAAATTATGGTGAAGGCTTTATAATTTGGGCTCAAAGGTAGAATTTGAAAGGCTTTATAATTTGGGCTCAAAGGTAGAATTTGTGTTTAGCATTTCATTCATTAACATTAAAATTAATTCCTACTTAAGTGAGGTATAGTGGTTGGCTGTACAAAAATTCAAAAGACCACTGTTAGAGGGATACTCAAGTTATTTCAGATCTGGCCCTACTTTGATGAACAGAACAATTGCTCCTACTTTTCTGTTTAACATAAGAGGAGAAACTGTGAATTAAGCTTCCTGGAAAACTGGACTCTTCCCTATAGGACCCACAACAATTGCTGCAGATGTTGTATATGGTAACAGTAGAAATAAGTGAAGTTGCCTTAATCTTGACCTAATGAAGACTGTTCAGCAGAAAATGTGCAAATAAAAATAATAGGTCTTCTTAGCATAAACATTTAGGTGTTTTTGAAAAAAATTCCTCGGGGAAGTGTTTTTCCCCCTTTTCTTTTCTTTTTCTTTCATTTCTTTTTTTTTTTTTTTTCTTTGAGACAGTCTAGCCCTGTAGTCCAGGCTGGAGTGCAATAGTGCGATCTTGGCTCACTGCAACCTCTATCTCCTGGTTTCGAGCAATTCTCCTGCCTCTGTCTCCTGAGTAGCTGGAATTACAGGTGCCCAAAACCATGCCTGGCTGATTTTTGTATTTTTAATAGAGACGGGGTTTCACCATGTTGGCCAGGCTGATCCCGAACTCCTGGCTTCAGGTGACCCACCCACCTCAGCCTCCCAAAGTGCTGGGATTACAGGCGTGAGCCACCGCGCCTGGCCAGCATTTACTTTAAAACATTTTCATAAAATGTTAAAATTTTAGATGGCTCTCCAAGAGACCAAACTGAAAAAAAAACATTTATTTCAGTATCATGATGAACATTATGAAAGGATCAGTCTGTTCACAAAGTGGAAATTGCTGTGGGTCCTGTAAGAGGAAGGCTTAGTTGCAGTCTTCTTTATTAGCAGGGCTCAAACATTCTGGGGTAGAACTTGAACCAGTGGGCTGCAGTTACAGGGAGAGAGTTGGTTCAGTTTTTAAGAACACTGAAATGAGCAGTACAATTGTTTTTTGTTTTTTTTTTTTTTTTTTTTTTTTTTTGAGACGGAGTCTCGCTCTGTCGCCCAGGCTGGAATGCAGTGGCAAGATCTCGGCTCACTGCAAGCTCCGCCTCCTGGTTTCACGCCATTCTCCTGCCTCAGCCTCCTGAGTAGCTGGGACTACAGGCACCTGCCACCATGCCCGGCTAATTTTTTTTGTATTTTTAGTAGAGACAGGGTTTCACCGTGTTAGCCAGGATGGCCTCGATCTCCTGACCTCGTGATCAGCCTGCCTCGGCCTCCCAGGGTGCTGGGATTACAGATGTGAGCCACCGCACCCGGCTGTACAGCTGCTCTCAAAGTGCCACTCTGTGCCTATCTGTCAGAGACTTTGGGGAGGGTCTCCCTGCTTTGTGAGTAACCTCAGTCAGTCATCTGGCTTGGGGCTCTAGAATGGAAGCTTTGTGCTTCCATGGTTTATTTATTTTTCTCTTTTTGTTTTCTTTTAAAATGCCGTACTTTATGCCACATCCTTTCATGATGTACATCAGGTGACTTACAACTTATGAAAACTTGACTTGCAGTGTTCATATTGCATTCTCAAGGTCTACCTCTCATTTTAGTTGTTAATTTGCTGTTAGATTTTCCCCCCTAAAATCTAATGCATCAGAGCAATTTTTAGAGTCTTAAAGACTTTTAAGGGACTTTTTCGCCTTAACTACCCAACGGTTTCAAATGATCTGCAAACAAAGCTCTAACCACTGGGCTATGAGCCATCAGGAGCCAGAAGACAGGGCAAGCAGAGCAGCTGGAATGCAGTTTCTCTACAGTCACCAGCAGACTGTGCTGGCCTGGCCATCTGGACATGCAGGAGATATGGCAGAAAACAGACAGAAGGCCGCTTGGCCAGTCCTCAGCAGACTGGGCTGGCCTGGCCCATCTGGACATGTGGGAGATATGGCAGAAGACGGACAGAAGGCCACCTGGCCAGTTTTCACCATTATTTGGATAACATTTTGCTGCTGTCAGCCAGGGATAGCTTCTTCACATAATCACCTCTCCTCTGTGTCTGGGTTCTCTCTGCTGAACTCATCCTGTGGCCTTCTGCCATCTCCACTGCATGCAGTCTGCATCTGCAATGATTTAGCCACACCTCTTCATTCACCAAGTACTTAGGGAGCACCTATTCTGTACTTGGCATTGGGCTTGGTGCTTGGGATAGAGTGATGAGCAAAAGAGATATAGTTCTTGTCTCCTGGAGCTTAAAGCCTAGTGGGCAAGACAAATAAATCCCATGTGTAAGTTGTCATTACAGTCCTATTAAGGGAAATATGAGAGATTTAGATAGGGGAGCTAACTTAGATGAGGGTGAGTGGGCCAGGGCTGAGGGCATGCTTCATTGCCATGTGAACTTGAAGCCGAGGCCTAAAAGGTGAGAGCCTGACGTGTTAAATAGACATCATCATTCTAGAAATATGATCTTTTCTTCCTGGGTTCCTGGTCCATATTTCCATTTTCTTCATGGCTCTCTCTATCATGGGTTTTTGGTCTTGATTTCTCCTTACTAGACTCACTGCCCTGTGTGAGTGGCCATGTGGGCAGGTTTACCTCAGCTAGTCTTTGAATTTGCCACCTAACTGTTGTCCTCAGACCACCCTGTCTGCTCCCCTCTCTGAGTCAACCCCCATTCTCCACCAGTTGGAAGTTTCTGTGTGAGGCTCTACCCCTTCATCAGATCCATCTACACAGAGTGAGTGCTGCTGTAACATCTAAAAATCTGTAAGAAGCATTTAGAAGGAGGATGGACTTTGATGTTATTCAAATCTGAATTCAGATCATGACTCTATTAGATGTGTGACCCCAGACAGTTTGTTGGATCTTTCCAAACCTCACTGTCATAATCTGTAAAATTATTGTTGGTGTGTGGATTAGAAATAATGTGTGCCAACTAGATGGCACATAGTTGGCATTCAGTGAAAGCAGCCATCGCTTGGTTGAGCTAGGAGGGAAAATAATGACTTGCAATAATTTTGGAACAGCAACTGAAGATTGGGTTTGGAGAAGATTTCCACACACTTTCTTTACCCTCTGTATGACTGTGATGTATGACTGTGATGCACCATGATTTGCAGGCAGAAGACAAGGCAGATGTGTTGAATAAAGAGCTCCTTTTGACCAAACAGAGGCTGGTGGAGACTGAAGAGGAGAAGAGGAAGCAAGAGGAAGAGACTGCCCAGGTAAAAGGAATAATATGTAGGCTTTTCTTTACAAAGGTATGTTGGTAGGGAATTAACACTATAAAAAAGAAGGAAAATTAAATTTCTTCTAAATCAAAGGTGATGTTAAAGCAGTAATGTAAGTAGTTGAGTGTACTTACTCAACATTTTTGTTCAACATTTCTGACATTTTTTTTTTGAAGGGTGTTAAAAGAGGAGGCAGTATTTCTACCCTTGAACAGCTTTTAGGAATTTGCCTTTACTGAGATATTTAGCAAGAGTGTTGAGTTTTCTCTAAGTTTAGTAACTTGGAATTATGATCCAAGAGCTTTGACAAATCTGCAAATTTTGTGTTGTATCTCCAAGATAATTGACTTCTCTGAAGTAGTTTATGAGCATTGTTAAACCGAAAGCCTACAGAGATCTCTGCTGGGAGTTGCCACACAGCCCCTGCCGCAATCAGTCACACTTCATTTTCCTGATTCACACCTTAAGCAGCATCAGTATTCCTGGCTAAGCTTTCAAACCTATTTCCTGGGGGAATATAAAGAAACATTTTGGGAACCAGCCTTGAAGTTAGCACCCTACACTCTTCATGGGAGCTGTAAGGCTAATTAGCCAGAAAATGCCACCAGTGCAAAGCAGTATAGGATAGGGGCAGAGAGGCCTATGGGCCCAAGGAATTGGAGCTTTCCGCTTCCCCAAGGAAGAACATGCTGCTTCATCAGTGTTTTCTACCCCTGTCAGTCCCAGCCAGGGGCCTGACACAGATTAGATTATGAGTCAGAGTTTCATCACAAACAATTGAAGTCTTCTGCCAAGAGTGTGTTTGAATTTTACTAATGTAGCTAACTTATAAAGTGAGGAAGCATCTCAAATCGTGATTAGCTTATTTTAATGAGTTTCATTCTGAGACATCAGTAATACTAAACTTAAAGCACAGCATAAAGCATTTCAAGGATCTACATCCAAGCAACCAGAAAAAAAGTTCCACTAAAGTTACATGTGGAGGAATGTGTCATTTAGCACCTTCCAGACTTTATAAAAAGTGTTCCATGGTTTCTTTTTCCTTGGAATCTGATTTAATGAGTCTTTGGCATTTACAGCGGCCCAGGATATATATTTCTTACCTACTCAAAAATTTTCAGGGGCTGATTACCCAGTTTTAGATTATTTAGGCTCCTTAATGGGTTTTGTTTTTTCTTTACTTCCTGCCATCTTTGGGCCACTTAAGCTACTCTAGATGAGGCATAAGGCTCTTGGCAAGTAAATTTAACCCAGGTTCTACCTGCTCCGTGGTTCCATAGACATATATACTAGCCTGTAAGCAATTGATACCTAAAATGGGAAGGAATATGACACTTGAATACTCACCTAGTATGTTGCAAGAACAATGCAAGATGCTTTGCACCCTTCCTCCCCTCCATGTGCATCTGTGTGTGTGTAACTGTTTTAATCATTATGGTACCCTTGTAAAATAGGGATTATTCTCATTTTCAGATGAGGAAACTATGGCTTAGATAAATTTAGTGACCCTTGCTCAAAGACTCTCAGCCAGCCAAGTCTGTCCTAACATCTATGGGGCCTTATCGTGGAAGGCGAGAAGGTTATTGTTTATGTCCTTAAATTATGTCAGATAGAGAATAAAGATCAATATAAACAACTGAGTGTAGATCACTATAACTTACCAATTGCTTTTAGAATTTTAGAATCTAACAGATATGAAGAAATTCAGAAATCTAATGAGTGCTATTATAAATTGCAATAATTTATGAACTAGCAATTACAGAGTATACGCCATTAATAATTTGGGATGCTTTAGTGCAGAACGCATCTCTTTATTCTGATTATGTACTTAAAGTTTAAGCAGAGTTGTTTTTTGTTTGTTTCATTACTTGTTTGTTCAACAACTTGCAGAATTTAATTCTTTCCTTTGTATCTGGTAGCACCTGAGCTTTTCCATCACCTTAATTTTCCCCTATACCTAGAATTCTAGAGCTGCTGGGCCACAAAAATAACTGTGGTTATAACTATAGCATTCATAATTTAACATTTCAGTGACTGTAACAGGTACCTGCCATTATGTGTCACTTTAGCTCCTTCTAAAGTCAGTTTCTTTAGTCCCTGAATCTCCTGTCCTTCTCAAAACTCTTATCTTCCCCCGTCTTTTCTAACTCTAGTCCCCAAAGCCTCTTGTTTCTGCCTCCAGAGAGGTAACAGCAGTAAAGGTAGACTATAAATAAGGAGGCCTACAATGATTTTTTTCAGTAATTTATAACATCAAGAGTAACAAATTTAGCATGCAGTATTGCCTTGATGTTTTGTTTTAGACTCTTATAAGGATAAAGATAGCTTCTGAATGGATACTTATTTAGCAATATGTTTAGAAGTAGCAAGCATAAGCAATTTTATAATGGTGTTGTTCATATGTCTCATATTTTACAGAAAAGAAAGTAAGGTTTCTGCATCTCTGGAGATGATTGACTTTTTCAGATTATCAAGATGCAGCTTCCATGAAGATAATTTATATAGTTAACATTGTTACCATTGTTACTGACTATGAATCAGACAGACTTGAATATAGATGTTTGTGAAAATTTAAGATTTTGGCTAAATCCTGATATTTCTCATTCTATTCTTTCTAGCTAAAAGAAGTCTTCAGGAAACAGCTAGAGAAGGCAGAATATGAAATAAAGAAGACTACAGCTATCATTGCTGAGTATAAACAGGTAATGTACTTCTGTGGCACATAGAGCTAGTTATAGTTTGCTGCTATAAAAGTAATTTTTTTTTTTTTGCTTGAGGCCAGGAGTTTGAGACTAGCCTGAGCAACATAGCAGGACCCCATATCTACAAGGAAAAAAAATTTTTTAGTTAGCCAGGCACAGTGGCATGTGCCGGTAGTCCCAGCTACCCGGGAGGCTGAGGCAGGAGGATCAGTTGTACCCAGGAGTTTGAGGCTGCAGTGAACTATGATTGCACCACTGTACTCCAGCCTGGGCAACAGAGCAAGACCCTGTCTCTAAAAAAATAAAAATAAAAAAGTAATTATTTTGTTGTTGTTTTTCTTTGGGGGAAGAAATATTTTTGTTTTTAAAGTTTCCAGAATAGTTTTCCAGATTTATTAAATTTGGTGACTCACTGTCTCCTTTGAAGCAGACACTGGTTGGACATACTTATAACTTATTACTTATAGCTTATTACTTATAACTGATAACTTGGGAGGTCTAACTGACCAAAACAATCTATTGGTTGTTTACAGTGTTGGGTAGATTTAGAGGAATAGAAAAACCTTTTGATGACTACTGAGATCCTGTTTCTGCCTTAGTCAGAAGCTAATTTCCAGTAGATCACACTTGGAACATTTGCCTCTTTGTGAAGTTTAGTTATTGTATTAAATGGCAGTAGCTAGGGGATCAGTGTGCCCTTTGCTACCATGGTACAGAATGTGGTAGGCACTCTTTTTCCTACATGGCTATGTGGCCTTCCCCTCTGCAGGCCAATGCTAGCAGGAAGCTTTCTATTGTGAACCTTAAAATGCTTTTAACAAAGGGCTCATCTTCTTGAGGATGTTTCTGGCCCCATCACCATAGTGGTCTCAGAAAGCCCTCTTTCCTGGTATCTACTGGTATCTTCCTGTCCTTCCTGTTGGCTGGACATGGCAAGGACTCCTCTCATTGCTGAGACCCTGAGTTATCTGTTCAAATTCCAGGTTTCTAGAATTAATTAAAGTACCATATGCCATCTTTTGATCTAAAGATTTCCCTGGGGTCTTCTACTTCACATAGGACTCTGAAGTCTGATACTTACTTTTTAAAAAAATGTGTTTTTTTGCTTATAAATTAAATTTGTGTTCTTGTGGAAAATTAGAATAGTGCAGAGAAGCACAAAGAAAACAAATCTCCCTCAGTCTTTCTAGCTAATCATTGTAATATATTGAATATGCATTGTTGCTATACAAATGCTTTATAAATAAATTTAAAATATATATAAACAGGATGAATTGTATTGTTTATCCTTTTTTTTTGTAACTAGCTTTAGTTCACTAATACATTATGAACATCTTTCCATAAGGAATCCGCATATTCACGGACGATTGATAAATAAAACTTTAGAGCTATTTTACTCTTCTATGATAATCAACATATGTTTATTTAATGCCTGCTCTCTGTGAGGCTTAATACTTTGACAGACAAAAAGATGAATGAATTCAAGTTTTCTTCTCTAGAAGCTTATCATATAATGTGGAGGTAATACCTACGTAGAAATAAGAGGAAAGGAAACTTATTACATGTGGGAAATGAAACCTTTTGAGCTGTGCTTCAAAGGCGATGTAAGACTTGGATCTGTAGAGATAAAGAAGATAAAGAAGAGGATGGAAATGGTAGAAAAGAGAGAACAGGATGTGCAAAGGCATGGAAGTAGATTAGTGAAGAGAAAAATAATTCATTTGGTAAGAGATTCCGGTACAAAAGAGAAGCAAAGGGACGTTAGGGTCCAGATCAAGGAAAGTCTTCAGGGCTAGGCTTGGGACCTTGGATTTTATTTTGTTTGTGGTAGGATCTTTTTGAGCAGGAAAGTGGCATAATCAAAGACATATTATTGGCACTAATCTGTCCCAGTAAGAAATGTGGAACCAAGGAGACAGACCGCGAATACCAGAGTCCAACTGTAAGAAGAACCAGGTCCCTGAACTAAATAACTAACGAAAATAGAGAAAAGGGAGACACAAAAGACAGTTTTTTTTGTTTTTTTTTTTTGCTAGACGAGAAAACCTTGAAGGTGATCTGAGATGCCGAATGTGGGCATCTAGGAGAAGAGGTGGTAGACATTAACCAATACAAGGAACATTAAAGACTATGTGCTGTGGAATTTCCCATTGCTACAAATGCATGTTTTTCATTGCCAGATTATGCCATGGGTGGCCACCAAATGCAGCACTCTTCAAATAGTAATCCTGGGGACTATTCTTGAATATTATCTGGCAAGCCCTTGAAATAATGCAAAAGGCAACAGACCCATCTGTTTGAAGATAAGGATATAAGACACAATCTAAATGCATTCTATAGTTGGAATTGGCTATTACTGGCTCTATGCATAATGTTTTGGCTTATTTAAAAGGGTTTAAGGTTTGCAGAATCTACCATGGTGATCTCTTCTTTTTAACATCAGTCAATACCGTCCTACTAATGGTTCCTCAGGCTTGGATCTGGAGAAATTGGAATGAAACTCAACAAACTAAACTCAGCAAGCAAGCCCTCATCACCAGAGCTATTTTTGAGTAGACTGGGTGGGATTTTTTAAATGTCTGTTTTGATAATAGAGGTAGACCATATATGTTTTTATCCAAAATTATACTTTAAAATTTCACATCCCCTGTTTTTCCATCTTTTTTTTTTTTTTTTTTTTTTTTTTTTTTTGTGAGGCAAGGTCTTGCTCTGTCACCCAGGCTGGAATGCAGTGGTCTGAACACAGCTCACTGCAGCCTTGACCTCCTGGGCTCAAGCGATCCTCCCACCTTTCATCCACTTTTCTAAAATAAAAGATTCTTATTTCAGACAATGGATTTGAACATCCAATACTTATTTATCTAGATTTTTTCCTTTGAAAGCACCTATTTCTACCATTTCTAATACTTGTTAGCACCTTATTTCAGAATCAATAAGAAGAATATATTTTATTTAATGTACACTTACTATTGGCCAAGTGCTATGCTAACCCCTTTGCATACTTTTTTTTCCACTTGATTGCTATAGCACAGCACTTTTCAATCATGAGGAAACTGAGTCTTAGAAAGATTAATGACTTTGCCCAAGCTCACAAAGCTATAAAGAAATGGAGCTGGCCTGCCTTAAACTCACATTTAACTCCAGCAGCTAAGTTTTTAATTTCTATGCTATGTTGCCAAACCTACTTAATAAGAGTTTTAGTCTGTATTATTTTCTGGTCATTTTAACTTTGTTTTATCCACTCTGCCACCTTTTTTTAATACCTTAAATTCTGGGGTACACATGCAGAACATGCAGTTTTGTTACATAGGTATACACGTGCCGTGGTGGTTTGCTGAACCCATCAACCCGTCACCTACATTAGGTATTTCTCCTAATGTTATGCCTCCCCTAGTCCCCTACCCCTCCACCAGGCCGCGGTGTGTGATGTTCCCCTCCCTATGACCATGTGTTCTCATTGTTCAATTCCCACTTATGAGTGAGAACATCACTCTGCCACTTCTTAAGGAAACTTTTGTGATTGAAAACAGGTTCTTTCTGTGACAGTAGAAAGGAGATATTTCTGTCTAGAATTCTTTTCATCAAGATTTTCTCAGCATACTAACTTGTACAAAGTGAATACTCAGCAAAGATTCTATAGGTTAATTCCAAAAGTGAGGCCAGGAATTCACTTGAACCAGTCACAGAAGGCTAGTGACAGAAAGAAACCAAATCTACTCTCCGTATGTTTCTACTAATTAAGGTAGAGTGTGCTTTACATATGGAACGCTCCAGCTTTCTGCTGCTCATTTCCGAAATGACTGGCATTTGCAGTGCTATTCATTTGTAAAATTCCTTCTAGGATCAGATGTGCTAGCATAACACATGAATTGATAAGTAGTTATGTGTACATGCTGCAAGAGTTGTTCTGTTTTCTAGTAAAAGACTCTTTTCTCATCCTTAGATCTGTTCGCAGTTGAGTACCAGGCTGGAGAAACAGCAAGCAGCCAGCAAGGAGGAGCTGGAAGTGGTAAAGGTAAGGAGTGAAATCGTGCTGTGATAAAATTTATTTCAAAGTCACACAGGCTTGTAAGTACCTGAAAGAACCCCAAACACCACCATTTTGTATTAAAGGATTTATTAATAGGAATTATGGAGACTAGGATACCTCTCTTCTGACCAGGTGTGATTGTCTTCCCTACCAGGTGAAAGGTTATGATGCTCCCATAAATCATATGGACTGTCAGAGGCAGCTAACATGAAAGGAAGTAGGATTTGACATTGTCACAAGAAGCCCCAGAGCTTGAGATGAGAGTGGTATGAACCTGAGAACCCTCAGCAGCCCACATCTGACTGAGCCTGCATTGATGTGGCTTCAGTATGGGACTCAGTAGGATCATCCCATCACTCTCTTTATAAGTAAACACCATGGGCAATATAGAACTTAGCTGGAAAAACATGTGTTGGGTAACTGATTCTTGCACTAAGTTTTTAGAGGTTTATTTTTAAAGAAAACCTGTGGCATTTGTTTACTTGCTGCCCCCTGGTGGTAAAATGCATTATGTTGATGCTCTATTTGAAAAAAACAGATTGCTTATTCCATAGAAACAACAGTAAACCAATGGATTGGTATTCTTAAGAGGCAATATTGTCATAGTCAACTTTTGGGACCAGTGTTACAGAAACCTGACATCATCTTATTTGAATATGTTCAGGTTTCATACTAGTAAATAAATGTGTAGTAAGTAATTTAGCAATCTTGAAAAGTGATTTAACCTTTTTAAGCTTCATTTTGTGTTCTATAAAATGGAGATAACATTACCTGCCTCAAAAAATCATTCTGAATGTTAAATAAGATAATGAATATAAAGTACATAGTGTATATAAAGTGCTTATATTAGTACCTGACATACAAGACCTTGTATTCCAAAAGTATTTTCTTCTTACTCATGTTACAAAATGTCAATGAGAGATTTAGTGAGTATAAGGTTTGGTGTTCTCCCTCTCTGATGTGCTAAAATTTGATGTTTGTATCTTCCCTTTCTGGTCTACTTTTGCACTTCTTTCTAGTTAGCACTTACCACTCTTTGTACATTATAGGCATACTGACCAAGATTCAGTTGATGAAGTTGAATGGCATAAAGGGGTTAACTCTCCTGAAGTGAATTTTTTTTGTATTTCTTCTAACAAAAAAAAAAAAAAAAAAAAAGGGATACATGTGCAGAAGGTGCAGGTTTGTTACATAGGTATACGTGTGCCATGGTGGTTTGCTGTGCCTGTTAACCCATCCTCTAAGTTCCCTCCCCTCAGTCCCCACCCCCAACAACAGGCCCTGGTGAGTGTTGTTCCCCTCTTCTGTGTCCATGTGTTCTCAGTGCTAAACTGAAATCTTTATGGAAATAACAAAATGAGAATTTATATTGATTATTCAGCAAAGGTTTTATTGAGCATATACTATGTGCATAGCTATTAGACTGCCATTTTGTTATAGAAATTACACATGAAAAGGAGCTTAAAATTTTCCTGTAGGACAAGTTATGTATACATGCAAATTAAGAACTTCGGAAGCAGTTCAAGGGAGCTAAGTTGGGCCAGGTGTGGTGGCTCACGCCTGTAATCCCAACACTTTGGGAGGCTGAGGTGGGCAGATCACCTGAGGTCAGGCGTTCAAGACCAGCCTGGCCATCATGGTGAAACCCTGTCTCTGCTAAAAATAACAAAAATTAGCCAGGCATAGTGGCTCACACCTGTAATCTCAGCTACTCTGGAGGCTGAGGCACAAGAATCACTTGAACCCAGGAGGCAGAGGTTGCAGTGAGCCGACATTGTGCCACTGTACTCCAGCCTGAGCAGCAGAGTGAGATTCCATCTCAAAAAAACAAAAAACAAACAAAAAAAGTGCTAAGTTGGATCACAATGACAATCAGCATTGTAGAGAAAACAAAATCATGAGAACTATAGACCAAAAAAGGCTTTATGGAGATTGGACTAAAGCAGGGTGGATAGAAATTAGTTAGAGAGAAGTGTTTAAACAGAACATTATAGAAGAAATGATGTGAGTGAAGACGCAAACACAGGAATGAGTATTTCAGTGTCTCATTACAGAGACTGATGTGATTAGAATATGTATTAAGGAACAGAGGAAAATATTGGCTAAGTAGGTGAGACTACCTAATGAAAGGCCATGACATTCAGGAAGAGGAATGTAAACTTGTCTTAGCCAGAATAAAGAAGAACAACTAGGCTCACGCCTGTCATTCCAACACTTTGGGGAGGCTGAGGTGGGCGGATCACTTGAGTCCAGGAGTTCAACTTGGTGAAACTCCTGGACTGGGAAACTTGGTGAAACCCTGTCTCTACAAAAAATACAAAAATTAGCCGGATGTGGTGGCATGCACCTGTAGTCCCAGCTCCTCAGGAGGCTGAAGTGGGAGGATCGCTTGAGCCCAGGAGGCTGAAGCTGCAGTGAACTGTGAGCATGCCATGGCACTCCAGCCTGGGTGACAGTAAGAGCCTGGTACAAAATTAAAAAAGAAAAAGACAGTAAAGCTTCTTTTTTATTGATGATAAGGTCGCAAACAGGTAATTCATTTGATCAAGGTTACACAGCTAGTAGAACCAGGATTTAAGCCTGGAAGTCAGACTCTAAAGTCAATAACATTAGCTGTTAGACTATACTACCTCCCCTTTCTCTAGTGCTTCCTCCTATCTCATTTGGTATGATAAATAGCTTTTGGTTTTTTCAGTTTCCTGTAATAACCTTCTTTTGTCATGATCACCCCCCAGTTCATCCTTTACACTATAATCAGAATGAGTGTTCCCAAATATAAAGTGATATTTGACTATCACTCTGTGTATCAATGCAGAATTAGATTGGCCACATATAGGGAACCCAAAATAGCATTGGCTTAAACATAAAAGGTGTTGATTATTTTACATAAAAGCAGCCTAGGACTAGAAAGGTATATCTTTGGTGTCATTAGTAACCCAAGCTAATCAGTCATTAGTGACCTACATCGTCATGTGGACTTCTATCCTCAAGGTCACCTAAAAACCAATCCTTCCTTTCTTTTTTTCTTTTTTTTTTGAGACGGGGTCTCGCCCTGTCGCCCAGGCTGGAGTGCAATGGCACAATCTTGGCTCACTGCAACTTCTGCCTCCCAAATTCAAGCTATTCTCCTGCCTCAGCCTCCCAAGTACATGGGATTACAGTCACGCGCCTCCACACCCGGCTAATTTTTGTATTTTTAGTAGAAAAATACAAAATACATGGTTTCACCATGTTGGCCAGGCTGGTCTCGAACTCCTGACCTCATGTTCTACCCACCTCGGCCTCCCAAAGTGCTGGGATTAACGGGCATGAGCCGCCGTGCCCAGCACAAAACCAATCCTTTCAACTAGAGCTCCCACCATCACACCCATACTCTATGGCAGAATTTTAGTCCAAAAGGAGATGCAGGATATAAAGGCCTCATTCTCCTGGGTGAGCTCTTTCTAAGCAGCCTTTTTAGAAGCTCCCCTCTAAACTTCTGCTTACATAGCAGCTTTGAGGGAATTTAGGGAGTGTCACCTTTTATCTAGACACACTGCCAGCTGAAATAAACTCAGGGTCTGTTAGTAAGGAAGAAGGAGAAATGGATATTGGGTGAGAATCAGCAGTATCCACCACATTTTAGCAGGTCTGCCAGACTGCAGCTCTGTCAAACTTATTGCTCTATCTTTGACATGTAGCACGAGGCTCGGTAGAGTAAATGAATACATTTTCTGTAGGATAAAATCAGAATTCAGCAACATGGTATTTAAGGACCTTTATGACCTGGCCACAGGGATCTCTCATCTCGCTCATTGTTGAATCGCTTTCTGCTTAAGCCATTTTAAATTCTTTGAAGTTATCTGAAGGTGCTATGTCTTTGCACATGGTGGTGTTCTCTTTGCTGAAATGTCATCCTCCCTCTTAAGTGATCAATCTATTTCTTCAGGTGGTTCAACCTAATAAAATTACTTAGCCAGCTTGGTAAACTTTTAATCATTTAAGACTCAGATCAAAACTATTTCTTTAACATTTTTAGTCAACAGTAAATACACAACAAATATTTACAATATGCCTATACTGGGCTAATTATTCTCAGAGGTTCTTAAGAGAGTGACAAGTTTTGTTTTTACATGTCTAATTAATATTAATGAAAAGGAATACGAAGAGTGGTTTATGGATGGGATGAGAAGGAAGCCAGTGAGTACTGAGAAGGTGACCCCTAGGGATTTGGCCTGGAATGGCAAGAGCTCAGACATGTCAGAGGAAGAAATTTTTTTTTTTTTGAGACGGAGTCTTGCTCTGTCGCCAGGCTGGAGTGCAGTGGCGCGATCTCGGCACACTGCAAGCTCCGCCTCCCGGGTTCACGCCATTCTTCTGCCTCAGCCGCCTGAGTAGCTGGGACTATAGGTGCCCGCCACCATGCCCAGCTAATTTTTGTATTTTTACTAGAGACGGGGTTTCACCATGTTGGCCAGGATGGTCTCGCTCTCTTGACCTCGTGATCCACCCACCTTAGCCTCCCAAAGTTGTGGTATTACAGGCATGAGCCACTGCACCTGGCCCAAGAGGAAGAAATTAATGGTCAGCTGGACATGGGATGAAAGAGGAGCTAATGAAAAGATGATCCAAAGTCGTCAGGCCCAAATGGTGGAGACATGCCCAGTGGCACAAAAGTGTGGTGGAGAGTTGCTTTTTGTGTGTGTGAAGAGAGGAGGATGGGCACGGTGATGGACACATTGAGCTTGTAGCAGTAGGGCATCAAAGTAGAAATAGCATGTAATATCTTTTATCTCTATTGAATTATTTTTGAAAATAAGTAAACAACAGTACTATTGTCTGGAAAACAGTTGCTGTTGTTTAGTGCTGTGTGCCCGATTGGCAATGCGGGCATGTGGTAGAGTTATTTTATTTTATTTTTATTTTTTGAGATGGAGTCTCATTCTCTCGCCCAGGCTGGAGTGCAGTGGCGCGATCTCGGCTCACTGCAAGCTCCGCCTCCCGGGTTCAAGCGATTCTCCTGCCTCAGCCTCCCGAGTAGCTGGGACTATAGGCGTGTGCCACCATGCCTGGCTAATTTTTTGTATTTTTAGTAGAGACGAGGTTTCACCGTGTTAGCCAGGCTGGTCTCAATCTCCTGACCTTGTGATCTGCCTGCCTTGGACTCCCAAAGTGCTGGGATTACAGGCGTGAGCCACCAGGCCCGGCCGGAGTTACTTTTATTAAGCAACAGGGGTCCTCTTTGCTTAAAATTCAACAACAGGACATGTGCTTTGTTGCAAGGGTAGATTTAGGTTAGTCATGATGACCTTCCTCAGTCTACTACAGGCAAGTTCTTTAAACTCTGAGTTTCTTTATGAAATGAGGATGATGATAGTGCTTACTTATACAGTTGCTCTAGGATTAAGTGAAATACTACAAGTAAAGCATTTGGTGTGGGGCTTGGCATCTAGTAAGAATAATGATAGCATAAAATTTCTAGAACAGATTTCAAAGAGATGCTACAATACCTTCTATTTCTAGGGTATTTCTAGAGATACTTCAGGAAAAAGGAGCACCCGTCTTGGATAGTTGGGTTCGGGCTAATGATTTTGATTGCAGCACAAGAAAAATAATTAACCTTCAGAAATGGGCCTGCATCTATGACAATAAGCAGCATCTAAAAAAGTCATAAATTGTTTCAGAAGGTGATTTAGCCTATGGAATAGTTTGATGTTGGTTATCTCTTTTGGATACTTTAGGGTAAGATGATGGCATGCAAACACTGCAGTGACATTTTCAGCAAGGAGGGTGCTTTGAAACTAGCAGCCACAGGCAGAGAGGACCAGGGAATTGAAACAGATGATGAGAAGGACTCACTTAAGAAGCAGCTGAGAGAGATGGAACTGGAACTGGCACAAACCAAACTGCAGTTGGTGGAGGCCAAGTGTAAAATTCAGGTTGGTGATTTGATAAAAGAACAAGAAGAAAGAATAAACAATTAATGGTCCAGGATACTCTAGTACTTCAGAATACACCTATCTAGGTCAGAATTGTATGATGAATACATTTTCTGTCTGCTAATGTGTCCTGCATAATCACATTTTATATCATGTATTCTTAACGCTGATATAAACAAATATATAATTTTAAATGAAATTTTAATAATTAAAATTATATCTTATGGGAATTTAATTAAGCATATGCTTGTTTTTTTTACCCTGAGATTTTTTGCTTACATCCTTTCTCACAGAATGTGGTCACTTCAGTGGCTGATCCTGAAAATGAAAAACCAAACCCCCTCTGCTGTGTCTACCCTGAGAGTCACACATTGGCTGACACCCGTTCTTTCCTTTAGAGCTTCTTTTTATCTTTAGCTCATTTTGTCAAACCTCTTTCCCCATTATCTTTCTCCATATTGGCGCATAATATAATTAGAAATAGTCCTGGCTTCTGATGGACTCTTCTTCATTTCATTTTCCCAGTGATCCCTACCAGCACCATGGCTGCCATGTCACCAGCCTCCACCACACCAGCCAGCTTCCACCATGTGTCTGCTCTGACCTTGGACATTCTTAGGGCAAAGCCTATTTCTTTGGAACTGGAATTCATTCATGCTTCTACTATCAGTAAAAATTCATCCATATGTTTACATTTATTTGTGGTTTTTAAACCTGTTATATCGGATTGCAACCTAAACCTAAATTTGGACCTAACTTGCAGGGAAAAAAAGAATAAAATGAGCTTTTCTTTCACTGTTTAAAGAAAGCACAGATTCTAGATTTTTGATAAGTCTTTTAGCTCTTAACTTTATCCTTGTACTAAGAAGCCAATTCAATCTCTCCTGGGTTTTGTGGGAGGAAAATTGGCAGCACATACCTTGAGACTCCAAAAAGCTGCACACTTTTATTTATTTATTGGCAAAGAGAAAACATTTATTTAACTCAGATGATTTTCTTGCTTTAATTAGGAACTTGAACATCAGAGAGGAGCCCTTATGAATGAAATCCAAGCTGCGAAAAACTCTTGGTTTAGCAAAACCCTGAACTCTATCAAAACGGCCACGGGCACCCAGCCATTGCAGCCAGCACCGGTCACCCAGCCACCCAAGGAGAGCACATAGTTCCAGCCTTACCCAAGCACAAGAGCACAATGTTCAAACCAATGGAAATCTGGGAGGATTCTTCCTGGTGTCCCTTTGAAGGAAAGTCAAGGAGGCCAGAAAACAAGCCAGAATTTTTCAGTAGCTCTCACTCTTTCTTGTATGACACTTTTCAAAGGGATGCTATTTAAACTGACCTGTTCTATGTTGAATACCTATTTTCCAGCTTCTGGAAGGCCATGTTCAGATCCATCATAGTATTACACATTATTTTGTTTGCCTGATGTTTAGTTGGAAATAAGTAATTCAGAACTAAATGCTTTTTTATTTAGAATTATTCATAATTATTTTTATCTTACATAAAAATGGAGACATCTGTTATTCCAAGGTTGAAGTGATAAGAAGATCTTTGTCACAGGAAAAAAAAAATTGAAACCTAAACATCTTAAGTTTTCAGGATTTATTCAGATAAAGCACACTGTGGGGCCAGGCATGACCACTCTCAGGTTTCCTCCTGAGCCTGATTCCCAGGGAAGTGTTAATCCTGTCCAAAGGAAAGAACCAATCAGCGATCATTGGTTTACTTTCATTTTCTGTTCGGTACATCTGGAAATGAAGTGCCAGGAATAGACGGGCTGTTCAGATTATACGCTAGGTAAAAGGAACTGAAATTTTAATAAGTGTAGGTCAGGATCATTTGGGCTGTGGTATTCTAACAGATCCTTTTAAGAATGCCACATAGGACTTGTGAGTTCCTAAGTACACCAAAGTATGGACACAGATGTGACTTCTGGCAATTATAAAGTTAAAGGTGGATATTGCACCTTACAGACTTAGGGAGCCTTTACCAGAGACGCCTAAAAAGCCCCAGGTTCAGCCATTGTGCTGAATAGAGTGGAATATAGAACCAGGGACAGAGTATTTCATTTAACGTTGATATATACTTGCTAAGGAAACACTAACAATACTGTAACTTTGTTAAAGGACATAGTATTGAAATGGGAAATAGAGGTCAGGCTCACATCATCTTAGTTTAATGCTGGGCAACTTTTTCTGATTTCTGTAGTTCCCTGAAAATGTGTCCTTCGTACCCATAAAGAGATACAAATGCATTTGTAACATTTTTGATTGAATATAAAACCTTTACAGAAATACTTATCTCATGGAAAGGTAAAGCTATTGTTTAAAAATTAGTGGAAATATTTTTTCAATTATATTTAACATGCCTATAAAAATAGTCCTTGCAGGAAATTATTTGATAAGAGCAAAACTATTTTTATTTTATAAACTATTTTGGAGGCCTCTGATCCTTTCAAACCAACCAAACTACTATTAGATATGTACAATAACATTTGTTGATATTAATCATTGGCCTCATTGTTGAACATATTATTTGCAAAGAATCTTAAACTCTGTAGTGCCAGAATGATTCTCATCTGTGCCATATTTTGCAATTAAAAGTAACACACCCTTAGAAGAATCAAATAAGAGCCATCTACATCCCAGGAGGATGCACCAAGTTGCTCACAGTGGATCTTTTCCTCTAAAATGATCTTTTATGTTCTAAAAAGTGAAATCCCCTTTATCTGTGTTTATATTCTCTACAGCCCATAAAACTGATGTGATTGTTATGTTATACTCATCAGATAATACTTTTCTTACATAAATCTTTCATTGTTGTTCTGACATCTTTCATTACAAAATTTATTTTCTTAACAAAAAGGAACATAACCCAGCATTCCAAGTGTCTGTGTTGGCTTTAACATTCTCTACATGGTGGTCTAGATAAGCTAATTTTTTTTTTTTTTTTTTTGTAAAATGTAATAGCTAGAAAATGTTATCTTGGCGCTTGTTTTTGTAAATCATTTAGTATAGGCTGTTAGCTTTACTGGTACTTTACGCTTTGATTCCAAGAAGCCTTGTGCAGTTGCCTTATCAAATGGCCAGCTAAATTAAAGATGCTCTTTTGTGTTGTGAATTTCATAGTTCTGTACAGAGCTTGTTTCAATTTACAAAAATAAGTACATTCCACAGAATGCCTAAAGTGTGTAATTTTCTTTAAATAATAGTAGGTGAGGGAGAAACATAATGGCTCTAGGTCAATCCCTTATCTAAAGACCTTGTTCAACTTCATAGTCCCTTTCCTTTTAAAGAGGAGAAGAGAAAAATCCCCCCTGGCCAGGCATGGTGGCTCACATCTGTAATCCCAGCACTTTGGGAGGCTGAGGTGGGTGGATCACCTAAGGTCAGGAGTTTGAGACCAGCCTGGCCAACATGGTGAAACCCTATCTCTACTGCAAAATACAAAAATTAGCCGGGCTTGGTGGCGGGTGCCTGTAATCCCAGCTACTCGGGAGGTTGAGGCAGGAGAATCACTTGAACCCAGGAGGCAGAGGTTGCAGTGGGCCAAGATTACGGCATTACATTCCATCCAGCCTGGGCGACAAGAGCAAAATTCCGTCTCGAAAAATCACCAGGTACATACCTCTCAAGTTTGATAAGTCCATCTTTTGAGTTTTCTTTTAGCTCTTTCAAAAGATTACGAGGGCAATACATATTTTTTTTTTTTTTATTCTCCAGCCCCATATCATACTTGGGTATGCCTGTTGGTACCATAAGCCTAAACTCTCCTTCACTGCAATGCCTTTGAGTCAGTAGCAATAGTAAAGACTAGAAACAAAGAAAATTCAGAATTTGGTATGTGATATGATTGTTCATACAATATGTTATAATAGCAATATTCCAAACAATATGTCCTTCACTGTCTATTGTTGGAAAACTCATGCATCCCAGCATGAAGTAACTCCTAGTTTTAATTTTAGTTATTTTGAGATATATTTGAGAATTGCATCTCTTCTCTTGAATTTCACTTAGAAGAGATTAACCAGCCAAATATCCAGGAAAGTTTCAAAACATTCTAGTGTTTTTCATCCTTTGCTAGGATGCACTCTGTACAAAACATTCCTCTGAAAATCTAATATTTGCAGTATCTAAGAATTGATCATTTCTATTTTCATTAAATTCTGTGGAAAAAATTAAATGAATGAAATTCAACTTCATAATTCAGTTCATCAGCTTTTGTATCTTGAGAATCTAAACACGTCTTTAAATCTGAAAGAAACCAAGCTGGATTTTGCAGTGCATATGTTTGCTAGCTTCCCACATCCTGAACCATGTCAAAATTTGGTTTTATTTAGTTACATATAATTTAATGCAAAGAAATTCTGTTACTTAATGTTCTGTTTATTTATGAGTGCCTATCAGGAACACTAATAGGAATGCCATTCAACCAGTGTCTTCTGCCCCTCTCCCAGCTGTTAAATTAGTACTTCTTCATTGGCTTTCTGAAATGTCCTGAGTAAAGTAGAAAAGCAACCTTTGTATGGATGTGGGGATATTTAATAGTATGTATCTTGTTTCATTTTTTTCCTATGATGTATTAATATTTATTTTTCTCCAACCCCTGCTCCATTTTCTTAAAATATTTTCCAGTTAATAACTAGTTGCTTTATTTCCTAGCTGAAGTGAGAAAACCAACGGAAAACAATACAGATTTGGGCAGAGGAGATAGAGTTACATCTTTAAAGGAGTGAGCCAGTCACCCAGGAGAATCACATGTGTAACTGATGTAGGGGTTTAAGTCTTCATACTTTCACTAAAATCTGTCTACTAACTCTCCCACCAACCTTTGCATCAAACACTTAGGTACCTGCCTGATTAGGGGGGCCCCTTTAAGGGAAAAAACTTTTAAAAAATTAAATGCCTTGGTTTTGTTTTATCTTCTGGGAAAGAACACTTTTACTTGATTAGCAAGATGATTATATTATATAACTTGCCCTTAAAAACACTCCAAAATACTGACTCCTTTTCTCCAATTACAAATGAGTGTGAAGAAATTCTGTTGTATGATTTGAACACTATTAGGTTTGTATGTGTGTTTAATTGGAAGAATTTTATATAGAGTATCTCTGCTGCTTTTGTTTACCTGGGTACCACACAACCAAATACACATTGAGATTTCAAGAAATGATGATGAAAGCCAGAAGGCCAGACCACAGCTCTGCAGCCTGTTTCCTACAACCAGATATAAAACTCTTTCTCGTCGCCATGCTGATAGTCACACTGAACTAGAACTGTCCCAACACATTCTTCCTCTCTCATAATGGCTTCCATTTAATACAGGCAAAGCCCTTTACCTTAGCAAATTCTTTATCTTTCAAAAGTGACCAAAATGAGGACTTCAACCTTGGCTGCACCTCAATAGGAGATGCTGATCTTGAGTTGTAATGAGAAAAGTGGGCATATAGGAGATTTTAGTGACTGCAGTCAGCTGTCTGGCATTCCTTTCTCAGTTTGCATCTAAAAGACTACATATGTCAAGCTTATCTCCACCTGAATTTGCTGCCTGCTATAAAAACATTTCATTAATATATCCCATTCTTCCTACCTCCATCTCTGGTTTGTCATTAGTGGTATTCTGAAAAGCTTAAGAAAAAAGAATCATTGAGTAGAAAGTGAACATTTTAAGTTATTTTCCTTTTTCATTGGCAATTAGTTAACATGTAAAATCTTTTCCATTAAACTGTATAACTTTTAATAACTATATATTATATATGGGATAAAATATATGGACTGAATTGTGAGAATATAAATGCATCGAAAGACTCTGGTGTCATGAAAGCACAAGAATAAGGCTGGAGATGGTCCCAGATCCAAGATGTCCCAAAAGCCTTTTGTATCAGTTTCTCTATTTTTGGTATTTTGCATAATGCATGGATCCTTAGTTCAAATGAGGGACAAAGTTTCTCAGTCAGCCCCACTTCCTTTCTTTCTAACTCCTACCTTTCCCTTGCAGAGGAGGTAGTAGAGATTCTGGAATTGTCTATTTTTATGAATTCCATTATTTTGTCCATGGCATCTCTAATGAAAACAGGTTCTAGAATAAAGGAGTTGATTAGTCTGAACAGTACTAATTAACTACAAAATAAACGTTAGTGATCAGCCTCTTCCTCTATAAACAATGACCAATTAGACGTTTCCGTAATTCCATGTATTATGTATAGTACACTCTATAAATGTAAATGTAATGCTTGTCTAAAAAGTGCAATTTATTGTACATTGTCCCAACAAATGTTTACTTTTATAATCGTTATGAACTTGAATTGGATTAGTATCTTGTTTTTATGTGTGAATGAAGCCTTGTGAAATAAACAAATGCAACTGAGAAGGTAACAAGGTGACTGTTTTTGTGAGCCAGTGATGTTTTCAATGCTTTGTGTTGCCCCTTTGGCCCCATTAAGCAGTAATAAACATTTGTTCTGAAGTCCATGTATGTCTTTTTTATTTTTTTAGTTGACTTTATTCTGACTCATTTGAACCCAATGTTTATGTAACACTTCTTACACCTGACCCCAGACTCCAGTCAACGTAGAAAACACACAGTATATACCCTGCAAAATGATACCCTGTGCAGCACCACCACAAAGTGCTTCATTTTCCTCTCTACTGAGGTTCCTTGATTCCACGTAACAGAAACCCTTGCAAGCTAGCTTAATAATAGTAATTTTAAGAGGCAATTAATTAAAAGGAAATAGGATATCTGTATCATAGGTCCCAAAGGCCAAACACTTGGGCCTGAACTGGCACTAGGACAAGGGGCTGGAATGCCATCAGGACTCTGAAAGCAACTGTTCCCAAAATTGTGCTTCTGCTTGTCCTTCCAGATGACTTACCTGCTTCATTCTTCTCTCTGAAAACAGGCTTTCTCTGCTTCTAAGTACACAGCTACCAAGTTTACATATCCTCTCTTCAAACTACCAGCAGAAGACTACCATCTCAATTGTTCCAATTACAAATTCTGGAAAAAATATGACTGGCTAATCCTGGGTCAGGTAGCTGCTGTTAGTCCTTTAAGGTACAGCAAGGTAGGAGATACTATAAAATTCAAACTAAACTTCAGAGGCACTTATGAAAGTGGAGATAGTGTGCAGAGAATCCCAATCATATCTCATTTGCATTTGCATTTTGTGCTGGGAATCCATGGAACCCAAGTGAAATCTCAAGAGATTTGTCAGCTCCTCTTGGAATTCAGCATGTATTAAAAAATAATCAAAGACTGTAAGATTACAGCTTTTGGCCCAAATTCAGACCACAGACATCTTTCATTTGGCCATGTGGTATTTTTTGTTTGTTTGTTTTCTGAGATGGTCTTGCTCTGTCACCCAGGCTGGAGTGCAGTGGCGTGATCTCAGCTCACTTCAACCTCCACCTCCCAGGCTCAAGTGCCTCCCACCTCAGCCTCCCAAGTAGCTGGGACTACAGGCATACACCACCATGCCTGGCTGATATTTCTATTTTTTATAGAGACAAGGTTTTGCCACATGGCAAGGCTGGTCTCAAACTCCTGAGCCCAAGCAATCCACTCGCCTCAGCCTCCCAAAGTGCTGGGATTGCAGGCATGAGCCACCATGCCTGGCCCCCATCTGGTGTTTTAAACAATGTGAAATTTTACATAAAAAGTAAAACAATCAAAATTACTCAGAAGTGCTCACTTCAACAGCACATACACTAAAACTGTAATCTACAGAGAAGACTGTTGTGTCCCCTGCACAAGAATAACACACAAATTCATTAAGCATTCCATATTTTGCACAGTCCCCAGAAGGTCATTTATCTGCTGACAAGCCCGAAGGGAACAGTATGAGTCATAGCAAAAAAAAAATTAAAAATATCCATTGAATTTGGCAGTTAGGAAATCATGAGTAAGCTTGACAGGTACATTAACTGGGGGAAGCAGTAAAGGCTGCCTGCAATAGGACAACTGAATGAGAAATAATTTCATTTTGAAAGGAAAATTATTCCAAACTTTGGAAACAAGGCAAAAAGGTGAGTGGCATGTCCTTTCAGTGTCAAACCAAGGACTAGGGGATTGTACTTTGTTCATTTCATCGTTCACTATTGATTTAAAAGTCCTATACTGAATCTATACATTAACTTGTAGATTTTTGTCCAGTAAGAATGCAAATCCCTACTTCCTTTCCAGTGGAACAGATAACACCAAAAGTTATAGTTTATTACCCTGTGAGACATTAACAGGTTTATATCTAACCTTGCCACCTTATACTAACATTACATTGTTAAATTGCCTATAAATACCTGGCTACTCAAATACACTCTCAGTAACTAATAAGTCGAATAAAGTATTTGTCACATGTCCATTTATATTTGCATAATATTGTCTGGAAAAGCCTCCCTTAGTGTTACTTCTGAAAGACCTAAATAGAGTGAAGAAACGATCTGTGTGATGACCTAGAGGAAGAGGATTACAGGTAGAGAGAAAGCTGGGTACAGACTTGGAGGCAAGAGCAAACCCAGTGGGTTCAATGAATAAGTAAAGTGCCAGACTGTTTAAATCAGGGAGCGGGGAAGGAAGAGTGGTGAGAGATGGGTTCTGACATGAAGCTCATAAAGGTGAGATAAGATACGTAAAACACTCAAGTTCACATTAAGGAGTTTGTACTTTATTCTAAGCCTAATAGGAAGCTGTTAGAGGTTTTTAAGCAAAGGGATATAATGATCTGAAAAGATATCTCGAGCTGCTCTGTGGAAAACTAACTCTTAAGGCACAATGGGGAAGCAGAGAAATCAGTTAGGAAGATAAATTTCAGACAAAATAATGATGACTTGGACCTGGGTGCGTAGGGTAAGAAATATCTTTTCCTTCTACCCATTTTAGGCTCACTGGCTGGGGATCCTGTAACAAAAGACAAATTAACAAGAGAAAAGCATAAATATTAATGTTAGTTTTACATAACATGGAAACTTCATAAAGAAATGAAGACCCGAATAAATAGTTAACCTTAGTGTTGTTTAGAGTAGGTTTGAAGAAGAATGGAGAATTGTGGGAAAATGTGATGGGGCTAAAAGACTGTGATCTAAGGGTAATAAACTGGGGGAAACTTAGCAAGGCCTGATGTTCATATTCGTCTCTACGTCCCTGTGTTTTCAGAGATAAAGATGTTACTTTTATTCCAGGTATAGACAGGGCAATTCTCACATGAGGGTATTACGTCCTGCTTCAGAGCAGAAAGGTGCAAGAAAGTTAGAGACATTCCTGCATATGTTCTTTCTCAAATTCCTTCAGTTCAAAGTATTCAATATGTCTAGGTGCCATATTTTTGGGTAGCATGTCCCAAACCCCGTCAGGTGGTAGAAGCAGAGGTTGTGAGAACTCGTTAAATTCGCTACATATTTTGAAGATTAAGCCAGTAAGGCTTGTTATATAAGATGTAAGGCCTGAGATAGAAGACTCAGGTATGAGTCCTTAGCCTGAGCAATTAAGAGAACGAGGTAACTGTTCACTGCATTAGGTCCATGGGATATTTGTTTTTATTTAATTATGTACTTAATAATTCCAGGCTATTGGTTGGACACTTAAAAAAATTTATACGATAAAATACACAGCTCTTAGGAGTTCATCCCATGAACTTTGACAATTCTATGTATCGGTGTAATATTTCCATTACCTGGGCAAATTCCCCTTCGCCGGGCCTTAAGCATAATCTACAGAAAAAACTACGTACATAAATATACGTTTACAACTCAATGAGATTTCTAAAGTGAACCCACCTATCTATAATCAGTGTCCAAATCAAGAAACATTACCTGAACCTCAAAAGCCCCCTGGTGGCTCTTTCATGTCATTGTCCTCCCCACTATGCTCATTAACACCATGGGCTAGTTTTTAAATGGAACCACGCAATATGAACTCTTCCATGTCTGGCTTCTTTCCCTCAACTTCATTTTTTTGTGTGAAATTCACGCATGTTGCGTTTCGGTAATTTATTTTTGTACTGTACTTCCGATTCTTTACTACAGATAATGGTCAGCCTCCATTCCGCTAACAGCTTTTTTTCCTCTCCGAGTTGCTGATTCTAATTGCTGCCTTGGACGATCTATAAAGCTGAGTGCGCGCTATGTGACCTCTCAGGGGTCGCTGCCTTGGACGATCTGTAAAGCTGAGTGCGCGCTATGTGACCTCTCAGGGGTTGTTTCCAACCGTGTTGTTGACATCTTGAGCCTGCCAAGGACTAGAATAATCTGAAAACTAGGCTTCTCTGGGGGTCTCACTGAGTGACAGGGTTAGAACCAGAAGAGAACATCGTCTCCAGAAGACATTTCACCATTTTCTTTGATGGTAAACAGGCTCACTTATACCGAATCCAAACCCAGGCGAGAACTACGGACTCTTGAAATGGTCGGTGAAAGGGGCGAAAGCACCAGGAAATCGTGCTTCAACAGTCCATGACTGAAAGGAGGGCCTGAAACTGTGGCCATAGGCGGGCCCTTTTGTTAGGGCCTTGACCTGGGCTTCCGCTACAGGGCCCGGTCACGAGGCCAACGTAGCTCCACCTCCTACGGCGGCCAGTGATGACGCCACCACGTCGGAACTGTTAGACCGCGGTGACGTCTCCACCGCGCCAAACTCACTGAAAATCAAACCGCTACCATTAGGAGCCCTCCACGCTTAACATATCCGTTCTTTCTCGTTTGAAAGTAACCAGGCTGCTCCTCCCCATTTTTCGCCTTCTTCTCGCGGAGGCTGAGAGACTAACCTTACACAACATGGCGGCCTGGTGTGTCTGGTGTCCTAGAGCGGACGAAAGCAGGTGACTCTCTAGTCAACTTCCGACTTGGACTCCGAAGATCGGTACGTTATTTCCGGGGCTGGGTTAACGCAGCGGTTCCGAGCTGCGACTGCGCAGCGTGGCCCAGCGCGGTCAAATTATAATACATAAAAGTTGTCAGGGCGGAGAGCAAGACATTACTCTTCTCGGATTGCCGGTTCGCTCGCGAGACTTGAGCGTTGCTAGGAGATTCGGCAGGCGGGCGGAGCCAGACTCGGCGGGGCGGGGAGGGGTGGGGCTAGGCTCGGCGAGGCGAGGAAGGGTGGGTGGAGCCAGGCTTGGCGGGCTGTGCGTGCTCGCGGTGGGCGGTGGCGGCGGCTGCCTCGCGAAGGTTCGAGATCCGTCGCGTGCGGGAGGCGGGCCGCGATCTTGCGCAGGGTCGGTGTGGGCGCAGGCTGCAGCGCCGCGACTCGTGCGGGTAGGCGTCTGCGCTCGGTTTGAGGGCTCGGCGCGGGGTTTCCTGTTCCTCCTTCTGCGCGGCTGCAGCTCGGGACTTCGGCCTGACCCAGCCCCCATGGCTTCAGAAGAGGTAAGTGGTCCGGCCCCATATTCCTTATGCCCCCCGGCTGGAGCTGCAGCGCCAGCCTCCCGCCCTACCGCCGTTTCCGTGGGCTGAGCCGCCCTGCGGCCACCCGGTCCCGCGCCAGTCAGTGCGCCGCCTTCCCGGGGGACACCTCACTCGCCCCTTGCTGCGCCGTCGGCTCCCCAGCGCTTCCACTCGACCTCGCACCCCACTCGCCTGCTGGGCTCGAGCGGGGGTGTGCGGCGATTATCCGTGCAGGCGGTGCGGGGAGTGGGTCTGGGAGAGCGGCCCTTTGCGCGTGTTCCTCAGGCCCTTTCTGCCCTGGTTTCCCAGCCAGTGGACAGGAAGCTTCATTCAAGCAAAGCTGGGTGCAAACATGAGTGTCGTTCTTGGTAGAGGGCGGTTGGAAGGTGAGTTCTCAGTGCTAGCACTTGAATTCTCCTAGTCAGGTTTTCTCTACACACGAGGAGCTGTGTTACTCTGGGCAAGTTGTTTAGCTTCTCTGTGTCGCAGTAGCATCCATTTCATAGGGTTGTTAAAAAATATGATTTCTAGGTGTTTAAGTCAGTGATTGGCAAACAGCAATCTGCTGTATGTGATTTTTAAAATAAATAACTTGGAAAGTTAGTTGTAATTAATAGTAAGAAAGCGAATGGCCTGTGTTAAAGCTCTGTAAACTCTGAACGTTGGAGAATTAAATTTTGTGGAGACTTAGTTTGCTCAGTTAGAAAATGGGAATGATAGTACTTGTATTGCTCATTTCCTGGCGTAAGTGGGAGGTGAAGACGGGACAGTTATTCACAGTTAAGTGTTGGGTGTGTATTAACTAGATTTGCTTTATGAAAACAAGTACTGGGGAGTCCCAAGCTTTTGTTTTGTTTTGTTTTTGTTTTTTAAACTCAAAATCTTTTCTTTAAATGAAGAAAAACTATGAGGTTTGTGTGTTCCAGTATTAATCTGGGTATCTTGTGACAAGTCTTTTAAGGTAGGTCTTGGGTACTATGTGCCCCTAGGAGATAACTTCACAGTCTTGCAGGTGGATAGCTCAGTGTTAGTCCTCTTGAAAGTAGAGATCGTTCTCAGTTTAGGCACTTAGAAATATACATTTGAGGGCACTTGATTTTTGTTTTGTTTGAGATAAAATTCAAGTTTTTAACCATTTTAAAGTGTACAATTCAGGTATTTGTTTTTTGTTTAAATATATTCACAGTGTAGTGCAGCCATCACCACTGTCTAGTTTCAGGACATTTTCATCACTCCAGAAAGAAACCATGTAGTGTGTTTTAAACAATTGCTTCCCATTCCTCCCTCAGCCCCTGACAACTACTCATCTTGTACTTTCTGTGAATTTGCCTATTGTAGGCATTTCATATAAATGGAGTCACGCTGTATGTGGCCTTTTGTTTTTTGGCTCCTTCAACTTAGCACTAACATTTTCAAGTTCATCCATGGTGTAGCGTGTATCAGTACACATGCTCTTTATGGCTAAATAATATTCTATTATATGCATGTGGCACATTGTGTTTATCCTTTCATCCGTTTATGGACATTTATTTCCACTTCTTTGTTTGAGACGGAGTCTCGCTCTGTCGCCCAGGCTGGAGTGCAATGGCGCAATCTCGGCTCACTGCAATCTCCGTCTCCCGGGTTCAAAGGATTCTCCTGCCTTAGCCTCCTGAGAAGCTGGGATTACAGGCGCGCGCCACCATGCCCGGCTAATTTTTGTATTTTTAGTAGCGACGGGGTTTCACCACGTTGGCCAGGCTGGTCTCGAACTCCTGATCTCAAGTGATCCGCCCGCCCGCCTCGGCCTCTGAAAGTGCTGGGATTACAGGTGTGAGCCATGGCGCCTGGCCTTATTTCCACTTCGTGACTAGCATAAATAATGCTGCTGCGAGTACTGTATCCAAGTTTTTTGTGTGGATGTGTTTTCAGTTCTCTGGGGTATATACCTAGGAGTGGAATTACTGGTTCATATGGTAACTTTCTGAGAAACTGTTAGACTGTTTCCAGAGTGGTTGCATCATATTCCTGTAAGAAATGTTTGAAGCTTCTGAAAGTTTCTCCACATCATTATCAACATTTGTTATTTTCTGGGGTGTTTTATTTTTCTTTTTCGGTTTATGATACCATCCTACTGGGTGTGAAGTGGCATCTTGGGAATTTGATATGCGTTTACCCAATGATGAAGATGTTGAGCATCTTTAATGTTCTTGGTGTCCATTTCTGTGTCTTTGGAGAAATGTGTGTTGAATTCCTTTGCCCATTTTTGAGGCACATTGGTGTTAATGCCTCCTAGTGAAAAATTAGGAAATAGGAAGATAAAGCTTGAATGCCTTATGGGTAGGGATAAAAGAGAAATAAAATTTTTATATACGTAAAACAAACACATGCCAAGAAGGCAAGGAAAATTACATGATAAATTAGATAGGAAACTAGGACATCTTAAAGTATTTGTGCAGAAAAAGCATCAAAGGAATCACCTTTGTTGGTTTCAAGTCTGCCAATAACAGAACTGAGGAACTGTCTCAGTTTTAAGTTTTTTCAGTGGATACTTCATAATAAAAAGAGTACTTTAG